>NC_000015.10:34488995-34792025 GCF_000001405.40 Homo sapiens
TAATTAGAAGGCGTGCTGAGCGGTGGAGAAACACAACTTCAGAGTGTAAGGGTATGGACCATTGGGTTTTTCATCAGGTAATGGTTCAGGAAGCCCGGAGTCTCCAGGGCATCGCTCTTGGATTCCCATTCCAGCAGTCCAGAGGAGCTGCGCTCGCTTTCGCCTGAGAATACTTTCACAGAAGATGGCCGCTTCACTCCCAGCTCATCATAGATCTCAAAGAAGTTCTCCTCGGTCGCCTCCAGCGGGGCGTTGAAGAAGTGCAGCACGTTGCTGGGGTGCTGGATGCGGTTCTTGGCTGCCTGCTCTGGGGTGGAGAACCGATTGTTCCGGGATTCACTGAAGTCTTTGTAACTGCAAGACCCATCTTCCAACCCGTATGACTGACCGGGCATGATGGCTGGCTGCTTGGAGACACAGACATTCAGCTTCTGCCCAAACATGAAGTTGTTGTTGAGGTGGGTAATGACCCGGTCCACAGCGTAGCCATCAGCCATCTCCACCATGGCGCCCCCGGCTTGCTTTTCAGGAATTTCACCTTCTCCACATTGCCATACAAGCAGAAGACATTGAAGACTAGGTCACAGTTCATCTTAGATTGATGCAAGCCTTAGACCACGAGCACAGGGCTGTCGGCGTGAGGGCCATACTCGGGTGGTGGGGGAGGGGGTGGGGGGTGCCCATACTGGGGGGCCGTAGCGACTTGGGCCCCGACAGTGACCCCCGACTGGTGGACCCATCCTTCTCCCTTCGTAGTGAGGTCGGGGGGGCCCGTGGCCCTCATCATGGTAATGGCTGTGGTACCCACCGTGGGGCCCTCCATATTCTGCGGGGTGATCTCCCAGGAGAGGGGGCTGCCTCTGGCGTTTGTTGGGGTTGCTGCCAGGGTCACCTTGTCCACTGAGATTGGGGTTTGTGTAGTCCCAAGTATCCTGATCATTCTTGAACACATTCAAGCGTGTAGGCTTTGCGTATTCCATCTTCAGAGTGCAACAGCCAGAATAGATACCAGCCCCATTGAGAGAGGCCTTGGCCCGCTGGGCACTTTGAACAGAGTCAAATTCCACCATCGCCTGAACTCCATTCTTCCTGAAAATGATAATTCTCTGGACAGGGCCACAAGGATTACAGATAGTGTAAAGAACATCCGTGGTGATCGAATAAATGGGGTTCAGGATGGTAAAGAGAAGCACACTGTTCACGCTCCGGGAGTCATCCGAGTCCCCGGGGAGGGAGATCTTCTGGCTGGTAGAGTAGTTGACAAAAGCTGGGTGACCGGCAATGTATATTTGGTTGTCGGCTGCGTAGCTCACGGCGTTGCAAGCCCCCAACACATCTTCAAACTCCACCAGTGCTTGTCTCTTTTTAGGCATTACCACCGCATAGCTGATGGGTCCAAACTCCTGCAAGGCCTCCACAAGGTCAGCTTCCACCACATCGTCAATCAGGCCCCTGCTGTGGACAACTGGGGAGGCAGGGGTTTTGTGCAGGTCATGGTAGTTCTCCCCGCCGCCGCCCCCGCCGCCCCGCCTCCTCCACCGCCACCGCCGCCGCCGCCGCCTCCGTGCTGGTCGCCGGCGTTGCCAGTCTTGAGCCGCTTAGGGGCACCGCCGCCCTCACTGCCGCCGCCTTAGTAGCCGCCACCGCCGCCTCTGCCGCCCCCCGCCGCCATCTTCATCGCTCCCGACCGCCTCTGCTGCTCCTCCCGCTGCTGCCTCTGCTCCAGCCGCCGACGCCGCTTCTCCCAGGAAATTACTTTTCCAAGTTAGTTTGGTAAAGTTTAAAAGGTTGGTGCTTTATCCTGTAGACAATTGAGAGTAGTTTCTGTATTTAAGAAGGATAAATAAAATGTTCTGTGTGCAGGGCGGATTAGAAATGGAAGACATTGGAAGCAGAGAGAAGTTAAGGAAGAATGTTGACATTATCTTAAAGTGTTAAGAACCTGAACGAAACTCCTTGCAAAATCATTGCCAGGGAATACAGTGTAGGGCCATTGACTGACTCTAGTAGTGGATGAGGACAACTCACAGAGAGAAATCTGACAATCCATGTTTAGCAGAGGGAAGGAAGCCAGAAATAGTTACTAATAAGTGCAAGACTTCAGTTTTGTTGGTTTTTTGTTTTTTACTCCCAGCAAGCTAAATTTGACAATAATGTAGCTCAATTTCTCCCCATCTCATTTTGTTAATCTCTATAATCTTGCCCCAGAAAAGCCATTTGTACCCCAGCTCAGAAAATTCTGTATTCATTTGTCTTCATAAGATTGTAAAAATTTCAAAACTGTCTGTTCATGATAATTAGAGAAATACAAATCAAGACTACAATGAGATACCATCTTACACCAACCAGAATGGCTATTACTAAAAAGTCAAAAAATAACAGATGCTGGTGAAGTTGTGAAGAAAAAGGAATGCTTATACACTGTTAGTGGGAGTGTAAGTTAGTTCATCCATTGTGGAAGACAGTGTGGCAATTCCTCAAAAGCCTAAAGACAGAAATAGCATTGGACCCTGCAATCCCATTACTGGGTATATACTTAAAGGAATATAAATCATTCTGTTATAAAGACACATGCATGCATATGTACACTGCAGCACAATTCACAATAGCAAAGACATGGAACCAACCAAAATGGCAATCAGTGACACACTGGATCAAGAAAATGTGGTACATATATGCCATGGAATACTATGCAGCCATAAAAAAGAACAGAGACCATGTCTTTTGCAGGGACATGGATGGAGCTGGAGGCTATTATCCTTAGCAAACTAATATAGGAAGAGAAAAACACCACATGTTCTCACTTGTAAGTGGGAGCTAAATGATGAGAACTCACATGGACACACAGAGGGGAACGACACACACTGGGGACTTTCAGAGAGAGGAGGCAGAGAGATGGGAGATCATCAGGGAAAATAACTAATGGGTGCTAGGCTCAATACGTGGATGATGAAATAATCTGTACCACAAACCCCCATGACAAAAGTTTACCTATGTAACAAACCTGCACTTGTACCCCCGAACCTAAAATAAAAGTTTAAAAAGGAAGTGAAAAAAACTTTAAAGTAGCTCAATAAGTTTTATATTAATGTCAACTTTAAATAATTTTTATGCATAATACGTTATTAAAATTCATTTACCTTTTTAAAAAAAGAATGTGAAATTTTAGCAGAGTTTTCAACAACAATGTTGTAGTTAACAAGAGAAAAGCATCCCTGATGCTTTACAAACTGGTGTTTCAATGAATTAGTCTTTTTTTTCTGAGAGGGAATCTCGCTCTGTCGCCCAGGCTGGAGTGCAGTGGCATGATCTCGGCTCACTGCAACCTCCACCTCCCAGGTTCAAGTGATTCTCCTGCCTCAGCCTTCCAGTACCAGAAGGCGTGCACCATGACGCCTGGCTACATTTTGTATTTTTAGTAGAGACGGGGTTTCACCAGGTTGGCCAGGCTGGTCTCTAACTCCTGAGCTCCCAAACTGCTGGTAGTACAGGCATGAGCCACCGGACCTGGCCAAAATGAATTACTCTTAATTGTGTTCTATTCATTTGTTTTTCCTGCATTTTCATTTCATTTCACTTTGATGAACCAACCGAAATACCCGATGGAATACAGTGACAGCTTGAAAAGCTTCATGTTAACAAAGTTATCATTCCACAGTAGATAAAATAATATGTGAAAGTAGTGAGAACTTAGGAATTCCTCTAAAATCAGAATTTAAAGACATACCACTTACCCTTTGTTAAAATAGCTTACAGCACAGAAGTCTTAGAAAATGGGCATTAGAGTGTCAGAAAGCTAGTCATGTTAGAAAAAACCTTTCAAATCAAGGCTAGCCACCTCATTAAATAATAAAATGAAGAAACTAGTTATAAAACCGGTGTTCCATTTTCAATTTTAAAAAAATGCTGATGGTAAAATAACCATTAATTTAAAATATTTTTCTGCTCACTTCTAGAAGGTGGAGCATAAACCACTTAAGTGACCTATTTTAGCCCCACTAAAGCAAATGGCAAATATTGGGATTGGATTACCAAATGTATGCCTTCCATTTCATTGGCCATATATCTTATTGTTTCATGCATGGATAATGGCTTTTCTCCTTCTTCAGTAACCCAAAGGAAAAGCTGACATTCTAACCTGGAGCTGCACATTCAAGCTTTGACACATGCCTCTCACTGGTTTCGTCTAATGCTTATAATAAACCTGTAGAGTCAGCAACTTTAGAAAGATGGGTTGAAGAAGTGTCTTTATCATAGTTTGAATTTTTCTCTGGGGCACTTGGCAGAGTCACCTCTGGTGTTTCAAATGTGCTTGAAAGTTATCTGGCTGCCCTCTGAGAAGTCTGCATAAAAACTGCTTTACTTAAAAGCAGGCAAAATTAAGGTTTCTGTAACAAAACCATAGGCATCGCATTGAGATAGGACAAAGACCAAATATCCTGCTTCCATGTGGCAGAGAAATAATGAATAACTTGGTTCAAGAGCTCATGGAGTGGCATATCATCACACCATTATTAATAGAGAACATTGCTAATTTCTAAAAGGGCTTCATGTCATGATTATTTTATCCTCTTCTTTCTGTTAAATTTTTAACATGTATGTCCACTGCAAAGTACGCAAAGGAAATAAATTAGCACTAAAAAAAGGGCTTCTTCACAACCGCAAATTATATATATATTTCTTTCAGAACATCACTTTAGAGAGAAAATAGCAAAAATTCAGCATCATCACTTTTTGACAGTTCACTAGCCAATCAAAATATAGAAAAAGAAGGAGAAATTAAGTACATTTGTATTCACTGTACATTTTTAGCTATTTGTGTAGAAGAAAAACAATTAGCTTATTTAAAAACCCTAAGGTGAGTATGCAGTTTTTAATTATTATCTTTGCTGTTGTGATTTATATTTGTATTTTATTTATGTAAAAACCAGTAAATAAACCTATGTCAAATACTTCTTTATTTTTGATACTAGTTCAAAATATTGGTGACTTTTTTAGATATGAATATCTCATATGTATCTTTTAGAAATTATCAGAGAGTTATAAAATAATATTGGGGAGGTAAGGAAGGCACTAGACATAAGAAACTTGTATAGACAAATACTTTGTCACCAAAGTTGTATATTTAAAAGTCCCTATTCTTTGTCTCTTATCGATTCAAAATTAATTCATTAGAAAAGAATTTTCCTCAACATTTAATCCCTAGTTGTTCATCTTTTTCACTAGTTTGTATTCCATTACTCATTGCTTCATAGCTAAACTCTGTTTAAATCTGTTAACTGAAATGATTTTAAAACGTTTTGGTGGAGCGCTGCGGGAGGTGCGTGCGCGCCCCGGCCGCCGAACAAAGGAGCAGGGGCGCCGCCGCGGGGACCCGCCACCCACCTCCCGGGGCCGCGCCGCGGCCTCCCGTCCACCGCCACCATGACCGCCAACGGCACAGCCGAGGCGGTGCAGATCCGGTTCGGCCTCATCAACTGCGGCAACAAGTACCTGAGGGCGGAGGCGTTCGGGTTCAAGGTTAACGCGTCGGCCAGCAGCCTGAAGAAGCAGCAGATCTGGACGCTGGAGCAGCCCCCTGACTAGGCGGGCAGCGCGGCCGTGTGCCTGCGCAGCCACCTGGGCCGCTACCTGGCGGCGGACAAGGACGGCAATGTGACCTGCGAGCGCGAGGTGCCCGGTCCCGACTGCCGCTTCCTCACCGTGGCGCACGACGACGGCCGCTGGTCGCTGCAGTCCGAGGCGCACCGGCGCTCCTTCGGCGGCACGGAGGACCGCCTGTCGTGCTTCGCGCAGACGGTGTCCCCCGCCGAGAAGTGGAGCGTGCACATCGCCATGCACCCTCAGGTCAACATCTACCGCGTCACCCCTAAGCGCTAGGCGCACCTGAGCGCGCCGCCGGCCGACGAGATCGCAGTGGACCGCGACGTGCCCTGGGGCGTCGACTCGCTCGTCACCCTCGCCTTCCAGGAGCAGCGCTACAGCGTGCAGACCGCGGACCACCGCTTCCTGCGCCATGACAGGCGCCTGGTGGCGCGCCCCGAGCCGGCCACTGGCTACACGCTGCAGTTCCGCTCCGGCAATGTGGCCTTCCGCGACTGCGAGGGCCGTTACCTGGCGCCGTCGGGGCCCAGCGGCACGCTCAAGGCGGGCAAGGCCACCAAGGTGGGCAAGGACGAGCTCTTTGCCCTGGAGCAGAGCTGCGCCCAGGTCGTGCTGCAGGCGGCCAACGGGAGGAATGTGTCCACGCGCCAGGGTATGGACCTGTCTGCCAATCCGGACGAGGAGACCGACCAGGAGACCTTCCAGCTGGAGATCGACCGCGACAACAACAAGTGTGCCTTCTGTACCCACAGGGGCAAGTACTGGACGCTGACGGCCACTGGGGGCGTGCAGTCCACCGCCTCCACCAAGAATGCCAGCTGCTACTTCGACATTGAGCGGCGTGACCGGCGCATCACACTGCGGGCGTCCAATGGCAAGTTTGTGACATCTAAGAAGAATGGGCAGCTGGCCGCCTCGGTGGAGACAGCAGGGGACTCAGAGCTCTTCCTCATGAAGTTCATCAACCGCGCCATCACCGTGTTGCGCGGGGAGCACGGCTTTATCGGCTGCCGCAAGGTCGGGGCACCCTGGACGCCAACCGCTGCAGCTATGACGTCTTCCAGCTGGAGTTCAACAATGGTACCTACAACATCAAAGACTCCACAGGCAAATACTGGACGGTGGGCAGTGACTCCGCGGTCACCAGCAGCGGCGACACTCCTGTGGACTTCTTCTTCGAGTTCTGCGACTACAACAAGGAGGCCATCAAGATGGACGGGCGCTACCTGAAGGGCGACCACGCAGGGGTCCTAAGGGCCTCCGCGGAGACCGTGCACCCCGCCTCGCTCTGGGAGTACTAGGGCCCGCCCGCCCTTCCCGGTTCCTGCCCACGTGGCGGCTCCTTCCAACCCTCCCTGCTAACCCCTTCTCCTCCAGGTGGGCTCCCCCGGGCGGGAGGCAAGCCCCCTTGCCTTTCAAACTGGAAACCCCAGAGAAAACGGTGCCCCCACCTGTCGCCCCTATGGACTTCCCAGTCTCCCCTCCGCCCTGGTTCCCTACTCCCCTCGGGTCAGCGGCTGCGGCCTGGCCCTGGGAGGGATTTCAGATGCCCCTGCCCTCTTGTCTGCCACGGGGCGAGTCTGGCACCTCTTTCTTCTGACCTCAGACGGCTCTGAGCCTTATTTCTCTGGAAGCGGCTAAGGGACGGTTGGGGGCTGGGAGCCCTGGGCGTGTAGTGTAACTGGAATCTCTTGCCCCTCCCAGCCACCTCCTCCCAGCCCCCCAGGAGCTGGGCACGTGTCCCAAGCCTGTCAGTGGCCCTCCCTGGTGCACTGTCCCGAAACCCCTGCTTGGGAAGGGAAGCCGTCAGGTGGGCGAGGACTGAGCCTCGGTGTTTTTTTGGGTGGTGGCTGGAAACAGCCCCTCTCCCACGTGGCAGAGGCTCAGCCTGGCTCCCTTCCCTGGAGCGGCAGGGTGTGACGGCCACAGGGTCTGCCCGCTGCATGTTCTGCCAGGGTGGTGGTGGCGGGGGGGTAGGGGTGTGGGGGCCGTCTTCCTCCTCTTTCCTTTCACCCTAGCCTGACCGGAAGCAGAAAATGACCAAATCGGTATTTTTTTTTAATGAAATATTATTGCTGGAGGCGTCCCAGGCAAGCCTGGCTGTAGTAGTGAGTGATGTGGGTGGGGCGTCTCAGCACCCTCCCCAGGGGGTGCATCTCAGCCCCCTCTTTCCGTCCTTCCGGTCCAGCCCCAGCCCTGGGCCTGGGCTGCGGATGCCTGGGCCAGAGCCCCCGCTGTGATTGGTGCTTCCTGGGCCTCCTGGGTGGATGAAGCCAGGCGTCGCCCCCTCGGGGAGCCCTGGGGTGAGCCGCCAGGGCCCCCCTGCTGCCAGTCTCCCCCGTCCCGTCCCCGACATGCATCTCACTCTGGGTGTCCTGGTCTTTTATTTTTTGTAAGTGTCATTTGTATAACTCCAAACGCCCATGATAGTAGCTTCAAACTGGAAATAGTGAAATAAAATAACTCAGTCTGCAGCTCCCCCCCCCAAAAAAACTTTTTGTCCATTTTTTACCTATTCCATTTGACATTGGTCTCATATGATATCATGATATAAAGGAAAATGACCCCGCAATGATATGATTCATAATTCCACTATAAATTTCCTTGATGCTTTGAGAGTGTGATTGATTTATTTTGCCCCCTTCCTTTTTTTTTTTTTTTTAACTATAAAGCAGGTACCTGTACAATAATGCCATTTTTTTAAACTCCAAATAAATAGAAACAGCTATAGGACTAAAGTTTCTAATATGAATCTTATAGTTTACTTAGCACATGCTTTAATAAAGTTACCTCTTCAGGAAACTAGAATATTGTGTCTGGTGTAAGACTAGATGTTTTGTCAAAAGCATATGTAATATTCATATAGCGGAGCTTTGGCTTTATGCCATGAACAAGCAGGAGGTGTTTTTGGAACTGACCTGTTGATTTTCACACGTTATTTATTAGAAATGACTGCTGCCATTCCCACATAGTCCTAAGTGTAAACATTTACCATATGTATGTGGCTTCAAGATTATTTTGTTGTTCACAAAATCACCTATGTCCTCCCATCAAAACACTATCCTCATCTTAAAAGTAAATGGCACTATTTTATTCAATGATTTACATTTTGGAATCCTAACCAGATATTTTTTTCCTTAAATTTCAAGCACTGCATTACTTCCAAAGACATGCTATGGGTATGTGGAAATTATATCAAACATGAGTAAATTTTGTTGACCAAGACTGCAGAAATAACAATACCATCACATAAATATATGAATACAGATGTTGATGGTTGGTGAAAATTACCCCCAAATAGCCAATGCCACGAGTATATTTTGAATAGCTAGTTTGATTTTTATTAACATTATACTAAGGTTATTTCTAAGCCTGCAGACAAAATTTATAGAATATACTACTCAGATACTTGAGAATGTACTACTTAAATATTTGGATATTTTTATTCCAAATATATCTCCACTGTGATTTTTTAGGAGATACAATTGCCATCACAGTAAGATATTGCTGATTCCAATGAAATTTTTAATTAACTAGAAAAATCAAAGAATGCAATTCTTTTTCAAGATTTCTTCAAATAAAGAAACAAGCAAAATTAGGCTGTGGTGCTGTGAATAACACCAAGAAGTATGGAGTCAGGCAAGCCTCAGGTTCAGTCACAGTTCTACTGTTAAGTAGATAATTCTAAGGGTGCGTCTCTGTGTCTTAGGTTTGTGGAGACCTACAGCAGCGTTCCACAGACCAACACTGAGCCTACCCCACGACTATTCAACCTGACCATTATTGGGTAGCTTTCATCTAACCAGTTAGAAAGAAAACATCTATGAAAACTATTTACTAAAGAATTATATATTTTAATTAAGGGTACTGAGCACGGTCAAGTTAGAGAACAATAGAGTAGAAAACTTCTATTCAAATATAATTGAGACCAGTTTTTTGATAGTTAATCTAAAAAGTGAGTTAAGGAGGAGGATCATGGGGTTAAAAAAAACCAGAAATGTAAATTATTTGGCCAATATTTTGATATAAGTCCAGGACCCTTTGATTATTACTCTACTAACTGGAGTTTCTATACATTGTCTTCTTTGTATAAATTAGGATCATAAGAAGTCAATTATAATTCTAAATTTTTACTTGTTTAAAGTAGAACAAAAAAAGTAATTGAAGTGCAAAAACCTTTTAGCTTATTAAATTTTTGCTATTCTGATTATTCTAATTTTATAATTTTTTCTTAAAAATTTACATTGCTTAGCCCTCCTAGTAATCAGCTTAGCTTTTTCTAATCTTTTCAAGACCCAGATATTTTTACATAAATAGCACCACTCTATTATAATCACATCCCTGATTTTATTTATGTCACAAAAGACCAACTTGAATACAACCTAAATAAACTGTCTGGTAGATAAGTTAACAACATAACGTCAATTTGAGGCAACAGACTTACATAGGCATAATAGAAAACACACTGTTATTTTACAGGGAGAATGTACAGTGTCCGTTCATTCAACAAGTTAGTTAAACACAACTCAACTAAAACAATGTCATTGAAAAGTAGCAAATTCTGTTTTTGCTCCATGGACTTACAGCCAATGAGTCCTGAGAAAGAAGAGAGAATTTAAAGAGCTTCATTGGCAGGTGAATCTGTACTTGGCCTTTTAGCTTAGAGACTGAAGCTCCATATTCAAAGCAGAAGAATAGTGAGACATCCCATATGAAGAAAGAAATCAGAACAGACATGCAGGGGCAAAAGTAGCCATGGTCTGCGTCCTGGCTCAGGAGGACAGTATGTGTTGAAGAGCAAAGCCTAGAATGGGCTGATGCCTGTAACCTCACCCCATCTCATTGCTTTATCTACTCACACTGCTTGCCCAGAAAATCTGGTGCCCCACAGTGAGAACAGGAACTGGGCATCCCAGCTAATCTTCAGCTGGGTGGGTCTCATAGGGTTGTCAGATTTGAAAAAAATAACAATAGGCTTTGAAGAAAAAGACTTGGAGATGAAGCAGAATGCTCTTGCCAAAGCTTCCCTCAATTGACATAAGAGGAACAAATTTATTTCCCAAATTAGTTATAGTATAATTTACCAGGTATCCAAATAAATTTGTTTAGACACTAAGAGTTTTCCCCTCGAATAATGCCTGACCATAATTTTACATATAATTCCTTTATTCAACAAATGCTCAAAGTATGTTTGTTTTATACCAAACACTTTTAAGGAATTAGGAATACCATTGTGAATAAAATAGACAATCTCTACTAAATGCTTAGTTATGATGGAAGGCAAACAAATACATAAAATAAGTAAGAAATACAGTTTTATGCCTCATGATGTCAGATGATAGTAAGTGCTGTGTCCCCAAAACACTTACTCATTTTCTCAAACTATTATAAAACAGGGACGGTGCATAAAGAGTGCTGGACATGGGACTGAAGATTCTGTTTTAAATATGGTTGCCAGGGAAGTCCTCACTGTGTAAGAACATTCCATCGAGGACTTGAAGGAGATGAGGGAAGTCATCAAGAGGATGGGAAAAAGAACACTCCCAGTAATAGGACCAGCAAATGCAAAGACCAGAGGAGAAAGACATCTGCTTTGTTTAAGGGACAGCAAATAGGTCTCCCTGCTACAGCAGAGTAAATAGAGTGGAAATGGTAGAAGAGTTTTTAGTTGTAAGGCAAGAAGGGGACCAACCATGGAGAGTCTTAGATGTCATTGTGGAGATTTCTATTTTACTGGAGGTGAAATGGAAGCCACTGAAGACACTTGAAATGGAGGCTGATATGGTTCACAGCTTTAATAGTCTGCTGTCTGCTGAGATAAGAATTGACTATAGGACAAAGGGTAGATTTAGGTAGTGAGATGTTATTGCAGTCACCTAGGAAAGAGATAGGATGATTTGAACTAGAGTGGTACTGGTAAGAGGTGGTCGTATTTTGAAAATATCTTTGAAGTAGAGTTGACAGGATTTGGTGATGAATTTGACATGGAATGTGAGTCAAATTTCATAGCCTGAGCCAAACATCCCTATTTAATTAGGTTGAATATAATGGAAAAGGTGGGGGGAAATGGATTAAGAAAAGAAAGAAGTTTGTTGTGGGAAACAGTAAGGTGAAGAAACCAGCAGAGATGTTAGATATCTAAATCTGAGTTCAGGAGTTTTGAATGCATAGAAAATTTGATCATTAGCATGGGGCTGGTATTTGAAGCCATGAGACTGGACAAGGTCATTTTAGTTTAGTGTATTTCCACAGATTATATTTCAAGCATCGTGCTAGGTACTTTAACGTTTGGCCATTTTAAAAGCCCCTTGGTAAATTTCACAGGAATCAGGATTTGACTGACCTGTTTTTCTCAGATGTCTGACCTCAGTCGGATGCATGATTTTATTATATTTAATTCCCTATAAAATTCCAAAATATCAAAATAAGACCTATATTTATTAGCAGGATTTTTCAGGTACAATATTCCTACTCAGATAGAACTATATCACTTAATTTCACAGAAATATCCTTCCCTGGGGTGATGATACTATTATATCACCAATCATGAAGTCATGCTGACTTGCAGGCAACAATGGAGCTCACATTTAGATCTAAGCTAATTTGCATGACTTACTTAAATTATGAAAAGACACACTTTTAGAGAGCAGGCAGATTTTGTTAATTCTGAATTATGTCAAAGTATCACTTAATAATTCTCAAGGGCCCAACTCTGGCGAAACCGG
Organism: Homo sapiens; assembly: GCF_000001405.40. Lineage (NCBI taxonomy): Eukaryota > Metazoa > Chordata > Mammalia > Primates > Hominidae > Homo > Homo sapiens. The sequence goes on from NC_000015.10 coordinate 34,501,325, forward strand.
ATGCTGCAGCGTATGTGTTTCCTATTCCCTTCCAACTTTTTTCATCATGATTCATCAGCGAATGCTATGAAGTCTAGAAATTTAATTAATGGATATCAGGGCCATTGGACCATGCATTTACACAAATTGCTCTGTGAAGAAGGAACATTCACTCTCTCTCTCTCTCTCTCTCTCCCCAATGTTTTGTCCCCCTCTTTCTCTTTCAAGAGCAGAACATTTTAGTGACCTCCAGTTAACTGTCTGAACTAAGCAGCCATCTCTTAGGTAATAATGCATTGCTAACAAACCTCAGCATAGACAGTAACGCTACCACTAAAGCTTCTGTTCATGTTGTTCTAGGGCTAATAAAATGGTACATTGTATTCTAGCTCTGAGGAAATTTGAGATTGTCTCATATTTTCTCAGTTAAACCAGATAATAATTAATTATGGGGAAGGGAGAGGAATTGCTGTGGCAGAGCCAGCGTGAGACATAATTTCTATTTATTCTCAATGTATTATCTGTTTTCTCCCTAGAGGCTTCCTTTTGTTACTCTTATATCAAAATCCCACTTAATTTTCCTGCCATCTCAACTCAAAAATCATACCTACAAAAGAGCTAAAGTGTTCATCTTTTTGCTTTTGCACAAACTCTGTGCCAGCTATGAGAGTGTAAGCTTTATAGTTATATATAGATGTTTTTATTTATAATCTTTCTCCTGCAAGAAAGGATTAAAGTGAAGCAAAAAGAACATGTAATAAGATGAATAATGAATAGAAAAATAATTTGCTCTTAAGACAAAGTAAAGGAAACTATAAAAGGGAGATGACTAGAACTATTTAGCAAGAAGAGACCTCGTTCTTTCCATCAAATAGTGTGGTGTAATTTGCACAATGCACCCAATGGTTAATGAATACATATTTGTTGAGGATAGCATTAATAAATAGATGACCAAAGAAAAACTAATACAAAAGATTTTTACCCTTCAGGAAGTAACTATTAGGTAGGTATTGTAAATTCTAACTTTAAAAGATAGAGGAAAAGATATATTGAGCTGACCCATAAATACAACAGGAAGACACAGAGTAACAATTACTGCAGGTGAATTTCAGCTCTCAGTCTATCTACCAACCAGTGTCACCAGGAACCTTCTTCAGACTCATGTATCCAACTGCTTATTTATCTTTTGCACCTGGATATCCCTCAGCTACCTCCATTTAATTCATCTTCTTCCTCCAAACTGGTCAGCATCCAAGCAGATCCAGAGAACTGTGAGGAGCTATTCTAGTCTCTGCCCTCTCCCCCGTTGCTGATCCAGTTAAGAGGGCCAAAGAATATAGTTGAGAGGACACCAGCTCTGTATCTAGTAGCATTTAGTTTTAATCTCATCCCTTAACTTGAAATTGGCATGGCCTTCAGTAAGTGATTTAACTCCTCTGGATATCAATTGATAAAATGTGAAAAAATTTCCAAAATTAATTGCAGTGAGTATTAAAATAGCATGTTTTGTACATCATGATCTCTCAATAAACAATTGCAGTATTATTCAAATTGGCACACAGGCCTATCACTGCTCCTTCCTTTTAGATTTTTTTTCCTTCTGTTTTTGCCTCTGAATGCCCCAAGCCAATCTCCCTTCCTCTATCACCTTTTTAGGAAATCCATCCCCACCCCACTCACCCCACCACTCCTCACACTCCTTTCTCTCCTACCCTGGCCTCCACCATAGCTCCTCCATTCCCACCTGTAATCCAGCCTCTGCACCACTATCAGCGCTGCGCTTCTGAAATGCAAATCTCATCATGTTGCACCTTATAACATCTTTGAATGACTCCTACTTGTCTCATGATGAATTCTAAGCTCCTTAGTTTTAGGTTGACCATGACCTTTTTTGATCTGACCCTGTCCATCTCTCCCTCCTAATTCTCATTTCTCTCCACCAAATACTCCACCCTTCGTACTGAACAATGTGGCTCTACTGTCATCTCTTCATACTTATATTTTTTCCTTGATCCTTAACTTTGTTCACAATGTTCCTGCCATCTGGAATAGCATTTTCCCTGTTGGCCTGGAAAATTTGACTATTCCTTTGCGATGGAATTCAGTCTTCACTTCCCCATGAGTGACCTTCTTAGGACAAATTGACAGTATCTTATATTGTAGTCCCACAGTCCATTAGGCAGTCTTCAAGTGTCCAATAGGAGAGTGCATGATATTAGTTGTTTATATGCCTATTTCTCCCACTGGCTTTGAGAAACTTCAGGGATTGTTGTAACCATTTGTATCCCCAGTGTCTAGCATAGCGTGCATCTATTTGTGTTTTGAATGAGTGAGTGAATTAACGAGTGATGAGAAAGCCATGACCTATGTTTGTCTCTACCAATCTTAAATGAGATTATAAACAGACTGATTCAACTGAAGATTGCAGGTCCTATTCCTTTTGCAGTTGTTATTGTACATGTTAGCAAAAAGCTTCAGCCTTTCCAAAAATTTCTTCAGTGGTAGCAATAAATTCATTGTCTTCTGGGAGCAACACTGTGCTCCCTCTCTCTCTGTCTCTCTCTCCCTGATTTGCCTATTGCTACTTTGAAGAGTATGTGTTTATGACTTTATAATTTGCTACAGCGCATGTAATAGGAGCCCTTCTATTTCTTCAGAAGTGGTTATAAGAAATATTCACACTTGCTTATGTTTTGTGAACATCTATATCTGGTGGAGCACATGTTATTATAATCTTATTTTAAGCGGAAATATAGATTAAAGGATTTTCTCTTACTGTTCTTAATGTAATGCTTCTAAATTAGATACACGAAAGTGCTCATCTAGGAGATAATGGAAGCATAAGCAAAACACAGAAAAAGCCTTACCAAGAATGAATTATAACCAACAAACAAATGTTAGTTTTATTGCAATAGAATTACTGAATTAGTACATGATGGAACAAAAAATCTATAACAAGTTTAGATGTCAGTAATGTATTCGACATGGATTGTATACACTGTACCCACAAAATTCTATCAAATTGTTTCTATTTCAAGAAATTTTCAGTTTATTCATGTTCAACACAAAAGTTAATTATACATGAAATATAAACTCAATGCAGAACATTGGCATTGTATTTCCTGGCTTTCTGGGAAGAATGTGGGAGCAGGGTTAATAATGAAATGGAAGAGAAAGCTCTTCACTCCTCTCCTTGTTCCCAGGATAGGACAAAATACACATGGCCAAGAATGAGGAAAGTAGGACAAAACCCAATATAGTCAAGAAAGTTATGAACCTGAGGTATGAGGTAAGATCTGGCCCTGGGAATGTTGACTGACACTGCAATATTTAGTATCTAGACTGGAATGATTAGATATGAAGTGGGTTAACCTGGAGTCCTTAGAGATGGCGCTATTCCCAGAAAGATAAATGAGATCCAGTCCTAGGACAAAAGGACAAACATCATTGGTCGGAAAAAGAAAAAATGATTTAGAAAAAAAGAGAAAGAGAAACAAAATGTAGAGGAGAAGAAGAAATCCCAAGGATGGAGACCAAAGGGTTTGCCAACAGTCTGTTCCTTGGGAATGCGAGTTACACCGCAGCCTGGAAGATGATGCTACTTCCAAGCCCATGATTCTGTCTCCATGACTTAGGACACTAGTCACAAAGAAATAGAACACATCTTTCTCCTTCTAGATCTCATTGTCCATTGAAGAACTGCTACTCATGGCCTGCAAGAGTGAAACTCATTGGTTCTAGGAATGAATGAAATTGGACCTGCTGGAGGCCTTTAATTATTATGTGGGCCTCAGAACTGATGAGGATTGATGTGGGTGTTATTTCAATAAAGAGTTATAAACAATTCATATATGAAAAATTTATTTTCTTAATTTATAGTTAAATACACTAATATTGTATTTCAATGTTGTTATTCAAATTCAAGACCATGTCAGTTCTTAGACACAATCTCTCACTGTGTATTAATTTCAAAAAGACATTGTAGTAACCACAGATATATTTTATATATAGATATAAATTAATAGACATTACTTTTTGAGCTGTTTTATGTTTAGAGGCAAAAATTAGTGAAAGTTAAAGTGCCTGTCTGTAGACTCTCTCACTCCACCCCCATTTCTCCTATTTTTAACATCTTGTGGTATTTTTAACATTAGTGTGTTACATTTGTTACAAGTGATGAGAAAACGTTGATAAATTATTTTTATCTAAAGTTCATAATTATATTAGGGTTCACTCTTTGTGGTGTCCATTTTATGGATTTTAACAGAGATGTACCCACCATGACAATGTTACACAGGATTATAGTTTCACTGCCCTAAAAATCCCCTGTGCTCTACCTAGTTATTCCTCCTTTCTTTCCTCCCCAGGAACCCCTGGAAATGACTGATCTTTTTACTGTCTCCACAGTTTTGCCTTTTTCAAAATGTCATATACTTGCAACCACATAGTGTGTAGGCTTTCATATTGGCTTCTTTCACTCAGTAATATGCATTTAAAGTTCTTCCATGACTTTTTGTGGCTTGATAGCTCTTTTTTTATATAGAACTGGTTAATATTCCATTGTATGGCTACACCGTACAGTGTTAGTCCATTTGCCTATTGAAAGGTCCTTTGGTTGTTTCTGTTTTGGTAATTATGAATAACACTGGTATAAACATTTGTGTGCACGTTTTGTGTGGGCATAAGTTTTCAACTCATTTGGCAAATACCAATGAGCACAATTATGGAATCATAGGCTAAGAGTGTGCTTAGTGTCATAAGAAACTGCTAAGCTGTCTTCCAAAGTGGATGTACCATTTTGCATCCCAACTAGCAATGAATAAGTTATTTCTGCTCATTGTTCTTACCAGCACTCAGTTGTGTTGCTATTTTGGATTCTGGCCATTATAAGAGCTATGTAGTAGCATCTCATTGTTTTGGTTTGCAATTTTCTAATGACATATGATATTGAGTATCTTTTCATGTGCTTATTTATCATTAGTAATATGTTGCCATCAGTAACGTTCCTTTCCCTTTCCATTGCCAGTGAGATCCAGCATTTTTTTTTTTTTTTTTGAGACATAGTCTTGCTCTGTCGCCCATGCTGGAGGGCAGTGGTGCAATCTCACTGCAACCTCCACCTCCCAGGTTCAAGGGATTCTCCCTGCCTCAGCCTCCTGAGTAGCTAGGATTACAGGCACCTGCCACCACACCTGGCTAATTTTTTTTTTTTTTTTTACTAGAGAGGGGGTTTCACCATGTTGGTAGGGCTGGTCTTGAACTCCTGACCTCAGATGATCTGCCCTCCTCAGCCTACCAAAGTGCTGGATTACAGGCATGAGCCACCGCACAAGGCCAGATCCAGTATTTCTTAATGGAAATGAAAAATTCACCAGTTACTGCATTTTTCCCCATATATTTGTAATAAGTTCCGACGTCTGATAAGGCAAGTCCAACCCTCCGCATTTTAAAAAATTAATCAAGTTATTTATTAAAAATTAATAGTCTACGCACATTTTAAAATCAATGACCATATTAGATTTACTGGAAAAATAATGTAATTTAATATTAATTTATCACATCCATTAACATGATAATTCTCCACTTATTTGGATTTCCTTTAAGATCAATTCCTAAAATTTTCTATATAGATGGTTTTAGGATTTTTTTTTGTAGCTTAACTACAAGATACTTTGTAGTGTCTCAATTTTTATTACACTTTTACACCTTCAATTCAATTATTGCTGATATGGAAAAACTTTTTTTTCAACATCTATTTTAGATTTAGTGGGTACATATGCAGATTTGTTATATGGGATACTACTTGATGCTCAGGTTTGGAGTACAAATGTATCCATTAATCAGATGGTGAGCATAGTATGCAATAGTTACTTTTTCAACCCTTGTCCTTCTTCCATCCCCCATCTAATAGTCTGTGACTTTGTACTGTTTTCTATTATGAATTGGGGAAAAGCCATTATTATATTAGCTTCAGAACAACTAGGTTCAAGTCATGGAAAACAATTTCGCACAAACAACTTTAGGAAACACTGCTTTGAAAACTGTAATCTGAATTATAGCTGAGGCCACAGAAACCAAATATTTACTGAAGGTTCTTTTAAGAAAAACAAGTTAGCCAGGAATGGTGGCTCACGCCTGTAATCTCAGCACTTTGGGAGGCCGAGGTGGGTGGATCATGAGGTCAGGAGATTGAGACCATCCTGGCCAACATGGTGAAACCCTGTCTCTACTAAAATAAGAAAAAATTAGCCGGGCATGGTGGCACATGCCTGTAGTCTCAGCTACTCAGGAGGCTGATGCAGGGGAATTGCTTGAACCAGGGAGGTGGAGGTTGCAGTGAGCTGAGATTGTGCCACTGCACTCCAGCCTGGTGACAGAGCAAGACTCTGTCTCAAAAAAAAAAAAAAGAAGATGAAGAAGAAAAGAAACAAGTTGTATTGAAAGAGGACATCATTAACAGTATATCTCTTCAATAATGGTTTATTTTACTATATTCTCATTCCTCTCTTACTGTGTCCCAAATCTCTTTACAGGCTAAAAGAAACTGTTCAGAATTAATCCTATTCATAAAGAACAGCACTTACTGAGTATTGCATTTTCCTCTTCAAATTCTTCAGCATACATTGGGACTACACCATATGGACCATTTTTACATTTTTACTTTTGGGTTTTTGTTTTTTTTTTCCTAGAGAAACTGCAACTAGATTTAGGTCCTCATTCTATTAGGTCAGTATTTGTCTAGTAAACTTCAGCTTAAGCAAAATAAAATATGTGTTGCTTTGAACTGAAACTCCTCAAAACCGTATTTTAAAAATTACAGAAAAAATTAAATGAAATTATTATTTTAAAAATCTTGTAGATGAAAAGATATGATATATAGTAAGTTTAAGTACCTATTTCAATGGTTCCCACAGTGGGGCCCTCAGACACCCAGGTCCAAACTATTTTAACAGGAATACTAACATGGCGACATTTGGTGTAAGGGTGCTAATACAATACCGGGTAAAAATGCGGGCAGTTTAGCACAAATAAAGGCAGTAACACCAAACTACTAGTAATCATAGTATTCTTCACTATGCACAGGAAAGGTTTGAAAAAGAAGGGCAGGTTGGGCAGTGTCTCACGCCTGTAATCCCAGCACTTTGGGAGGCTGAGGTGGGAGGATCACCAGAGGTCAGGAATTTGAGACCAGCCTGGCCAACATGGTTAAACCCCATCTCTACAAAAAATACAAAATTTAGCTGGACATGGTGGTTGCATGCCTGTAGTCCCTGCTACTTGGAAGGCTGAGACAGGAGGATTGAGCCCAGAAGGTTGAGGCTACAGTGAGCTGTGATCATCCTACTGCACTCTGGCCTGGGTGACAGAACAAGGTCCTGTCTCAAAAATAAAAAGAATGTCTATGATGAAGCAGTGAAAATTTTACTACATCTTAATCCTTGAATATGTCTTTTTAATATTTCAAGTGATGAAATTGGAAGCACACATGAGCATTCCTACAGACTGCCTGAGGAAAAACCCTCATGTGACTAAGTCTTGAAGTGAATTAACCACTTTAATGGAGTATCATTTTTACTTGAAAGGAGTACTGACAAACAATGTTATTTCAACTGGGGTTTTTGGGAGACATTTTCTCAAAAAATGAGGTTCTGTCATTTCAAGAAAAACAACAGACAGGCCATAATAAAATTCAATAATAAAACTGCTAATAATAAAATTAAAGCTTCTGAATAAAAAATTAGAATTTTAGAAAATATATCCACCATTGCTTTCCAAAAGTATTCTGCTGAGATTGATGGTGATATTGATGAATGTATTTTGATACTGTATAATCAAATGTATCAACATGTAGAAGATCTCGGTGAACCATTATTTTCTAAATGACCAATGCATGATGTTATAATATCATGCAAGGGTAAAAGATCCAAAGTTCAAGAAAAACCAAGTTTTGATGGAGTATCAAAAAAGAAGCCTAGGCAACATGGCAAAATCCTGTCCCTACGAAAAAAAAAAATACAAAAAATTAGCCAGGTGTGGTGATACACACCTGTAGTCCCAACTACTCTGGAGGCTGAGGTGGGAGGATCACCTAAGTCCCCAGAGACTGAGGCTGCAGTGAGCTGTGATCACACCACTGCATTCCAGTCTGGGCGACAGAGCAAGACCCCATCTCAAAAAACAAAATTTATATATATATATAAATATATAAATATATATATATCCACAATGATCTAAAATGGCTATCTGTATGAGATTGGACATTGTTCACATTTCTTCAAGGAAATATCACACAATAAATTGAATGCAGATGAAAATGACATACCAGACATCAAGGAAATTTGCAAAAAATATAAGATTGTGCTACTTTGGGTTTAGAAATTTTTTCATAAAAACATTTATAACAATACGTGGTGAGCTTTTAAAGAATAGTTTAAATATTTCTGATTTAATTTCTAATGATAAATACCAGTAGATATAACCTACATAAACCAAAGCTCCTTGGGCCCTCAATATATTTTTAAGAATGTAAAGGAGTCCTGATTCCAAAACTTTGAGAACTGCTGCCTTCCCCTCCACTTTCCTGCCTTCCCTAGAATTTCTTCCTTGGAAGGAACATCCCTTTGCCATTTTAACTTACAGAGTTCCATTCAGGCCAGTTTTGCTACCTCCCTCCCATCTTTCCACCTCCCTGTCTTGACACAAAATCTGACCAAAGGACTCTACCAGCCCACCCCATTTCCAGTGCTTAGCTGTCAAGGTGGGCTAAGCCAAGAAAATCTGGGTTTTCTCTGAGACTAGACCTCTTTTTCTGGGAGATCTGGAATCACAGGGACAAGGTTGGCCACCTTGGGATAGTCAGAATTCATCTTGCCTCAAAGGGGAGAGGTTAGGCAAGTTTCTACAAAGCCAAACTGCTTCCTAGAAAGTCAAAGATAATTATACTTTGTGCCACAACTGTGAGAATGCCCATTTTATTGCACACTTTCTAACATTTTTACCAAACTGATAAATAAAAGCTGGTACCTAGAAGAAAAAAAGGCCAGGCATGGTGGCTCATGCCTGTAATCCCAGCACTTTGGGAGGCCGAGGCGGGTGGATCACCTGACGTCAGGAGTTTGAGACCAGCCTGGCCAACATGGTGAAACCCCGTCTCTACTAAAAATACAAAAATTAGCCAGGCGTGGTGGCAGGCACGTGTAATCCCAGCTACTTGGGAGGCTGAGGCAGGAGAATTGCTTGAACCCAGGAGGGAGAGGTTGCAGTGAGCCAAGATCATGCCATTGCACTCCAGCCTGAGTGACAAGAGCAAGACTTCATCTCAAAAACAAAAAAAGGTTCCATACAATATAATTTGTTCCATCTCTAGAAACCAATTCAGCAATGAGAACTGAAAGCCACCACTTGGAAGGTTTCAAGGATTTAGCTCTACCTAATGACGTCTAAAGCATTAGTTAAGGTAGAAAAAAATACACACACACACACACCCCTATGTATTTAGTACCAGGAAACATGATGGACTAGATGGTATAGTCATCCAACAGAAAACACACAATAACTGAAGCCACTGTAGAGGAGTAAGTTATGATGTGGATCTACAATATTGTTGAGTGAAAAAGCAGATTACAAAAAAATCTGATTTTTCAAGGGAGAGGGAACACATACAAGCACAGGAGAAAAGAGATGAGCAGATGACTGGAAAAATACAAAATTCTGATAGTGGTACCTTCTGAGTGGGAGAATTATCGGTAACATTTTCTAGTTTTGCCTAAACATTTTCTAAATTTCTTAAAATAAGGCTTTGTTATCCATATTATAAAATATCCACCTCCTCAGGAAACTTAACCTTCAGCACAAATGCTACAACATGTTCAAAGTTTGTTCAGTTTAAGAGACAATCTATTTTGAAAGACATCTAAAATGACGACCAATATTTAAACCTATGCATTAATATTTTTCAATCATATGCTTTAAATTTTGTAATTTTGTTAAGGTTAAGCTTTATATCCATCTGGAAAAAAGTTTTCTATTTGTCTTTAAAATATGACCTACAATATACCAGTTTTTAAACAATGAATGGTGCTCAAAAATTGCAATATAAATTCAGGCAGTGTTCCTTACATAGAATGTTTAAAGGCTTCTAACACTGCTCTTCTTCACCGGTTATGAAAACACATTACCATTATCTAAGCATCTAATTATTCAGGTCCTTTGTTTCTCCTCTATTCTATTAATTTTATAGTAATTTTAAGGCCTGTGAGGATGAAGTTGTCTGTGACAGCTACCACAAAGGTTACTATAAGTGGACAAATTTCAAACAAGTTTATCACCACTACCATCCCCACCATAAAACTGTCTTAATCAAGGGCAACACATTTCAAGGTTAACCAAGACAACCTCTTTACCTGTCACTGCTTAAGAAAAGGACTTTTTGGTCTTATTTAGAAATAACTTTCTCTATCTATTTTTCTCCATAAATCCACTGAGATCAATGTATGGCTCTATCTCAAGCACCAGCAAGCAAAACTACCTGCCAGAATGTGCAGTTTTTGTATCTTTCCAAGTGTAGGACACAGCTATCTTTTGACATCACAATTTTTAAAAAATTGATGCACAAACTTCTTCTTGAACGTTCAGCCAGGCATGGTGGCTCATGCCTGTAATCCCAGCATTTTAGGAGGCTGAGGCAGGTGGATCACGAGGTCAGGAGTTCGAGATCAGCCTAGCCAAGATGGTGAAACCTGTTTCTACTAAAACTGCAAAAATTAGCCGGGTGGTGTGGCAGGTGTCTATAATCCCAGCTACTCAGGAGGCTGAGGCAGGAGAATCACTTGAACCGGAGTGGCGGAGGTTGCAGTGTGACGAGATCACACCACTGCACTCCAGCCTGGGTGACAGAGTGAGACTCCAACTCAAAAAAAAAAAAAAAAAAAAAAAAAAGGAAAAGAAAATAAAGTTCAGACATACAGCAGTTGTAATTCTAAGTTCAGACATACAGCAGTTGTAATTCTAAGTTCAGACATACAGCAGTTGTAATTCCTCTGAAGGCTGGTTATGGGACACATCACTTTCATACTTTGCTGTTCAATAAATGTGGGCTGGAGAATAAAGTAAACTGACAGAATTACCATATAAAATAAAATTCTAAGTGCTCTGACAACAAGAGAACCTTAAAATACACACACACACAGACACACACACAGTTTTCCCTGCTAATCATTTTACAACTAAACAACCAAGTAGCTAACGCAGAGCCCACAAAAGCGGAGTAAAAATTCTAACACTTCGTAAAATAAAAATGCACATATACCCCTGTGATCTAAAAAAAATGCTTAAGTATTCAAAGACAGCAATTACAGCTACTGAGAACATCGTTGTGAGCAAACAGAGGCAGAGAAAACAAAGGTGCTGATGAGGATTTGAAGCACCTAACCTGCAGAAACCCACTGGGTGATTTCCTAGGTTCCAGGGTGGCATTATCTTTCAGAACGATCTTCAAGAAGAGGTCACATGACACTGTTACAAAGGATCTGGAGAAAGAGACCCTTGCTTTATCTCTCCGGCTCTCCAGTCATGCTTCACATTTTCGCTTCTTACACTCTTTCACATGAAGTCCATTTACACACCTCCATCAAGCCCTTAGAGACCTTTTTGCACTATCCATGACAAGTTCTGGATGTCATCTCTGCACTTTTGACAAATTCTTAGCAGTTAACTTACAGGGCAGTTAAGATTTTTGTTCAAGCACAATATAGCTAGAATAGGGTCATATACTCAATAAAACAAATATTTACCAAGCACTTATTGAGTGGAAGATAAAAAGCACAAAGCATAATTACAAAATATTCTCCCCTGCCACCATAAAAGAATTTCTTAAAGGCTTACAGAATATAGCATAACGTGACCAAAACAAAAATAGTAAGGACTGAAGAGGGGAGGAAGGGAAAATATCAGCATGAACTCAATATGACCCAGAAGAGCCTTGATGGTCAGACGTGTAAAGACGAGTTGGGTAGGGTTAAAGGGTGGAGGTCAGGGGCACAGGTCAGGGGCACATTCTACAAGGGAAAAACAGCTGATACAGAAGCCTGAAAGGAAAAGCGGGCAGAGCACCTGTACAGGACTCTTACCTGCGGCATCTACCATACAATGCGCCTTTCCAGAACACAGCAGTGCGCAGCCAGCCCCTGGGGAGAGGGATCACTCAAACAGCACCAGAGGCTGCATTCCAACTTTTCTTCCATCAACGACTCCGTTTTCATTGTTAGTTTCTCCTTCAACACAAACTTGAAACCAATTGGCTGAACACGCGGGAGCAAGGAAAACCTGACTGAAGAATGAGGCGTTAAAACTTAAGGGCCTTGGGTCCTGGCGCGGTGGCTCACACCTGGAATCCCAGCACTTTGGGAGGCAGAGGTGGGTCATTTGAGGTCAGGAGTTTGAGACCAGCCTGGCCAACACGGTGAAACCCCGTCTCTACTAAAAACACAAGTTAGCCAGGCGTGGTGGCGGGCGCCTGTAATCACAGCTACTCGGGAGGCTGAGGCAGCAGAATCGCTTTAACCAGTGGACTGTCAAGAGAGATAGGCTGCAATGAGCCGAGATCGCGCCACTGCACTCCAGCCTGGGTGACAGAGTGAGACTCCCTCAAAAGAAAAAAGAATTTTTTTTTTTTTGAGAGAAGTCTCCCTCTTATCCCCCAAGTTTGAGTGCAACGGCTGGATCTCAGCTCACTGCAACCTCCGCCTCCCGGGTTCAAACGATTCTCCTGCCTCTGCCTCCCAAGTAGCCGCGATTAAATCTCCTGCCAACACGCCTGGATAAGTTTTGTATATTTTAGTAGAGACGGAGTTTCACCATGTTGGCCAGGCTGGTCTCTAACTCCTGACCTCAGGTGATCGCCCGCCTCTGCCTCCCAAAGGGATTACAGGCGTGAGCCACTGCGCCCAGCCAAAATACCGAAAATCTTAAAGGTCTTTCCCCTTCCCCGCCTGGGCTCAAAAAACGCCGGAGCCGCCCTGCACCGCCCTGTCGCGGTCTCCGGAGCAGGCTGGCCGACTGAGGGCGACCATGGGTCCCAAGAAGGCTCCGGCAGTCGCGGGCTCCCACCTCGGGGCGCGGCGACGGGGGCCTAGAGGGGCCAACAGCCCCCAAGCTTACGCCACGCGAGGAGTCGGAGAGACGCGCCCTCCCCTCTCCTCCCACCCAAGCCTCCGGCAGTCCCGGGCCGGGGCTGGGCCAGTTGCGGGAGAAAGGGGCGGGGAACTGGGGCCTCTCTGGGGAAGGCTCCCCTTTGTCCTGGGACTCCGGGCGCCCCCTCTCTGCCCTCGCCCTGCCCCGCGAGGCCGCCGCCGGGCGCCTCACAGTCATGTTGCAGTGGAGCGTGAGCGGGGGCTGCGGCTCCTGGTTCTTGTGGAAGATAGTCCCAGAAACTTCCCTTTGGCCTTGAACCCTGACACGGACATCTTCCACTCATCTACGGCGGGAGGGGCGCGGAAGGGGAGCCTGTCCGGAGCCGCTGTCACGGCCGCGACTACCCAGCGGGGCCGCCCAGCCGAGCTTTCGCGACTCTGCCTCTGCCTGCCGCCTGGACCCTTGTGGGAGCGCGGCTGGAAAATGGCAAGGGCACGGAGGCCTTGGCGGGAGCTGTGTGGCGGCCTGGGGGGCTGCTCCCTTTGTAACCGACTCCACCCACAGGAGGCGCGGCTCCTGTCAAGCCGCAGCTTCAAAGGGCAACATAACCACTGCCCCCACTACCGCCTGGGAAAGGGCTGCCCCTACCCTGCCCCCGTCACCCTCACCCCTCACCCCTCAACCAGGCGGGCCCTGCGCGCACCAGTTTCGGCGGGTGCACGAGTCCAGAGCGTGCGCGCGCTCCCGGCTGCCCCCTCCTCCCTTGACCCAGCACCTTTCTGCCCGACCCATCTGGTTCCTTCCTCACACTCGCCGACTGGAAGCTCAGGGCGGCACAGCCACTAACTCTCTCTCTCTCTCTCTCTCTCTCTCTCTCTCTCTCTCTCTCTCTCTCTCTGTGTGTGTGTGTGTGTGTGTGTGTGTGTGTGTGTGTGTGTGTCCCAAGGGAACAGAGCACTGCTGAGTTCAGGCAGATGATAACTCGTTCCTGGACGGTCAGCAAAATACAGTCCCAAGAAGGCTCTGTGCTGATTTGTCTTTTGCGGTGACATCATGTTGCTCATGTTTTATGTTTTTCGGAGTTCATTAGTTTCTTTTTGTTCTCAGTTAATATCCAGCTCAATAGATTGTGTAAGTAGAATACCCCCAAACTGAAAGTCACCTACATAAAATATAGTGAAAAATATGTCACCCACTTAAACTGTAGTTGAAAACATGTACACTTTAGTTTTGCGTAGTCAACACTGGATCCCAGGGCTAGACTGCCTGGGTTCAAGTTCCAACGTAGCCACTTGCTGGCTGTGAAATACTTGACAGCTTTAAGCCCCAGTTTCTTTTTTTGTTTTAACTTCATCCCGAATGTGATAGTAAGTCTCAGTTTCTTGATCTGAAAAAGAGAAATGATTCAATGAGAGTCTAGTGAAAACTTTAAAGTTTTTAAAGCGACTACCTGGCTAAGGAAAGTCCTCAGCCTTAGCCGTTATTAGCTATGATTATTATTGTGTTGGCTACACGTGCACTAATGAGGCAGGAAAATGCTCAAGGATAACAACCAAGTATGCAAATTATCTCATCAGACCGAGAGGGAGGCATATGTGTGCATGCTCACGTTTCAGCTCAGAGCCCTTTGTCTAGAAGGCTCTTGAACTCAGAGGTCCAGGCACTATCAGCTTTGCAGTGGAGCCATCACTTTTGTTGATCAATGAAATTGACATAATGCTTTTTTTTTTAAAGCACCAACCGTGTGCCTCAAGCTAACTGTCAAGAAAAGCATGCGTCAGTTGGCTGGAGTGAGCAATTCAACTCGTGGAGGAATGAGAAATGTTAGCGTTGAGACGAGAAACATAAAACCCCAGGTTAAGGTAGGAATCACTGAAAGTCAGGCAAAGGAACTGACATCCAGTAATGAGTTAGGCTTTGCCGGGCTCTGGCCCTACAGATGGCTCTTTGGAGAGGAAAAAATTAAGCCAGGCCTGAGGGCACAGATCCTAAGGGAATGCTGGCAGCTCTGGGCTGTCTATGGAAGAGAAGCAGAGGGTAGCGCCTGGTTGAAAGAGGGTGCTGGGGGACATAGCTTGAGCCTGTGTTTACAGATGGAGTCCCCTGATTCCTGAGACTGGGAAAAGAGATCGTGCCCGGATCAGGGGACCTCAAATCACAACTCTTCCCACCCACACCCCTTCTTTTCAGGGCGTCTGTCGCTGCAAACTACAGGTAAACTAGTTGGAAAGCTCCGCAGATTCTCACGGTGGTGCCCAGCAGGCCAGCCCTAGCTGCCCTTTAACCTGTGACTGAGGATGATGCCACTGGCCTGTAAGCACACATTGGAAAATCTTTACACCCATAGACACGCCATGCCCCACAGAGACAGCTGTGCAGGGTTCTTTAGGTTTGGGGTGCTGTGCTGGCAGTTGCCTTATAAATATGTAGGATTAAAATGGGATGCCCTGGAGCTTAGCTAACCTTTATCCTCCCCCCACTCCCCACCCCCAAAATGAAGGGGCTGCTAGTTTTGTTTGCTTTATGAAAGATGGATCTGTCATTGTTTTTAGAACCTTTGGAGAAAGATTTCTTGGGAGGAAGCGATCCTGAACCCCCAGAGATTTTTCTCATTTACTGGCGCACCAGCTTTAGAGTCCTAGGTCTTCATCTTGGCCCAGCCACCCTCCAACTGTGTGACCTTTGAGAAGCTGTTTGACTAAACTGAATCTCGTTGTCACCTATGAGTGGAGGTTGCTACGTTGTTACTGTGTGGAGCACCTACCCCCAGGCACTCTTATAGGGTGATGGTGAAGATTCAATGCAACAATAAGGCGGAAGGAGGAGGCTGGCTTGAAGCCGGGAGTTCAAGACTAGCCTGGGCAACAAAGCCAAACCTCATTTATTTAAAATGTTTATTTAAAGATGTTTATTTAAAAATTAGCTGGACTTGGTGGCTTATGCCTGTAGTCCCAGCTACTCGGGAGGCTGAGGTGAGACCAATTGAGCCCAGGAGTTTGAGGATGCAGTGAGCCGTGATCGCACCACTGCACTCCAGCCCAGGCAACAGAAAGAGACCCTATCTCAAAGAAATGAATAAGTAAATAAATAAATAAACAAACAAATAAAATAATGCATGCAATCGGTACACTAGTACATGCTCAGGCACATGATAAATGCTCGATAAATGGTAGCCCCAGTAAACTTTGTAATGTTTTGGGAGAGGATGTCCTTTGGACTCAGCCCGGTGACAAAAGCATTTGAAAAGACTGATGTGTATGATGGCTATTTCCTACAGGTACAAGTCTGTACCTCCAGGGACCCAAGGCATTGGCTCGACTGGGTAACTTGTTCTGTTTACTCTTGTTTTGGGCAGCACCGATTGCCCTAGGGCTAAGCAGGACTGCCACCCCAGACTCGATTGCCAACAGTATCCCCCTCCCCAAGCTAGCCATGGGAAAGCCACTTGCATCGTAAGACTACAGAAAATCAAAGGGAAGAAAAAGCACAATTTAGTCAGCT
Organism: Homo sapiens; assembly: GCF_000001405.40. Lineage (NCBI taxonomy): Eukaryota > Metazoa > Chordata > Mammalia > Primates > Hominidae > Homo > Homo sapiens. Next base: position 34,517,936 of record NC_000015.10, read on the forward strand.
ACTCTCCAGTTGATGGGCAATAAGTTTTTGCTATTTTGAACAGAGCTGCATGCCTTGTCCACATCCCCTGTTTTATATAGTCAAGAATTTGTCTTGGATGTAGAGTAGAGTTGCTGGGCGGGGAGGAGTGTGAATATTCAACCTTATGAGATGGAGCCAAACTGTTTTCCAAGGTGGTCATACCAGTGTATGCTCCCAGCAGCAGGCAGCAGTTCTTTTTTTTTTTTTTTTGAGACAGGGTCCGCCCAGGCTAGAGTGCCGTGGCACGATCTTGGCTCATTGCAAGCTCTGCCACCTGGGTTCACCCCATTCTCTTGCCTCAACCTCCTGAGTAGCTGGGACTACAGGTGCCCGCCGCCATGCGTGGCTAATTTTTTCTTATTTTTTTAGTAGAGACGGGGTTTCACTGTGTTAGCCAGGATGGTCTCGACCTCCTGACCTTGTGATCCACCTGCCTCGGCCTCCCAAAGTGCTGGGATTACAGGTGTGAGTCACTGCGCCCGGCCCAACAGCAGTTCTTAAGAGATCTCCAGGATCTCTATCTTCTGGTGATGTCACAAGCAGTCAAAAGAATAAAAGCCAGCTATAAGCAACAATAAGAATCTGAACAATATACTATTAAGGGGAAAAAAACAAATTCCAGAAGGATGCATACAGCATACTTTATATAACTTGGAAAAGGAAATGTATATATAGGCCGGGCATGGTGGCTCATGCCTGTAATCTCAGCACTTTGGGAGGCTGAGGCAGGAGGATTGCTTGAGGCCAGGAATTCAAGACCAGCCTGGACAACACAGCAAAACCCTGTCTCTACAGAAACTAGAAAAATTAGCTGGGTGTGGTTGTGCAGGCTCCTAGTCCCAGCTACTCATAAGGCTGAGGTGGGAGGATGTCTTGAGTTTAGGTGTTCAAGGTAACAGTGAGCCATGGTTGCACCACTGCACTCCAGCCTGGGCAACAGAATGAGACCCTGTCTCTAAAGAAAAAAAAAAAGGAAATAAGTAAAATTTAACAACAAACTGTGGGCCGGGTGCGATGTCTCGCACCCATAATCCCAGCACTTTGCGGGGCCGAGATGGGCAGTTCAGGACGTCAGGAGTTGAAGACCAGCCTGATTAACATGGTGAAATGACGTCTCTACTAAAAATACAAAACTTAGCCAGGCGTGGTGGAGCATGCCTGTAATTCCAGCTACTCAGGAGGCTGAGGTAGGAGAATCGTTTGAACCTGGGAGGCAGAGGTTGCAGTGAGCTGAGATTGCACGACTGCACTCCAGCCTGGGTGACAGAGCAAGACTCTGTCTGCAAATAAAATAAAATAAAATAAAGTAATATAAAATAATTTTTTTAAAAGTTGGGTTTTTGAAAAGACACACAACCTTGACAAACAAAAGGAAACATGACAACTGATACTACAGAAACTCAGGCCAGGCGCGGTGGCTCACGCCTGTAATCGCAGCACTTTGGGAGGCTGAGACAGGTGGATCATGAGGTCAGGAGATCGAGACCATCCTGGCTAACACAGTGAAATCCCGTCTCTACTAAAAATAACAAAAATTAACCGGGCGTGGTGGCAGATGCTTATAGTCCCAGCTACTCAGGAGGCTGAGGCAGGAGAATGCCGTGAACCCCGGAGGCAGAGCTTGCAGTGAGCCAAGATCACGCCACTGCACTCCAGCCTGGGAGACAGAGCGAGACTCCACCTCAAAAAACACACAAACAAACAAACAAAACCTCAAAGGATCACTAGTGGCTATTATCAGCAACTATAGGCAAAGAAATAGGAAAACCTATTAAAAATGGATAAATTTCCAGACACAACCAGACTACCCAGATTGAACCATGACGAAAGCCAAAACCTGAACAGACCAATAACAAATAATGGGATGAAAGTGGTAGTAAAAATCTCCCAGCAAAGAAAAGCCTGGGACCTGATGATTCACTGCTGAATTCTAGCAAACATTTAAAGAAGAACTAATACCCACCTTACCCAAACGATTCCAAAAACAGAGAAGAAGGGAATACTTCCAAACTCTTTCTACAAGGCTAGTGTCACCCTGATACCAAAACCAAAGATATATCCAAAAAAGAAAACTACAGGCCAATATCACTGATGAATATTGATGCAAAAATCCTCAACAAAATATGAGCTAACTGAATTCCACAACGCATTAAAGTTGGGGTGCAGTGTTGCAGGTTCACTCAACCCTTCCCGTTTTCCTCTCTGTGTGTGTCTCCTTTGCCGTGTTCCATGGTGGCAGCGGCGGTGGCAGTGTTGGTGCATGGGCCTCCCAGGGCAAGGGGAAAGTGAGTATGCCCTTTTCTTGCCTCCTGCCAGGCGTCTGCAGCCTGGCACAAGCTCTGGCCAGGTCTCCAAGCAAGGGAGCTGGAGATGTTCTTTTCCAATTTCTGGATTGGTAACTTGAGGCAAATTCTGGGCACTAGAGTCAGAACTTAGACGAGACTGAATCAGGGGAGTCTGGGGTCCTGAGAGGCAGAGGCCTGAAACCGTCTAGAGCCATGTGGGGAGCTGGGTGTGTATTCAGGCCAGTTGCTTTTCTCTGTGCCTCAATGTTCCAGGTACACCTTGGAGGGGCTGAGATCCTAGGGATTCCTGGAGCCTGGCTGCATGGCCTGGCCACCCTGATGCCCTTGTGTTCTCCATGACAGGACAGCAAGGCCGAGGAGAATGGCTCCGACAGCTTCATGCACTCCATGGACCCACAGCTGGAGCGGCAAATGGAAACCACGCAGAACCTGGTGGACTCCTACGCGGCCATTGTCAACAAGACCGTGTGGGACCTCATGGTTGGTGTCACGCCCAAGACCATCATGCACGTCATGATCAACAACAGGCATGCACCGCCTCATGGGAGCAGGGGGCTCCTGTGGCATTGGGGATGCAGGTGGCCATGTTGGCCAGGGGGAGATGCTGGCCAGCCCTATGGGACCAGGTCCAGGGAGGGAGGCACGGTCCAGACCAGATCTGTCTCATAGAAATATAACATGGTACTGAGGACAGTGGCCCATGCCTGTAATCCCAGCACTTTGGGTGGCCAAGGCAGGAGGATAGCTTGAGCCCAGGAGTTCGAGACCAGCCTTGGCAACATAGTGAGACCTGGTCTCTACACAAATATTTTAAAAATAGCTGGGCTTGGTGATGGCACGTGCCTATAGTCCTAACTACTCGACAGGCTGACATTTGAGGGTCACTTTGAGCCCAAGAGGTTGAGGCTGCAGTGAGCGGTGATCTCACCCACTGTACTCCAGCCTAGCAACACAGTGAGATCCTCTCTCCAAAAATTTTATTTAAAAAAACTGAGTAGACAGGTGTCCTGGTGGCATGATAGGTCCTGTGTCCCCTCCCAGATCTGTGACCTTGGACAGGTGACTTTTCCTCTGGACCTCAGTGTCCCTATCTGAGTGAGAAAAGGGCGGTGGGGCGGCAGATCTTTGAGTCTAAGCGGTGTAGAAGCCGCGTGTGCAAAGCCATACTCAGGGCTCCAAGTCCAGCACACTGTCCCAGCACAGGCATCAGGCCAGCACATGCATCAGGTCCCAACCTCCTTCCCTCTTTGCCCCCTCTCAGACCAAGGAGTTCATATTATCAGAGTTGCTGTCCAACCTGTACTTGCATGGGAACCAGAACACGCTGATGGAGGAGTTGGCAGAGCAGGCACAGTGGCGAGATGAGATGCTGCGCATGTACCACGTGCTGAAGGAGGTGCTCAGCATCATCGGTGACATCAACACAACCACCATCAGCACGCACATGGGGGCCCATGGACAACTCCTGGCTGCAGGTGCAGAGCGTCCTTGCCAGACGCAGGTACCAGGGCTGGCCCCCATGGCCCCAAGGCTCCCCAGCCCCCATGGCTGAGCCTGGGGGCTCTTGGAACAGGCTCCGTGCCCAAGCTGGCAGATGTGGGTGGTCTCTGGAGCCGTCAGGGAGCTCGTGGTTTATGGTGTAAGGGCTGAGAGCTTGGAGGGGGTTGTGTGTGGGGCTGTACTCTGAGGTGGCCAGAGGCCCAGGAATGTCATCCTGGGCACGCCATGCCTTTTGTGCTGTCTGAGCCATGCTGCCAGGGTGGGGCATCCAGCTCCCAGCCTGGATGCCTTGGAGTGCTGACAGCCAAATCCACTGCAGAGCAGGGGTGATAGGGTCCCACCTCCTCTATCTGTCGGCAAAACAGTGGTGATCTAGGATAAAACCTCGAGAGTCCCATACACACGGTCAACCCAAAACACACCTCACAGGTCAGGTAGGGGCACACAGCCCCCTTCCCTCCCTCCCAGGTACCATCATAGCTGCTAGCATGTGACTGAAGGCAGGGTCCCTGGGCTCCGCTGAAGCACTACCACCAGCCAGCAGGCTCACGCACCTTGGCTTGTTGCTCCTAGAGGTTGGCCCTGCTATTCAGCCGAGGGGAGCACAGTGCCTGCTGGCCCAGCTGAGCTCTGCCCAGCAAGCCCACCCACCTCCCTTGCCATGGTCTCCCTCTTCTTTCCCTGGGAGGAAGGACCCAGCCTCACCTATGGGACCTGCAATCTCCAACAAGCTGAGGCTCCCCTCTTAGACTTATAAGTTTATAGCCAGTGGCATCCGGCTGCCTGCCCACCCTGCCTCCCCCAGGGTCCCTTCAGAGGGTCCTGAGCTTCCTGACCACCCAGAGGGGGCTCCGGCGATCACTCCAACCATCCATCCCATTTAGCTTCATCATCCTTGTTCGAGCGATGTTCCTTCTGTCAGGCCTGGTGGCTGTTACGTTGGGCTCCCCAAGGTGAGAGGTGGCCCTGGACCAGTTGGTTGGAAGACAGGTTGGAAGACGACTTGGAAGACAAGTTGGTTGGTGACCAGAGAAGAGGGAAGCCCAAAGGGGCCGAGCGTTGGTCTGACCTGTGGGTACACTGCCTGGGTGCAATGGAAGAGGCCAGCATGTGTGGGGTGGGGAGGGCCGCCACAGTCCCCAGGCACTACCTGTGAAGCTCCGGCTCCTCCCTCCATCTTCCTCCCCTTTCCCTTCCAGCCCCTCTTTTCCAGGAACCTTGCCACAGCCGCACCTGCGCCCTCCCCTCCCTGGCCCTCCCACAGCTGCTGTGGCACACCTGTGCTCCGCACTGGCCTCACCAGCTCTCTGCTCCCTTTTGTCTCTCCTCTTTTCTCTCTGCTTTCTCTCCAACTGCCAGCCGATCGGGTCACGCAAGTCCATCCCATCCTGAGAGCCCCACGCCCCCCTTCGACCTCTAAACAGATCCCTCCTCTTCTCGGAGGCCTCCCTTTCCAAGCCTGCCTGGGCGGCTGTTCTGTGACTTGGCAGTGGCTCCCCCAGCCCCAAAGCCAGCCCCCTTCATCTGTGACTTAGTCTGTTGTAGTGGTGAGCTGACACGTCCAGGTGTGACTGTTGTGAAACTTGTGCCCCCCTCTGTGGTATGCCCTCGCATTGTTCTATAAATATCTATAAATACCCATACACACACACACACACACACACACACACACACCCCTACACCTACATGTGGCCAACGGCCTCGCCTCTAGTGCTGGGAATCAGTCACCGTGCTGTCCTCTTGGAGTCTTGTGGCCCAACAAGAGAAAGCTGTCCCGACATTGCCCCTCCAAAGTGCAAGACCTCCGGTGAGTCTCCCTGTCACGCCTGGCCTATGGAGAGTCAGCCCCCGCCATCCCTCCCGCCCCCCACCAAGCATGGGAGTGCTGTGCAGGCAGCTGTGTGGCCTGACACTCTCTACCAGTCCTGCTGTCCCTTGGCTGAGAATCAAACCCATTTCTGGATGACGGGGAAGTGTGTCCTCTGCTGGCTGTGTTCTCTGTGGAGCTCAGGGGAGGGGAAAGGCCAAGCCATTTCTAGGGTGCTGTTTGGAGGGGTGAAAAGGCCATACCCTTTCCAAGGGACACTTTTCCTGGAAAGCCCCTGGAACTTAGCTGGCTCTTGTCCTGTGAAGCCGGCTCTGGCCACCAGGGGGCAGGGCCACGAACTCAGCCTGAAGGGAGCCTGCCGGGCAGCCGGCACTCTGGAGGGACAGAGAGAACAGGCCACCAGGTGCAGACAGGGGAGGGAGGAAGGGGACAGAAGGGAAGACGCCTGGGGTGGGTGGAAGTCAGTGCCCTTAGGTGCTGGTACCTGTCTTCCCGGCCACCGCTACAACAGGCTTCCGAGCCTGTTGGCTGTCAGGGCTGGACTGCGCCCCATAGGCACCATGGCAGTCCCCGTGGAATCCCCCAGGCGCCACTAGGCAGCATACAGGTAACACGCCTGGAAGGTCCCTAACAGCCTAGCTGGACACACTCAAGACACTCTGGGGCTCCTCATTTGGTGGCACAAACTCCAGGACCCAGTGAGTGAAATGGGAACACACCAGGTCGGGCAGTATGGCTAAATCCATATATTCCAAAATAAAAAGCAAAATAAACAGGAGTCGCATCACCAGGGAGCCACAACCCCATCCCCGCCTCCTTCCTCTGTCTTATGCTAGCAATAAATAAGTTTCGCAGCCACAAATAATTATTACAACCTCCTCCCCATGTGCCGGCTCCAACCTCAGCTAGGTATGATACAGGGGCGGCCCTACCCTCTGGAATATACAAAACCTTACACAGACACAATATGTACACCGGGGAACGGGGGCCACCCCAGCAGCCCGTGCCCTCGCCTGGTCCACAGTTAGCCCCACTGTCCTGCCTCTCTGAATAAGAAGGTGGGAGCCCCCCTGAGGGAAAAGTTGCTATGGTGAGAGTAAGGGGGGCATCAGGCCTCCTCCAAACAAACCAACTCCACCAGCCTCTGGCTCTTAAATAACAATCATCATCATCCAGAAATTTAGGGACTCAGCCCTGATCGAGGGGGCAAAGGGTCTGTTTGTCTTTCCCCATTAGACAGAGGTCTTGTCCTGCTACCCTAATTGTAAAGGGGTGCCTGGGAAGGGGTGGTAGGGACATGGTGGCGGTGGAGACTCCGGCCCCACTTCTCCAGGCTTTGCTGACAGGGGCCTGCTTTTAATTTTTATTTTTATTCCATGACTTTTTTAAATCCCATAACTTCTTTTTCATAACTTTGTTTTGGTAACTTTTCAGAAAACGTTTTTCTACTTTTTTGCCACAACAGTTTTACATTTTTTATCCAATAACTTTTTCACCCCATAACTTTTTTAATCCCATACCTTTTTTATTTTGTGTTCTTTTAATAAACACTTGCATAGTTATACTACAATTTTGTGAAAATGAAACAGATTATCTCATGCCAAGCATGCCCAGTATTTGCACAGTATCAATACCTTTAATACTATAATTTTCAAGATGCGCAAAATAAAATTTTAAGGCAAAAACAGCACTTTGCAACAATTTAATAATTTATCACATTACAGTAGCATCACACCAGCAGTCAATAATGCCACTTTAGGCAAAAGTCTTTCAGTATTTCTGTTACACATTCTGTTAACAAGAACCCATACATTGGTAAAATTCATTCTAAGAAAACTTGGCAAACAAAGCTTTGGACTGGAATTGGCATTTCTTTCTCTACTTTTCCTTCCCACCATTTCTTTCTTTTAAACTACAGTATTCATATTTTAAAATGTTTTAACTTATTTCAGAACATAAAGATAGCAGTTACACTTTTAAATATTTATATTATTTTAAAATGACTCTTTAGGATACAGTTTTAAACCCACGGGCTAGAAATCATACCACTATTAGCCACATTATTTGGTCTAATATTTTTTCTTTATTATTCTGAAACTGGGTTTATCTAATACATTGATAAATTCATACAATTCGGAAGAGTCAGTTGAAGTCACAAGGACCCAATATCTGCCCTCTTTCAGTGAATGCCGGCAAATCTGTTATTCCATTGGCAAAATCGTATTGCTGCTCTCCTGTTAATCTCCTATTTATAAAAGGATCATGAGGCTGCCAAGTGCTAAAAATGGAGATGGTCTAGTAACTAGAAAACTCCCCACCCCAGGGAGCACACATACATATCTCCCTACAACCTAATAATGTGATGTGTTTTGGAACACAGACATTAGAACTTCATGAAGTTTTAACTGTTGATTCTTTCCCAAGCATCATCAAGTTATGATTTAGGCAATGTATGATTGAAATGCATTCACTCATCACGCATAGGCACAATCACAGAAATATTGCACAAAATATGTCCCTGACTGAAACTGAGAGGTACAAAAACATATTTCACTCTTCGTAAAGAAGTTTGTGAGGAAATACAACTCTGCGATCGTATAGACATGTTTCCTGATAATACATTGACATTCACAAACAGTAGATTGCAGCACAGTGTGTAAACATTTTCAGTTGCATAAACTTCTCCTTGATTTTCAAAGATAATATAATACTGTCTACTAAAATTCCTTTTTGTTTCAACTAAGTACTCTCACATATATTAGTTTATAATAATGTTTGTTATTATTTTCTAAAGTGTTTTCCACTCAAGGAAAAGAAGTAAATTCCTATGTCAGAGTAACCGAGGTGGTTGAAGAATAGGTATTAGCCAGAGAGGTCTAGATAGTAAAATCAAACTTCAAGCCTCAAAGAAGCTCCATGAACAGAGAGGAATGCCAGGTGTCACACAGCTTTCCTTCACTCTAATTCATTCTTGACTAGAGCCTGTATGCCTGTTTCAGAGACATTTAAACTCTTAAAGGATGTCTTATGATCTTTACTAAATACATTAAGAAGAATGCCAACCAGCGCCCTTTCGTGTACTGGGACAGGTAGTCATGTGATTAAAACAGGGAACACGAACTCTGACTTTAAAATGTATTGTAGATACAAATGCTCTAAGCTAGGAAAGGTTTTCCACATCCACAGCCAACGATGGCAGCCTTTCATTCCTCGGAAATAAGCCATTTTTAGGTCACTGAAAAAGAGTGCAACTGCTGCAGCTCACGATGCAATATCTTCATGAGCCCAGAGCACATACAAATCCAAAGGGAACTGCCACAGTACAGTGCTCATTCTTGGCACCGGAACAGATGAAACACACTGTATCCTGCACATACCTGCCAGAGCAGGCCACTTTCCTCTTCTGCGAGATTTAGAAAGCTCCCCCAAAAGGTTATCACTCCCATCACCAATACACAGAAAATGGAGGAAAGGCTGTTTCCAGTTCTCGGCCTTTAAACAGCTCTAAGTGTCAGTACTCATAGTGGCATATTACAAAGTAATAAACAGTGCACACTTGAGGGCAAACCGCATATTGAGCTATGGAAGAGCTCACTGTGATTAAGATGAGATCAAACATCATAGCAGAACATTAGCAAATTTTATCTGAATTCTGTAATGAACATCCATGCTGCAATAACATTAAAAAAGCACGGGAGCCTATTCCAAACCAGCGAGAACAGTTTTGTGCAAAGAGTGGGTCTTTGTGTGTTTGAACTCCCACCACGTAAGGGCAAACTCGATATGCATGCTAATGACCTACAATTATGAAATGAAAAAAGAAAAATGCTAAAGGATGCCAGAGTGAACATCAGTGAGAGGCACAGAGACCCACTCTCTTTTAACTTTTTACAAATAAACTTAAACTATAAATTAGAAACACAAATAATCATGAGTAGCTCTAACATTCAAATGAAGTAAATGAATTGTGTAGGAGATTAACCCCATAACTTTGTTTCGTTTTTAAAAATTTCTTGAGCAGCTCTTTGATGATGGTGGTGTTTATCTCCTTCTTCTCGGCAGCCAAGCCCAGCAAAAGCATGGCACACAGCAGTTGCTGCCCAAGCCTGGGTGCTCCTGGTGGTCCTGCATCTCACCAAGGAGCTGCAGGACTGGCTGTGCAGTAGGGTTGTCCTGGGAAGAACCCTCCCTGGCTTCTCCTTGTGCAGGCTCCACGCTGTTGGTGAGGCTCGCCTCACAAAGATCTTTGGAGAGAGAGAGGCGGGGATCTGAGTGGAGTGCTAGCCGCCCCCCGCTCCTGCCTGCTCACCCCGCCTGGGGGCTCTACTCACCACCATGCTTGTCGGCAGCCCCGAGCTCCTGGGGGGCTGGGGCTCCTGGACTGGGTTCAGCAGCAGGGTTCCGGGCAGCGGCCAGGAATTTGCCGTGCCCCTCGCTGTAGCTGCCACAAGCCGCAACACCATCTCCTGCAGCTCCAGCAGCTTCACCTGAAGGGACGGGTGCTCAGCTGTCAGGCCGCTGCTGGCGCCCACCCTCATGCCCACCCCACCCACACCCCCACCCCACCCCCACCCCCACAGGGATGTTGCACACCCTACCTTCCTCTCCTCCTTGTCCTGGGCCAGCCTGATGATGGCCTCCTCCCGGTGACGCATCTTTGGCACTGTCCCCTGGCTCTGTTAGAAGGCGATGTACTTTCCTGCGGGAGGACAGGGCTCAGACGCTGGGGCCCCTCCCATAGCCCTGCAGCTCCCCCTGCCGTGCCCTGGCCTCCCACTCACTGATGGCATCTCTCTCTCCGGTACTGGATGAATCCAAGTTCCAGTTTCTCCACATGCTCCCTCAGGTCCGCCTTCTCCTCCAGGAGGTCCATAAGGCCGCTCTGGAGCCAAAATAATGGGGTCACATCTCAGCAGCGACCTGCCCCAGCCCTGCCCTTCTTGGCCCATGCTAGGACTCACTCCCCTCCAGCTTCTCCATGACTTCCTGCAGGGCCCGGAGGGTCTCCCCACTCACAGACTCGCCCCCAGTCCCTGAGGCTGGGACTGCTGCCTCTGGCTCCTTCTCGGCCGAGGTGAGCGTCTCCATCACCTGGCCCAGCTTCTCCTGCAGCTCCTTTACTTGCTGCTCCAACTGCAGTGCGCTCTTGTTCTCGTGCTTCTGGACAGAGAGAAGCAATCAGCAGCCACCCACTGCAGCTGGAGACCCCAGAACTTGGTGTCTGCCTCCCATGGCACCGGGAAGGGTGGAGCCAAGTTAGAAAAATACTCTCCTCTCTCCCACAGCCACCAGAGCAAAGCTCTGGCTCACAGGTGCCTTTGGAAGTAATATTTCATGTGAGGGCTACACTGCCCCATTTTACAGGTGGGGAAACAAAGGCCTGGAGGGCTAGGGAGGAGGGCAGGCTCCCCAGGTGGGGCAACCCACCAGCTCCTCCAAGTCGCTCTGTGGCTCGGCCAGCTGCTGAAGCCTCTTCTCCCGTTCCCGAAGCCTCTCCTGCTGCTCCTGAAGCCTCTCCTCCTGCTCGCGAAGCCTCTCCTTTTGCCCACGGTTCAGGAGACTGATGCACTGATTGTTTTCCACCTGAGCCTGGAGCTCTCCTGCCACTCTCTCCAGCTCCTTCCTCAGGTCTTGCAGCTCCACCTCAGAGGACACTGCTGGGGCATCCGGGGGCAGTGGCTCAGCTGAGAAAGGAAGCAGATCATAAGGGCCTCTGGATTCTCAAAACAAAAATCAAAACAGAAAAAACAACAAAACACCCTCCTGTTGGCGCACAGCTCCTCTCAGGCTCCCAAACTTGGCTTCACTGCTAACGATCCCTCGCACCCGGATGGTAGCCAGTCTTCCAAACCACTTTCAGATAGAGAGCACTGCGGGTGGCTGACAACGGGCCCTCTTTGCTCATGGGGACACTGAGGCTCAGGGAGATGACAAGACTTGTCTCCTGGCACAGACCTCTTTCCCTCTGCCTCAAAGCCCTGCCATCCACCCACCTCCCTGGGGCACTCTAAGCCACCCCCACAGCCCTCTGATGCCAGTCCTGCTCCCAGGTCATGCCAGCCCCATCTTACCCATCTGGTTTTTGAGTCTGGACAAGCTCCTCTCCAGCTCCTCTACCCGATGCGTATCATGCTTCTTCTCCTCCTTCAATGTGCAAACCTGCCCAAAGCACAGGGGGAAAGGGCCCTGGAGAGAGGGGCTGGTGGCTGGACAGGCTCCCATCTCCCTCTCTGCCCCCACCTCCACAAAGCCCAGACCCAGGACCACCTCTGGCTGCACTATTCCCATTTTAAAGAGGCCCAGAAAGATCCAGTGACCTATCTTAAGTTGTTGGTGGGGGGGGGGTGGGGCGGGAGGCTGAAGGGTCAGATCTCACCTCCTGCGACATTTTCCTCATCCTCTGCTGCCACTGGGCCCTCTCTCCTTTTATTTGTTCAGCATATTGATCTCTCTCCAGCTGGACTTCTTTAAGCGACTCCTTCAACTGCAAGAATGGCCACACAAGTTAGGAAGGGCCGTCACTGGTCCTCACCTGCTCCTGGCCACCTGGGGTCATCTTCCTTCCACATCCCTCCCTCTGCAAAACCTCACCTGTGTCACGTGTCCTTTCAGCAGTATCTGCTCCCGTATGGACTGCTCTAACTGCCGCTTGAGAAGTGCTTTACTGCGGCTCGAGAACTGGATGGTGAAGAGTGAGAAGTTTCGATCTGGGGAGCCTGGGCCATTCCACACAGTGCCCCTTAAAAGGGCTAGGGCTAGGCTCAATATACAACTCGGTCAGTAAAGATCAAGGCATTTCCAAGCCCGTGGTCTGGTTTTGAAAAAAACTCAGTGAAGTTGGAAGGGACAAGGAGAGAGATCAGATAATATTGCTATTGTTATTACTCCCACTGTTTGAACCTTTATGGAGTGCTTCAGCAGGTACCTTGCTAGCAATCCCATTTAATCCTCGCAACCACCAGAGGAGACAGTTACTATGATGCCCTCTCTTGGGTAGATGAAAAAACATGGAGTGTTTGAGGTTAAGTGCTTGCCTAAGATCACTTAGGCAGAGCTAGGATTTGAACACCCAGGTCTATCAGATTCTCTAAGCCCATTTTTCTGCTGGGGGTGGGGGCACGGTTAGGAAGGGGAAAATTAATCTTTTGTTCACTTTTTGAAAAGATGATACATTCACATAGTCCAAAACTCGGAAGGTATCAAAGGGAAGTATCTCCCAGCCACCCTGCTGCTCTCTCCTGAGTTGTTTACGAACACTTGCAGACATGTTTTATGTATATTATCATACTATGTACACACACACACACACACACACACGTTTCCTCTCTCTACAGAAATGGGAACATACTAAAGGTACCCTTCTGTACCTTCACAGTACAAGTACCCAATACCCCACACCCCACCTAGGACTTGGCCAAGACCACAGCCAGGTAAGGGCAGGGCAGGCACTTGGCCTCCAAGCTCTGCATCCAGTGCTCGCTCCCCACCGCGCCCCCCGACTCACCCACAGCAGCTGACTCAGCCTCAGGCTGCCTCTAACAACCATACACAAAAGCAGTGAGAAATGGCCATGCTGCCTTCTGGGCAGGACACTCCATCCTGCAGAAGGGACCTTTAGGCTCACTCCTCCATCTGTGAAGCCGGGCTCCCAGGGGACAGGGCAGGTGACTGGACTCACCCCATCCGGCTTCTTCTTCTGTGTGGCGGCGACAGCACAGAGAGACCACTCTAACTCTCCTATACGCTGCGATGAACGTTGCAGGCGGCCGGCCAGATCCTTGGACTCTTCTGTAATGACAGAGTTGACATGGGGCTCAAAGGACTCCGCCTTACAGACCTGTCAAAGTGCCAGGTTGAAGGATGACAGGGTGCCCAGATTCCCACCTTCAAAGTATCTGAGAGAATGTTTCATGTGATACAGGTCCGTATTTAGTTTCTTTTTCTCTGTGTTCAATCTCTGGATTTGACCCTTTGGGAGAAAAGCCAAGCAAGTGCTGAAATAGAAGGAAAGAAACATTCTCCGGAGGACAGGAGGAAACTTCACACCCTCCACTCACCTCTAGCTCCCTTTCAGCTTTCTGTTTCTCATTGTTTGCTTTCTTTTCCTATAGGAAGAGGAAGACAGAGCTCTTACCAGGGGGAGGCAGAGAAGGCACAGCAAGAGATATGCCCCCAGAATGCCACCAATGCCCCAGGACAGGCCCACCCATGGGACCCGGTTATCAGGGACCCTGTGGGGATGGGGTGGAATCTGAGGGGTGAGCCTCCTTCCCCAGGCTGGGAGTGGGTGAGACGAGACTGGGGCCTCTACATCTGAGTGTCCCCCAAACCCAGCAGTCATGTCGCCAGCAAACAAAGAAATCACGTTACTTCTTCCAGCTGATGTTCCACTTGTTTCTTCTGTTGTTTCTGTGGGGAGAGTCAAATTAAAGTGATGGAGGGTGGCCCCCTCAACTCTATTCCCCAGACAGGAAGCGGCAGGCAGGGGCCAGGAATGGATTTTAAAGGCAAAGTTCTCAGACCCAATGGGAACAGGAACTGTTCCCAAGCTCCCAAGGACAGAGGATTTGGGTCTTTGTTGGTTTTCAGCCACAGCCTCACAACTCAAAGTCTGAATCAGGAATCTCTTGAGAGGACAGTAACATAAACCTCTAGAGATGGAGTTTGAGAAAGGCTCCCCCTTCTGCCAGCTTGTGATTTAGAAAAGTGTGTTCATTCAATAGACATTTACTGAGCACGTACGGGCCAGGGACGGTTCTTCACAGCCGATATAGGATGGAAAAGAACAGACAAGAGCCCTTGGCCCTGAGCTTTCCATTCTAGGGGGCCTTTAAATCTCAGACTCTCAGAGCTAACAGAGACCTTTGATACTCACTACCTCCTCTGGAAACACGAGCCCAAAAAGGAGAGGTGGCTTGTCCAGAATCAAAGAGCAAATTAGGGACTGAGTCATGGCAGAAATACGGGGCCCCTGACAACCAGTCAGGCCAGCACTTCCCCAAGAGGCAACAACCCCAGGGCGTGTGTAGCAAGGACTCGAGTAGGGGTGCCTGGAGAGGAGAGAGTCGGCAAAGAGGGCAGCAAAAGAAGAGCCATGCTGCATGCTCTGGGGTCCCGCCAGGTGAGGCCTGGGCGCCCCAGCTCCCTATCTGCCCTTGGCACCAGGGGCCCCCAGCCCCCTTCTTCAGGGCCCCAAGGGGAAACCGGAGCCCAGGATTGGCAGCGTGGAATCAGGGGACCCCACTGGACTCTTACCAAAGATTTGATGGTGTCATTCAGTCGACTGATTTTTATGGACCTCGAGTTCAGGACTGCTGCTTGTTCTTGGCACGGGCTCTGACGCGCATGCAGAGAGGAGGAGGCGGAGGAGGACTTGGGGGAGAGGTAGAGAGAACGATCATTAGGGCTGGGTTGTGTGTGGGCTGTCTCAGCTGGCAGAGGGGCACCCAGTCCCCGCTGCGGGAGGAGGTTGGAGGGCTGGCCTGCGGGGTCACTGCACCTCCACCCAGAGCCTCCTACCTCCAGATCCTTCAGGGTAGCAGATGATGTAGGGCCCTCCCCGTGGATACCTGTTGCTGACTATAAGAGATGAGACTGCACATGGAGATGTTCTGTCCCCCTCAGTGTCTGAGCCCTCCGACTTCCTTTCTTCCCCATCAACTGGCAACATTTTCTTTTCTGCCTATCTTGGACCCTTTGTCCCATAACTCCTTTGTGCCAACTTCTCTCACGGTTCTTATCTCCCCACCATCCCACCCTGGGGGCCTTGCAGTGACTCCTGATGGGAAGTGGCTGTTCTCATTGTCCTGGCTTCCCCTTGAGACTGGGGATGAGGAAAATCAAACAGCAAAGACCATATCCTGGGTGTCCTGGGTGTTGACAGCAGGCCATGTACTAGGGATTAACATAAAATCGACAATTATCAATCTCATTGAAACTTCACAAATACAAGTCAAACAATACCACCTCTATCATACAGACGTGAAAACAGAGGCCCAAAGAGCTCAAGCAACTTGCCCTAAATCATATCCCTAGCAGACGGAGAGGCAGGATTCAAACCCAGAATTCTTTTCTTTTTTGAAACGGAGTCTCTCTCTGCCTTCCAGGCTGGAGTGCAGTGGCGTGATCTTGGCTCACTGCAAGCTCCGCCTCCTAGGTTCACGCCATTCTCCTCCCTCAGACTCCGGAGCAGCTGGGACTGCAGGCGCCCGCCACCACGCCCGGCTTTTTTTTTTGTATTTTTTAGTATTTCACCGTGTTTGCCTGGATGGTCTCGATCTCCTGACCTTGTGATCCACCTGCCTCGGTCTCCCGAAGTGTGGGGATTACAGGCGTGAGCCACTGTGCCCGGCCAAATCCAGAATCCTTCACCAGTACCCAACAGTCCATCCACAATCTTAACGATTGCCCTCTACTGCTCCTTGGGCCCCCTGTCCCCAAAAGCCTGTCCAGGCAAGACTCACAGCCTCAGATGAGTGGCAACCACCAGAAGCGGCCGTCTCAGGGCTACTGCCATTTGCTTTCGTGTTCCTCTTCGCTGCTGCTGGAACACCAGGGCGGTTTCTCTGCCAATATTCTTTGAACTGTGGGAAAGAAGAGCAGTAATACTCATGAGAACTATCAGCCCCTACAGCCACATCCTCCTTTATAGTTTTTATAAAATACTCTTATATACCATCTGATTTAATGACACCAACAACTCTATAAGGTGTCACAATCATTTAGGGACTGAGAGGGATCGACATCATGGCTAGAAAAAAAGAAAAAAGAAAAAAGCGATACTGGAACTTGGAAACTCAGTCTTCCCACTCTAAGCTCTGGGGTTTTGCCAGGCACCAAACCCAGAGGCAGAGGTAGAAAAGTAAACATTAAGTAGGCAGGAGCTGTATGTCATGTGGTTTAGAGTCGTACATCTTCACACGTCTGTTATTGGGAAGAAGTGCACCAGTACCTCTCAAACTTTTATATCAATGTGTCCTCATGGCAGAAGGCAGCCTTTCTGTGAAATCTGGGAATTTATCAGAAAGAGGACAACCCAAGCCTCATTTCAGAGAGAAGTCTGGTATACTCTTAGAAACCTATGGGACTGCCATCCCTAAGTACATTCATGTTTTTTCTCTTATCTCAAGATATCTCAAGAGAATCAAAGGAAACTGATGCTTCAGAAAGATGTCCCACATTTATCCTGTGGTACTCAAAGCACCCCAGCTTGAGATAATATGAGGAAGATTCAAACTGTCAAGTTCAGTCTCCCAAGATCTATTCCACAGAAGATGAGGAAATCTCACTTCAGAGACCACTGACTGAAGGTCCCAGACTGAAGTCTGGTCCCAGAACCATGGAGAATTAGAATATGAGGTGGAGAACTCGGAAAAAAATGTTAAAATCTCTTTGGAAAGTAGAAGCTTGGGAGAAAAACCAAACCAAACCCATTCTCCCATCGCCACCCAGAGACACTGTCAACGTTTTGAGCTCACGGGGGAAGTGTAGGCTTTTCCCACTGTCAATGTCTATGGTAAGGGAGTAAGGCAGCCTGAAACCTCTTGCTCCCAGGTCCCATAGTCTCCATTTCCCTTCCAGCTGGAAATTTCTGCTGTGACCAGAAGAACCAGAAACGGGGTGACAACGTTTAGGGGACTGGGTCATAAGACCAGGGCCAGTCTTCCAGTAATGACAGTTAGTAGGCAGACTGTGACATCACTACATTCCACTCCTCCTAGTGCGGGGGAGGGACCACATCAGCGCGATGTCCGAGTCTCCACTCCACAACGCGGGAGGGAAACACAGGGTTGTGACCCAGGTCCTTGGAGACGCCAGCACAAAGAGCTCAGGGAGGTCGACCTTGAGGCAGCAGGAGGGGAGGGCAGAGTCTGCAGCAGGGAGCCCCAGGAGTCACCAGCCCAAAGTCACCCAGGGACAACTGGCGAGGGCGGGGCCTGGGGCTGGGGGGCCCAGGTCCTTGGATATGCGAGCCCAAAGAGCCCAGGGAGGTCCAACTTGGGGCGGCAAGAGGTGAGGGCCCAGTAATGGAGTGGGGCGCCCCAGGAGTCACCCGCCCAACGTCACCCCGGGGTGATCGGCGAGGGCAGGGACTGAGCTGTTTGCTGAAGGGGCAGGGCTGACTGACAAGACTTTTGTAGGGGGAGCCCAGAAGCGCCGGGGTTGGGGGGCAAAGTCCGGTGTGCGTCAGGAGTAGTATGGACTGTGGCAGCGGTCTTGTCGTCGGAGGGGATCTGTGGCTGGGTTAGCGGGCCATGACCCGGTACGTCTTTACCTTTTTCTTGGCTGCAGCTAATTTACTCTGTCCAGTTTCTTCTGCCATTGTGGGGTGGGGAGGGAGGCGGGGCTGGGGCCACGTCAGCCAAATCCCAGCGAGCGCTGATCAACACATCCAGTCACCTGGAAGACAGCTGCGTAACTGACCCAGAGGCAGCGTAACCAGGGCCACAGTAGAATGCAGAATAGGGGCGTGGCCTTAATGCTTCAAGCCCATTGGCCAACGAGAAAGATGACAGGGAAAGGGGGCGTGGCCAGGCGGCAGTGTGTCCAGAGGGACCTGTGGCTCATCAGGAAAGCTGCCCATGCAACCGCTGTCCCCACCCACTCTGAGAGAGGGGAGGGGCCGCCCGCTCTGGGAGAGTGGAGGGGCTGGCTTTTGCTTTAAAACCCTTAAAACTTTAAAAATCATATGTGTGTATACTTTATATATATGTGTGTGTCTCTCTGTGTGTATCCATGTGTTCCTCCAGAGCTGTCTTCATTAACCAGCTTCTATGCAAGGTCTGTCATTTTGGCCTATATTTTTCATCTTCAAATACTGTATAAAAATTACCAGTATTACCTGAACTGAGATACAGATCCTATAAAAGTGGGAAATCCACAGCATGCTTGATGATTAATGAAGCAGACTATATTATCCAACATTCCAATGAGATAAAATAATCAAAATGATTTCTTTTTTGGAAAAATGTTTCTCTTATTCTCCTACATTGTTGCTGTTTTTTCTTTTTAAACAGGAAACATGGTTAATATCCGTAAAAACACAAAGCTTTTGGGCTGGGTGCGGTGGCTCACACCTGTAATCCCAGCACTTTGGGGAGCCCGAGTCTGGTGGATCACCTGAGGTCAGGTAGTGGAAGTGTGAGCCATCACACCCGGCCGGCTTCATTTCAGAACTCTTTCCCCAGCACTCCATATACTATGAATAATTCCTTTCTTCTTCTTTGGATAGCATTTTAGTCATATCTCTATTACCCCACTTGTCACATGATAATCAGTGGCTCACCCATCCATCTCCCTTGATTGCTCATGAGCTCCTTGAGAAGAGTCTGATTTTCAGCACCTTGAACAGTGTGCCACACATACATGCTTCATACGCAGAGAAGGAAATGATTTCACTACAGTGTAATTATTCCCAGAATTCAATATCTGTATTTCTAAATTGTTCTAGATACTCTGCCAACAACCTGAGAATGTTATGTTTTTTCCCCAAAACTTCCATCCATTATTGTGTGTCTATGGTCATAGTTAACTCAATTGTGACGTCACCTTTGGACAAGCCCATTAACAGTTTCTTTTTTTTTAGGTGATTTTTAATTTTAATTTTTGATTTTGATTGTTTCTTTTCTGTTTTTTAAATCTAGCAGTGTTTGGTAAACTTCAACATCTCTATATCCCCGTGTCTCTGCCCCGCTGGTCTCTGCTTGGAATAATGTCTCAAGGTTTTAGTCACCTGGAAAAAATTTCTACTCACCCTTAAAGAATCAGAAATAAATAGGCTGGGCATGGTGGCTCATGACTGTAATCCCAGCACTTTCGGGAGGCCAAAGTGGGCGGATCACCTGAGGTCAGTAGTTCCAAGACTAGCCTGCCCAACATGGTGAAACCCCGTCTCTACTAAAAATACAAAAAATAGCTGAGCATGGTGGCAGAGGCCTGTAATCTCAGCTACTCGGGTGGCTGAGGCAGGATAATTGCTTGAACCTGGGAGGCAGAGGTTGCAGTGAGCTGAGATCGTGCCATTGCACTCCATCTTGGGTGACAGAGTGAGACATCATCTGAAAAAGAAAAAGAAAAAGAAAAAGAAAAGCTTAAATAATACCTTCTCTGAGAAGCCTTTATATCTTCCTATTCTTTCAGGAAGTGTTGAAAATTCCTCAACTTTTGAAACATTTGTGCCTCTATTACTGTGTATCAGGCAGTGAACTGAGTGCCCAGGATAGAAAGATGAAACTGTAGATCCTGCCCTTACGGAGCTCATGGTCTAGTATGGAAAACAGCCATATGAACAAATAACCACACTATAGGTCTTCAGAGCTCAAGTCCTATCCTAAATACTGTGAAATTAATGTTCTGTGAGGTTTTGAAAGTACTAGGGCCAGAGACAATATGGCTGCTTGGATGACTTTCCATCCAAGTTAACATTCGGCCCTCATCACAAAGGGAATACATGCGTGCATCTTCCTTGCAACCCACCAGTGCCTAACACATCATATCACCACTTTTGAAATCAGGAAACAGGCTCAGAAGTCCAAGAGCTTGACCAAAGTAACTCAGCTGGTAGGTAGCAGAGCCAGGTCAGTATGATTCTTCTTCAATATCCTGCCAGCCACATGGGCAAGTGGCCTCAAAATCAACAAAAGACAGGTAGAGGTTGACATGCATCAATGGAGAGAGGCTCAAAAGGAGGATTTTATACACAAGAATAGAACAGAAATGTTCTGGAAGTATATCTGTGGATGTGAAGCAGGAGGGGGCACACCAGGTTTCACCTTGGTCAAGTGAATCTATAATTCCAACCGGGGCCTCGCCGCCCCCCACCCCCCCGAGCTCCAGACTTAGCTATCTGTCTTTCTTACTCTAATATAAAATCCACAGGGCAGGACCTTAATCTCTAGCTTGTTCACACAGATTAAAGCAGAGTCTGGCTTATAATAAGGACTTAATAAATACATGAATGAATAAATAAACTATCAAAGAAGCTAAAGAAACATTCCACATTCTTGCGGGAAGGGATTACCATGAAACAGACCCTAGCAGTCACTTACAAATACAGTTGACCCTCATCATTGGAGTATCCCATATTTTCAAATTAGCTTACTTGCTAAAATGTCTTTCTAAGTCCCAAATTAATACTTGTGGCACTTTCAAGGTGGCTCCTGGATAGACATGCAGTAGTGAAAACTCTGTCACTCTTTGCACACGTCCCAAGCTAAGGTCAAACAGTGACCTTGGTCTGCTTGTTTCAACTCTCATACAAAGATGACCTGAGGACAGAGACAGTAGAGGACACTGCAGGGTAGCGCAAGAAGCTGTGGCTCTGGGGCCAGTTGGGCGGGGTCTGAATCATAACACTGGCACCTGTTAGTGGAGTGGCCTCAGACAAATCACTTACAATTCTGTACTTCCGTTATTCTTTTGGAAAGAAAGAAAATTCAATCTACCAGGATGAGTTGTTTTTAGGAATTAAGATGATAACCTATATGACATATGTATTTATGTACATATTTACCCTGGAAACAAGGGTTTGCTATTTGATTAATTCAGTGTTCCAGGCAACTTTGTAGAATATTACTCCTGCAAATAGTAAGAATTGGCTGTAATTAAAGAAATAACAGAGATGTAGACAAAACAATTATTTGGGTGAGCTACAGGCAGTCTTCAAGAAGCTTCTGAAGAAACAGAACTTCAGCAGGCACTTAAGCTGTAGAAAAGGCTTGCAAGGAGATAGAACAGCATCTACAGAGAGAGGTCCAGGTGGGGTCAGG
This sequence comes from Homo sapiens, assembly GCF_000001405.40. NCBI lineage: Eukaryota > Metazoa > Chordata > Mammalia > Primates > Hominidae > Homo > Homo sapiens. The sequence continues at coordinate 34,539,358 of NC_000015.10, forward strand.
AAATGGCATTTCAGGAAGTCTAGAGCAGTAGAAGATGAGGCCAGAACACGGCGCCACAGTGCTGCTCTGCACCCTCTATACACCCTGTACTGCAGAACCTCACTCTCTGCATTTAGTTCTTGGTTTCTAATTCTCTCTTCCATTAAACTGTGAGCCCCTCAAGGTCAAGGTCTCTAAGAAGAAACCATAGCTACAGTCCTCTAAATTTGAAAACAAGTTATTAAACACAGATACACCCAAGAAGACCGTACAAAAATAATGTTGGATTTCAATTGCAGTCATAGAAATTCACAACTGGTATACATTTGCAATCTGTCCAGGATTTTTCTCTGATGACTGCCGTAACTCTGTCATAAACCCTTTTCATTATTTGAGACACCGAGACATTTGTTAGAATGTTTGGGAAAGACATTCTAAAAGGGCAAGAAAGACCTTGATCTTTTTTGTGTAACTGATTGACTGGTTGACTGACTGAGATGGGATCTCATTATGTAGCCCAGGCTGGTCTGAAACCCCTAGGTTCAAGCGATACTCCTGCCTCAGCCTCTCTAGTGGCTGAGATTACAGGCGCACGCCACCATGCTGGGCTCTAGTGTGATGTATTTACGAGGCTTAAACATATGGTTCATTACACAAGGCTGGCACCTCAGAGTAAAGATTTTTTAAAGTTCACTCTAATAGACTTATTTCTCTATATGCAAGATACAATTTTACCACAGTAAAACACAAGGAAGCATACTGATATACATATATGTTACAACAGGATAAAAAAAAGCAATATAATTTTCTCCACAAAAGCTTGCAAAATCCTGGCCAAAACACAGTAAAGAGGATGTTAATCTCACAGCTCACGTTTCTCCACTGAGACCCAGGAAAAACAATGCCAGTTTTTGTACAGTCACAAAACTAAGCACTGTGAGAATTTACAAGATTTGGTTAACTTGTATATTCTCCCCACCCTGACAGACAAGTCCCAAAGGAGCCTAGCAGTTTTACCCCAACATTTCAATCTCCTCCAACCTCCAAAATAAAACCCTCACTGTCCAATATCTCAATTTATATTTTCAAACGTCTAAAATCTTAATCGAAACAAAGAGCAGTGCATTAGCTTTGCCGCCATAGAATGCTTGGTATAATTTTACTTAGGCACATCACAGATTGTGCTATTGCCTAAAAACATATGGGTAGAACCAACATTCCTAGAAACCAAACGCATATATTACGAAGGTGAAAGGGAATAGGGAGTGTTGTTTTTAAACAGATAGAACGCTGTGATTGTCCACTCATAGGTTAGGTGTGATCAAATCACATCGTGCTGTACAGCTAAGTATGTCCTATATTGTATGACAAAGTAGGGTAACACATTATTTATTGAGGACCTGTTGGGTACACAGAGGCACACCACAAGCTGTAAAAGACTTCATTCTTGCCCTCAAGAAACTTCCAAGTTTCTAGACAGCCTGATAGAAGGTAGTCGAAAGCAAATACTTCAAGCACTAGCCATCACAATTACCTTAGGTATTTACGCTACCCTTCTACGAGTCTCTGAATATTTCGAGGCCCCCTTTCCTATTTCCCATGGGCTCTATGGCTCAACATTCTTTACAGCCACAGGCTTTCCTGGACTTTACGTTATTATTGAATCAACATTGCTCACTATCCGCCTCCTTTGCCAATTAAAATTCCACTTTACATCCAACCACCACTTTGGCTTTGAAGCCACTGCCTGATACTGACGCTCTGTCGATGTACAATGACTATTCTTACACGTCTCTGTCTACTGAGGAGGATCCTACTCTTTTAACAGAAACAGTGCCATTGACTTCCAATCAACTAGTTTCCATAATATCCAAAATATTAGATAATATTCCATTATACTCCCAAAACAAATAATGAGTGATGTTCTCTCAAATACACGTATAATCAAATGTGACATTGAGAAGATGGGGCGACCTTTGACTCAGAGATTGTATTCAGGCCTTTGTAGATGCATTTATTTGACATAATTATGCATTTAAAACATAAGTTAAATTGTCATCAGCCTGAAATTATAGGGGCTTTTGTTGGTGAGAAACCTATTTTATATATAATCGTTTACCCATAGAAATGTTTTTGATTAATGTTATCTGTTAAAGACTTCAGTTCACAATATTTCCCCTGTTAATAGTATATATGTTTTTGGAGTTGATCTGGAGAATTTGAGGACCACGTTCTAATCGCTATCTGATGCTATTCTGGGAGGACAATTCATTGCCTTTGGGTTGCTGGGGGTTGGAACTTGAAGGCGGGTCTGAGTCTGGAGACCTTGCCACTGACTTTTGGAAAGTCTGTTGATTCTACCTTTGGAAGTGCCTTTACATGCCTTATGGAAGGCCGGGCATGGTGGCTCACGCCTGTAATCCCAGCACCTCGGGATTATTGATGAATAAATCAATTTGGGAAATGCTTGGTAAATTCAACGGGACCTCTCAGAACAATGAATTTATATGGCCACGATGTTGTTTTCTGGTTTGTTTGTTTTTTTGTTTTTGTTTTTTTTGCAAAGAGCATTCGGAAGACTTTCTAGTACACCAGTTTGGGAACTGTTGGTGGAGGAGTCAGGGTAATTAGGCTTTGGACTATTCCAGGTACAGGTTGTCACTGTATTCAAGGAATTGTTCTTAGTCTTTGTATATATCCGAATTAACTATAGCAAATTAACAAGCAGAAATATAAGAATTGGGCCTTGGAGGGAGGGAGAGGGCGAGAGAGAGGGGTAGATAGAAGTTTCCTATTTTAACTATGGTTCAATTCTAAGCATTCTAAAATTTCATTGGATTCTTTTAACTATGAATTACAAGGGTGTTTAATTTCCAAGTTCATGAAGCCTTTGGTTAATCTCTTCATTATTAACTTCTAACCTTAACTGCTTCATATTTAAATTATCAATTTTATGGTGTGGATTGTACCAATTGTTTTTCAATCTTCTGACGTGCTTAATGGATTAATACATAATTAATGTTTCTCCCACAGTCCACATATGCTTGAGAAGAATACAGAATATCTGATTATTGGGTACAGAGGTCTATATTTGTCCATTACATCACGTCCATTCACGGGTTATTCAAATCTATATATGGGCATTCTGTGTAACTTACTTATGGTAAGCAGGGTATGTTGAAATCTCCAAATACAATGGCAGACTCGTCAATTTCTCCCTGTGGTTTTATCAGTTTTTCCTCTGTATTTTGAGTCTATTTTGATAGGTACATAAAATATGAAAATTGCTACATCCTCCTAATTAACAGTCAGTTGGCATCAAGCTGTTACTAATGCTTTGTGTTCCAACATCCTATCTTGTTTGAAACTGAAGCTCCATCAGTTGTTTTGGTTAATGTATACCGGCATATCTTTCTCTCTCTCTCTCCTTTATAAAAACTTTCAATCTTTTCACATCCTCATAGTTTCAATAAGATGGATTAGAACAGCTGGATATCGTTTTATTAGTTCCATCTGTCTAACTGGTAACTTTAGTCCATTTACAGTTGTTGTGACTCATTTATGTGGACTTCCTTCTGTCACCTTTAGAACTTCCATTTCTCTCACTTTCCAATATAATTTTAATATCTCCTCCTGGGATTCCACTAAGACGTATTTTAGACCTCATTCTGATCTCCCTCTCCCCGCCAACCCCACCAACTTCTGCCCTGTCATTTATCCTCATATCTCTCTGTGTAACATATGGACTTACTTTTTGGAGATAATGGTCTAACCAATTAATCCTTTCTTCTGGTGTCTAATCCATCCACTCGGTTTCTTATTTCAACAATTCCATTTTATATTTCCTTATTTCATTTTATTCTGAGACAGAGTCTCACTCTGTCACCCAGGCTGGACTGTAGTGGCACGAACCTGCAGCCCTGGCCTCCTGGGCTCAAGTGATCCTCCCACCTCAGCCTCCTGATTAGCTGGGAGTATAGGCAGGTAGGTGCCCCATACACAGCTTTTTTCTTCTTCTTCTTTTTTTTTTGGTGGTGGTGGGGTATTTTTTGGAGAAACGAGTTCTCACCATGCTGCCCAGGCTTGTCTCCAACTCCTGGGCTTATGCCATCCTCCCGCCTCAGCCTCTCAAAAAGTGCTGAGATTACAGGTGTGAGACACCATACCCAGCTATATATTTTATTTCTGTAAGTTCTATTTCATCCATTTTCCTTTCACGTCTTCCTCATCATTCCTGGTGGTCTTACTGCTCCTGCTCGCTCAATTTTATGAGTCCATCTTTTTCTTATATAATACATTTATTTCACATGTAACTATTTTCTCACAATTCTAATATTTGAAGTCTGTATTCTGTATCTGATAATTCCAAAACCTACAGTCTTTGGAAAACATTCATTGTTTCTGATAATTCTCAAATATATTGGGTTCACTACTTGAATGCTATGATTTCACTGAATTCATAGTTGCCTGCTTTTAATCTTTGGGAATCCTACAGGCTTAAGTTAGAGATGGTTTCCTAGAAAAAGTATCTGTGCGTGCTTCTGATGAGAGCTGTGGGGACAACTAACAAGAGACCCCTTTACCACCGTCCGTAATCCTGATATTCTCTTGGATTCTCCTGGAGAATGTCAGGATTACACAAGGTTCTCAAATTTGGCTCCCCAACCTTGCTCATTTATATACAGAAGACTAGACTGCTTAGTATAGGTGATGACTCACTTCCTCCTACCCTGGAAAAAACAAAACAGATCTCTCATCTGAATGTGATCACAGACTAGGAAATTCTGAAGGTGAATAACTGGAGGCTGTAGGCAGCAGGGAAAGACAGGTGTCTTTCCTGACCATAGAAATAGGTCACAAGCTGCCCTAAAGGCTGTGTGCTCCACCAGGATTTCACTATTTAGCTCAACCAGCAGTCCCTCTGTAAGAGTGAACGGAAGCTTCTTAGAGCACCACGCTGCCTTTAAACCACAAATTCTTGCTGAAAGTCATGGTCATGGTAAAAAACCTATGGCTTTGCAAGGCTTTCTTGGTAATGTCCTAGAATTAAGGTTAAGCCTGCGTTTCATGGTAACTGAACAGGAAACCAGCCTGACCAACATCCTTCTCCCCAATGGCTTGCTCTCAGCTCCTCTTGCTTGGGCCTTGGGCAGCCAGACGGTCTGGTTTTAATCCTTGCTCTGCCACCTGTGACCTTGGACAAGTTACCTACCTTCAGTTACCTCATCCACAAGATGCAGATATTAGTAATACCCTCTTTTTAAGTTATTAAGAGGATTGAAAGAGTTAATAAAAAGTAAAAAAAAGACTTGGTAAGCATAGGCACAGAGGCGGGAAAAAAGCAATAATAAAGAAATGATACTTCTATATTTTCTATAGATCATCTTTGTAACAAGAAGAAAACAAACCAAATGAAAATGAAACAAATTCTCTCAAAAAGAATTAAGTCAAGACAGGCAGAAGGCTCACAAAGTAATATAAAATATATCTTATGGTTTATGGAAAATTCTTAATAAAATACCTTCTTTGCTCCAAGCTGCACTCTGGCTTTGCCTTTGAGTCACGTGGCATTTCTTTGTACGATGACCGGTTCTGTCGAGTAGGCACTGCTTCAGCCCTACAGGAAGGAAAAAACATCTCTAGAAAACAGCAGCATTCCTGATTCCCACTTGAGGAGGCCTAACAAAACGGCATATGCCTCAACAGCAGCACATCAGTGTTAAAAAGTCTGGAGTCAAGGGGAAAAAGTAAAATTGGACCATTTCCAGAATCTCACCAAAAACAACAAACGGATGTTGCAAGTGGCCTACATGAGCAAATTAGAACCTTAAATAAAGGTCACTCTTAATGCCTATCCCAGCATAGATGCAGCACCAAGTACAGTGTCATTTTACTGGTTTACCTTTTTCATTCTTGAAAGTAGGAGCTATGAAAAAAAAACACTAAAATTTCTTGAAGAGAACCTTCTACTTACAACCTAACTTACGTAATCGAAACACTCTATTGAGGGTGAAAATTGAGTATTATAAGAAAATAATCACCTGTTTTGTGAGAAGTTCAGTACGTAATGCTCCTCCACACAATACATACCTTAGAAAGAAAAAAGGAAACATACAAAACTATCTCGAGAATTATTCCTGCTTAAACAATTTCTACATGCCATTACTAAGAAAGTATGCACACAGTAAACATGAGAAGAGAACATGCAAGCATGAACATACTTGTTAGGGATACAGGACTATGGGTAACTTAAAAACTCTGTTGGTATTACTCTCATGTAATTGCTCTGAAATTCTAGTCAACTATTTGCAATGGCTCTTAGAACAGAATACTTTGAATTTTTATGATATCAAAAACTAAGAACTTAGCCAAGTATTCCCAAGAATAGGAATAGTAAGCATACTTAGTAAGTATTCCAAAGAATAGGGGCAGAAGAACGCATTTCTTTAAAGCACTACCTCAGAATTCAATTTAGTAATTCCGATGCTGCCTGTAACATCAGAAAACAACTTCCTTAAAAACATAGCAAGTTGGATTTACCAAGTTGCTGACCAGGTCGCATTCCCTCCTGCCCTCAATCCCATCTTTGTGTTATACTTTATCTCCAGTACCATTTTGCTTAGTATTCATGGTGCTCAAGTTGTCACTGTGGACATCAGAGCCTATAAATATATATTGTTCTGGCTCCTTCCTGTACATCTTTCCAAGTCATACCTGCTATTCTCCAAAGTCTGTGAATCCCGACACTAATAACTTGGAAATTCAGTTTAAGGTCCTCTTCAGAAGGTCAGTTAGCTCAAGGCATCACATTTTTCTCAGGACTCTTAAGAAATACTCCAACCACAGAAAAAGGCCCTTCTTTCTGGTATCAGGAGCCATTGGCCACAAACACAAATCCAATAGAGTTTCAGCCATTTACCTCCCACATCGTCCCTTCCCTGAAGTTCTAGCTAAAGCAGGAAAAAATAATGAAAACACCACCTGCAGTCACGAATCCTCCAGTTTCCTGGCCAAGATTTCGTATTTCCTTCAAGATACCTCCCAAAGAGGACATGACGAGGGAGGGGCACACAGGGTGCTACAGGTACTGATAAGGTTTTATTTCTTTTATATATATGTATTTTTTGAGACGGAGTTTCTCTCGTCACCAAGGCTGGAGTGCAATGGCACAATCTCGGCCCACTGCAACCCCTGCCTCCTGGGTTCAAGTGATTCTCCCAGCTCAGCCTCCCACGAAGCGGGGGTTACATTACAGGCGCCCGCCACCATGCCTGGCTAATATTTTTGTATTTTTAGTAGAGAAGGGGTTTCACCATGTTGGCCAGCCTGCTCTTCAACTCCTGACCTCAGGTGATCTGCCTGCCTTGGCCTCCCAAAGTGCTAGGATTATAGGCATGAGCCACCACGCCCAGCCAAAGGTTCTATTTCTTAAGTTTGGTGTTGGGCATATGGATGTATGATTTAATGTTTTAAAAAAGGAAGATACCTTCCTAGTTTTTTTGTGTTTTGTTTTTTTTGTTTTAGGCCTGCGTGCTTTATTCGTTACCCCGTATGAATCCATAAAGAAGTAGCCATTAGCAAATTCAGGCAATACATACCGGATTCATACTTCAGGAAGACAACCCAGTTGACAACGACAACAGTTTCTATATAACAAAAGTGAGAGAAAATACTGACATTAGGGTCATATCAAGAAAGTTCAATCATAAGATATATCCACAAGCAAAAATATACACACAAAAAGCTAAGTACGAAGCTTTTAGAAAACTACTACCATCCTTAGAGTAAGTACAAGAAAGTATTCTTTTATGTCTGTTTTTTTCATCAAAATACCGCATATAGCCATAGATTTTAAACCATTACATCTTATCTAGATTCCATTAACATTTCTTCTAGATCACTAACATTTCTTCTAGATTCCATCGTTATTCCTTTGTAACCTTTATTTTCAGTATCTTAAAAATACTTTATTAAATATAACACATACATTCAGAAAGTTACATAAAATATACCTGAAGGTATACCTTAACAAGTTATTGTAAATTATTTGCCCATGTAACCACCAACCTGGTCCTGAAATATATTCCAGCCAGTATCCAAGAAGCCCACAGATGTCCCTTTCAGGTCACACATCCCTACCTCCCACCTGGATGGACTCCTTCCCCTAACCTCTATGTGATCACCTCTTTGTTCTTAATAGTTTTACTGCCCAAGTATGAATCCAGAAATAAGTGTTTCTCTGTTTTCTTTTCACTTTTGTCCCCCTAAGAAGCCTTTTTAGAAGTTTTCTTCCTAATTCTATCCCCACTCCCCATGGAATTTTAACACCACAGATATACTGTATGTCGGTTTATGTTATACGGCCCTTTGGAGGGCAGCAGACCATTATAATAGGTAAGATTTTCTTTCACTCTAAGGACCAATTTTCACTCCACTGCAGGCGATATTGCCTCCACTAAGAATGTATGCCCTAACCAACATTAGTTTTCCCTATTGTTGAACTCTATATAGAGGAAATTGTACAAAATAGGTTTTGGGGCTCTGGTCTCTTTCGCTTAACATAGTGTTCAAGGTTCGTCCATCTTTCCCACATAGCTGTAAGCCATTTTATGAATACCACAATTCTTCATTTTCTTGGAATGAACACCTGGGTTACTTTCTGTTTGGGGTTATGATAAATGATGCTACTCTGAACATTCCGGTGTCTCCTGGTGCCTATGTACTCATTTCTTGTGGAGTATATATCCACAAGATTCCTGAACCATAGTGTATGAGTATCTTCCACTTTACCAAATTGTTTTCCAAAACACTTGTACAAATATACACTCCCATTAGAAAAACAGAGTCCCGTAACAATTTTATTACCTTAAAAGATAAGTTAAGCAAAGTATCTCCTATGCCTTCTTTTTCTTTTAAGATCTGAAGATCACTGTGCAAAGGACTAGCAGGGTCAACCCGAAGAATCACAAAACAAAAAACAGTTCAAACAAAAAGATATTTTTTTTTCAACTAACTCAAAAATGAACCAATCTGAAAGCTAAAATAGAGCACCTAGGCTAAGTTCAAGAAAGAGAAGATCTTAAGCTGCTCTATATCCTCAGGAAAAACAGAGGTCACTATAGCTTCCAGCTCCTTTAGAATGAATGTCCAAAAGAGATCATAATAGCCTAAATCTAATCTAATAAGGGGGTTCAGAGTTTGCAGTCATTCTAAAGGAAAACAGTCACATGTATATAATTTTCTCAAGAATTCAAAAGAAGTTTAATATGCTTTCCTAAACTTGTATTATTAGTCAAGCAGTTCAAGGAGAACAATTTGCCATGGACGGAACTATGAAAAGTTAAATCACTAAAAAATCGGTATTTTTCCACAACTGTCCTATATATAGATTTCTAATATGACTCCCATCCCCCACTCCCTTTTCGTTTGTTTGTTTGTTTGTTTGTTTTAAGAGACAAGGTGTCTCGCTCTCTCACCCAGGGTGGAATATAATGGTGCAATCACAGCTCATGTGCAGCCTTAACGTCTCCAAGCTCAAAAGATCTTCCTGCCTCAGCCTCCCACCATCCATAGTAGCTTGTACTACAGGTGTACTACACCGACGTATTTTAAAAGTAATAACATAACTACATCTACAATAAGAGTTAATTATATTGCTTTCAAAACTGGGGGAAAAGTCATAAAAATCAACTTGGCAATCATTCTCTGTATAATGAAATATATTACTCTTGTTTACTTTCCAACCAATATTATTCAAGCTTGAGCTTTTTCCTAGAAGATAAAAATCAAGCAAGAGTTCACTCTATCAAGAAAATGACAAAAAAATTTCGATGGACCTATAAAAACATTTCCAACACTCAACATTTCAAGAAGTAAAAAAAAAAAAAAAAAGTCCAATTAAATGAAGCATTATGAAGTTTCAAGAGAATATAAAACTAGACACAAGTCTGGTTCGTTTCCTATTTCTTATCATCTGAAAAACTCTAGCCAACATGTTCAGACCACCATGGACTCCATGATAGCACAGAATTTAGTATGAGTCTATTCCAAACCCCAGCAATTTTTGAAAATGCTAGAAGACACTCAAGGTGACACATTACTGACTAAGAGAGACTTCCATTCATAAGACTACAAGCAAGAATATTACACAGATGGTCTAGTTCACACATTGACACACTGAGAAACACGTGTACCTACATGCAACTGGTTTCAGTTTTTCAGTGTGGGGACTTCTCTAAAGATGAAAACACATCGATATCTTATCCTAAGACTAAGTAGAAATGGAACTACTTTTTAGTCATGTGAAACTAAAGGTTTTAAAGACTGCACTATACTTTGAAAAAGAAAAAAAATCAAGTTTACGAAGATCTCACTTCCTAGATATGTAACCATGACCTCATTTCCTATCTATAAAATATGAGAAGTTTCTCCTATCTCTAAACTATGAAGAGCACCTATTTCACACAGCGGCTATGAAGACTAAATGAGCGCATCTATAAAGTATAAAGTACTTAACATAGTATCGGTCATGCAAAAGTGTTCAATAATTTATACTTGTTTTGAAGATAACTCAAACTGGAATCGATCACAAGACACGGAAAGTACAGTAACATTATTTCAAATGCTACAAACTCAGTTTTTTAAATAAGATATGAGAAATGGACTAAATTTCTTTCCTCTGGGAAAAATTACTAATTAAATTAATATATAACTAAGACTGAAGGAGGGAGAGTAATCTATCTGGTTTCAACACTTGGCATCTACTTGCCTAACAATTCATTCCCTGTTTTGGAGAACCTGTGCCCAAGACAAAGTAACTGGTCCTCGGCTTTCATGGAGTTGGTAAATAGCTCTAATACAAGGCAGGAAGTAGTAAGTGTTCAGACAATCATCTGACGTTTCCCTACTCTGTCTGAGCATTTCATGTATACACACACATCATTCTCATTGATTTTTCACAGCAGTCATCCAAAAGGTATGTACTATCTATCCATACTTTAGAGTTGAGCAAAGTGAAACCAAAAAAGGTGTGTTTGTCACCACACTCAGTGTTCCTTTCACATCCTGCCACTTCACATAAAAGAGATGTTAAGTCAAAAGAGAAGAATTAGTTTTGATTTGGTCAGAGCAGGATGGACCAAAGTCACCTTCACGAAGGAGAAATAATTTGAGTTGTGTTTTGTAGGAGAGAATGAATGTGAATATACAGATGCCACAGAAGGAAAGTAAGCAGAGAAAACAGCATAAACAGGCTGGAAAGGGGCATATACAGGGATCAGCAGGTGGTTCCAGGATGTGAACAGCAGATGAACAGGGTAAAAAGTGGCTGTTCATAGATGAGAAAGATAACCTTGGGCAAGAGAACATATGACCGTGGCTAGGGACAGTGGCTCATGCCTGTAATCCCAGCACTTTGGCAGGCTGAGGTAGGAGGATCGCGTGAACTCAGGTGTTCAAGACCAGCATGATCAACATAGTGAGACCCCATCTCTACTAAAAATCTAAAAAATTAGCCTGGTGTGGTGGCTCATGCCCATAGTCCAAGACACTTGGGAGGGTGAGGCAGGAGGATCACTGGAGCCCAGGAGATCAAGGCTTCAGTGAACTATGATTGTGCCACCGCACTCTAGCCCAGGCGACAGAGCAAGACCCTGTCTCAAAACCAATAAACATGTGACTGAATCTACCACTAAGGCAGGAATGGAGGAGAGCAGCTGAGATTGGCATGTTCATGAATTGCCTGGGATTAACTATAATTACTTAAACAAAAATCCAGGCTCTAGCTATTTATACACACTTACGCAGTTAAATGCTCTTGTCTTTCAGTCTTCCTAATTTCTCTAATATTGCCAAATTTTCTTTTTCAATTCCTTCATCCTCCAACTTTTTCCCACTAATGGGCTCTGCTTTCATCTCGTAGTGATCTAAGTCTTCTATATCCTGCAAAAAGAAGAAAAATGTTAGCTTATTCAACCTATTTTTCTTCAGCAGTTTCTTATGCCAAAAGTTAAATTATTCTTGACTCAATGGGGGACAAGAAACAGAATATATCTATCCTACGGGGAGAGAGGAAAAGCCCCCACATTCCATTCAAGAGGCTCCCACCTTCTATATCCTACATTTTATTTAAAAGCTACACTCTGGGTAAAGCAGATTTCAAAGCTTTACAAAGTCATAACTATTAAGAAATAAGCCATCATTTATTTATTTACTTCTTTAATTTTTATTTCCTTTTTTAAAACAGAGTCTCACTCTGTCACCCAGGTGGGCGTATACAGGGGTGATCTCTGCTCACTACAAACTCTGCCTCCCAGGTTCAAGTGATTCTCATGCCTCAGTCTCCTGAGTAGCTGGGATTTCAGACACCCATCACCACGCCCAGCTAATTTGTGTATATTTTTAGTAGAGACAGGGTTGCACCATGTTAGTACCAGCCTATCTGGGGCTTTATAAAGTTAAGAAAAGAGCCTGTATGCATGCTGAAGGCTGTGTGACCACAGGGCTTTTAAAGGATGCTTCTGTGTTCCCACAGTTAGGTGGGAGCTCTTGGAAGGATCTCTTTTATCCCAGTGCTCTTGCTAAGAATGGAAAGCCCCTCTGCATAACTGCAGCAGCTGGTGCCATCCTCTGTTCACTTGCATCAGAGCCTGGGAGGTTGTGGTCTGCAAAGCTCACCTCTCATAATGGGACGCCAATCAATAGTATCCGAAGTTGATATACCCAGAAAGAGAGTTCAAAAATTATTTAGAGAGGTGGAAAATAATCACCAGTAGAATTAAAATCAGAAACGACAAAGTTGGCCAGCGGAGTGGGGAAGTCCAGATTGGGGAATGTGATGTTTCATTATAAGGTCTTTCAGCATTTGCTTACTTTGGTCTGAGTGAAAGAATTGTCTCATTTTTTTGAGGGCCATGTACAGCAAAGGACTCACCATCTGTCAGACACACTGGTCAGTTCTGGCAAGGCAGAGTTGGAGGTTCCTGTCCTCAGGTGGGTGGGCAGGGACGGCAGCTTGCCGTAAGGTATCCAACAGCACCAGCGGCAGGAAATGAAAAGTGCTCAGTGATTGGTGGGATAGTGGTGTCTAGCACAATGATTCCTGCCAAAATCTTAATGGTGGTTGGGCATAGTGGCTCAAGCTTGTAATCCCAGCACTTTGGGAGGCCGAGGTGGGTGGGTCACTTGAGGTCAGGAGTTCAAGACTAGCCTGGCCAACATGGTGACACTCTGTCTCTACTAAAAAAATACAAAAATTAGCCGGGCGTGGTGGCACGCACCTGTAATCCCAGCTACTCGGGAGGCTGAGGCAGGAGAATTGCTTGAACCTGGGAGGCAGAGGTTGCAGTGAGCAAAGATTGTGCCACTGCACTCCAGGCTGGCCAACAGAGTAAAACTCCATCTCAAAAAAAATAAACAAATAAAGCCACAAAAACAAACAAACAAAAAAACCCAATGGTGTGCAATAAATGAAAATGCTGCCCCAGTCAGACGGGACTAGCATTTTTCAGCAACTTTCAAGGTCTTGTGTCACAAGAATGAAGATCCGAGTATTTCCCACCTGTGGAGGGGGCTGGTGAAGGAGTTTTCAGTCCCGGGCACCCTGGGCTGTGCTGAAAGCCTCTGCGTCACACTGCGTGAGTTAGTTGGGAAAGAGAGCTCCCACTGTTCTCTTTTAACCCTTGTCCTTTTGTACCACAGCAATTGCTTTCCTGGAGATCAGAACCGTGGCTGGGTTTAACATCATCTTTGGAAATCCTAAAAGGCAATGAAGCAATTTTTCTCTTTTCATTTATATATTTTTTTGATACAGCTGTGTCAGTTTGAAATTTTACTTTCGTATCAGTTCTAATAGTGTGTCTGCTTGACATAGTTTCTATTAAATGGGCTTGATATGAAGTTACTTAAAAATTCAAGTATTTAGAGTTTCAGGGCCCATCGTCTTGATTTTTGGGGCAATACCTCAATTTCATACTGTGTTATTCTTTTCCAGAGAGATGGGTCACTGAATAACTTACATTTTATGATTGTTTTATGAGAAACTATTTCTGGTTACAAATGGTAAACATCTAGGTTTTGCAGTAAGAAATAATGGATTATGTTAGAAAAAAAGAACCATAAGAAGATGTGTTTTTAATTTTGACTTCCTGTAAGTACCTTCTGGAGCAGAAGGTTTTCTCTTTGTGGATTCTGCATCTTGGATTTGGGGACTCTGTTGCACTGAGCTGTGCTCTGTGGGGAGGAGCCTGTGGCAGAACAGTTTGGGTTCTGCTGGCCGCCTTTCCCTCTATTCACGGAGTCTGGGTCCCAGAGAAAGATGACAGCAGTTAGGTCTTGTTGGGAAAAAAACGCGGCTACCAACCCTGGACCATTTTGCTTCCCCTGAACAAATAAGATAGTCATTTGCCTACTTTTGGGGACGGTGCCTGTGCTTTGCACAGGACGAGGTGGCAGCTGGCTTGCCTGCTGGCCTGCTTCCTGGAGATAGGATGCTCAGACCCACCGCTGCTCTTCAGGGGTCGTGGAAGGAATTAATGCACTTCCTTCTGTCCCCCAATCTCTGTCCCTTTACGTGTCTCTGGAGCTGAGCAGGTATTCTTTTTCTTTCTTCATCTCAGTAGAGCTGTTAAATTAAATAGATGTTGCTTAAGCCATTCAGAAAGGTTTCACATTTTAAAAAACAAAAGGTAGCTGCTGCCATGATTCCTTTGCCCACCGCTACACCGTGTCGTTGTAGGACAGTCCCCACTTGGCTGTGCTGAGCCTGTCTGGAAGTGTTTCTGATTCTAATCAGAAGTGGAACAGTTTCAGTGCAGACTATAGGTTCATGTTAGTGATGAACTTGGGTGGAGATGGGGACACAGCTTGTTCTTTCCTCCTGGACTCTCATCCAGGGTCCTGAGCTGCCAGGGGCCTGGCCACTCTCACCCTGAGCCCTGCCCTGGCTGAGCTGATCACCGCTGCATGTCCCAGGCTGCCGGTCTGCCTGTCACCTGCAGTGCACATGTGTGCATGTGTGTGCATACGTACATGCACCACACACATACCATGCCCACCTCATACACACCACACACATACCCCATACACACCACACACCAACCACACACATTACACACACTGCATACATATCACACACCACAAACACTACACCACGCACACAAAACATACATACACGCTCAAGCCTTCCACACTACATTACACTCCACACACACCACACATCACACTCCACACACACCACACGCACATATCACATTCACATCACACCACACCACATACCACACACCATACACAGTACACTCCACACACCACACCCTCCAGGACGTCCCACCACCATACACACACAAACACCACACACCCACACCATACTACACATTTACCACATACACACCACACACACTGTATCTCATGAACACACCACACACCCCCGCCACACACATTTGCATGCAAACTACTCATTGAATGAAACCGAATGATTTAGTTTTCCCCAAATTAATACTGCCTGCCTGCGCACCCCTGGCTGTCCTGGCCGGCACATCCCCCGGTCCTGCCCTCCCTTGGGTCAGCACCGCCTCCTGTGTCTCAGGTGTCTCTGGCTGTGCCCTGTGGCGTGCTCATGTCCTGATCTTGTGGGAGGCTGGCTCCTCTGCTCCAGTGGCTGCCTTCCTAGAGGAGACCAGCTTGTTTGTCACCTCTCCTGATGCCCAGAGCAGCAGCCCACGGGGGAAGTCCTGCTTCCTCCCTTCGCTGTCTGCCCTTCCCCACAGGTTGTTTTGTCTCAGTGCTGATATCTCCCCAGCTAGAAGAGGAGACCCTCAAAGGTGCACAGGTGGATTTGATTATAATGCAGGTGAATATTAAATGCGTTTTGGTGAAACACTCAACCACTACATACATCTTTAATAAAGTAAAATGTCCAGGCCCCCTCTGCTCCCACCTCTCTCTCCCCTCCCACCTCTCTCCCCCCTCCCACCTCTCTCCCCCCTCCCCTCCCCAGAGGATGTGGCTGACAAGCCTTTGAGGGGTTTCCCCTTTCTGTGTGCCTTTGCGTGTATGTATGGGCTGGGCGGTGTGTGTATTCTCTAGACATCTTGACGGACCTGTAACTGGGATCTACACACGTGCGCTTGCTGTAGCTCACTTGCCATTTTCCCTCAAAAATAGGCCTGTAAAATCCCTCACTGTAGTACGTGTTGCCCTGCCTCTTTAAAAATGCCACCAACTCTTCCAGCACGTGAACTCTGCCGTCATTTTTTTAAACATTCTCTTATTTATGGGTACTTAGGTTGTTTCCAGTTTTTTAAGAGATTGCGGCAATGAAAATCTTCAGCTATCATTTTTCACAGTGCTGTGGGAGAACGTGGTTGGAGGTGCTGTGGCGGTGGAGTGGCCCCACACGTGGCCAGGCTTTGTGGGGTTCTGACTCTGTCCTTGCCAATGTTCCTCCACACAGTGGCTGCCTCTGGGGAATGATGGCTGTGTGAGCGCCCGCCATGCCCCACCAGAAGAGTCTACCATGGCCCACCGGAAGCGTCTACCATGGCCCACCAGAAGCGTCAGAGCGCGGGGAGCAGCATGTTGGACCACGGGGCAAGGCCGGGTCCTGTCCCCCACCACCAGGAGCCCGAGAGCGAGGACGTGGAGCTGCCCTTGGAGGACTATGTGCCCGAGGGCCTGGAGCTGGTCACCCTGCGGCCAGAGAGCCCCACGCCCAAGAAGCAGGAGTGCCACAACCACAGCCCCGATGGGGACTCCAGTTCCGACTACGTGAACGACACCTCTGAGGAGGACGACTATGATGAGGGCCTCCCTGAGGAGGAGGAGGGCATCCCCTACTACATCCGCTACTGCCCTGAGGACCAAAGCTACCTGGAGGGCATGGACTGCAATGGGCAGGTGTACCTGGCCCACGGCGCGCATCCTATGGACACTGACGGGTGCCAGGATGCAGTGGACTGGACGGCCTGGGCGGGCCTGCACCCCCATGGTCACGGGGCTAAAGGTAGCCAGGACTACCCTGATGGCCAACTGCCCATCACGGAGGATGTGTCCTCCGTCCTGGAGGCCCACGACCAGGAAGAAGACGGTCACTACTGTCCCAGCAAAGAGGGCTACCAGGACTACTACCCTGTGGAGGCTAACGGGAACACCAGCGCTTCTGCCTACCCCCTGAGGTGCGGGGACGGGGACCTGGAGGACCAGGAGGAGGACATCGACCAGATCGTGGCAGAGATCAAGATAAGCCTGAGTATGACCAGCATCACCAGCACCAGTGAGGCCATCCCCGAGCATGGACCTGAGCCAGGGCCTGCGGACTCTGCAGAGGGCTGCCCACCCATCAAGGCCAGCTGCAGCCCCAGCAGGCAAGAGGCGAGGCCCAAGTCGCTGAACCTCCTTCCCGAGGCCAAGCACCCCGGAGACCCCCAGAGAGGCTTCAAGTCCAAGACCAGACCCCAGAAGAGAGGCTGAAGTGGCCTCACGAGCAGGTAGGACTCTAGCTGTCCCGGGGAAGGGAGCAGAGGGGCCCTAGAGCAAGGGACCTCAGGGTACAGGCCTCGCAGATGCTGAAGCGAGGAGGTGGGCAGTACTGGGTGCCTTACAGTTCTAATGGTGGCTGAGCTCTTCATTGGTCCAGTTGGGAGACATGTTGCGTGGATGCTCCGGCCACTCTTAAGCTCACCGCTCAGACTCAGGACTAAAGCCGGTTGAGGGCTGAGGGGCAACTCGTGTGTCGCAGAAGACACCCCTCCTCCCACCCTAGAAGACAGGTTCAATTTCTTGCCCACTGCCCTGGGTCTGCTCATGGTGGGGCAGTATGTGTGGGAGAGCCCCTCAATCCTCAGGGGTGTACTCAGACCAGCAGGGCAGTGGCAAAGACGTGGGGGTGCTGGTGCTCACCCACTGCTGCGGCCAGTGTTGGGTGGCCTGGTGGCTGGGGTCGGGGCCAGAGTGCATTTCACAATGGACGGGTGTCTGAAAGCTGGGGGGCCTTGGCCTGACGGGCAATCAGCTGTGAATACCTATTTGGAAAAGGATTTTTTGACGGTGTGACAAAACCTCGGGGAAGAAACGCATGCTAATGAGGGCAGTGGATGTCAGCATAACTGTATTTTAATTATAGCAAAGTCAGCGTGCATTCTAATAAACACATTTGAAAAGCCGCCTTCCAAAAAAAAGCCTCACTGTGAGTATATATTATAGAAGATGTGATTATTGGACTCGGGTGAAGGAACTTCTATTTGGCCAATTATGTGGACTGCTTTCATATTTTTTAAAGCTTTAACTACTATTTTTTTCTGAGAAGAATTCATGAATGTGTGTGTGTGTGTGTGTGTGTGTGTGTGTGTGTGTGTCTGTGTACTGAGAGCTTGGGTTTGGAATGGAAATCATATTGACTCCTGGATTTTCAGCACTTGTATCTTAATGTCTTGTCTTCTCTCTAGAACACATTGTGTCAGTTGACTTCACTTTGGGGCTGTTCCTGTCATTCACAGCAATTCTGTGTTTACAGGGGGCTGTGGGATGCATAGGAAGTCCTATGGTGATGGCAGGCATGGGAATTTTACCCCAAGGGACTATGGTAATAGGGGGCTGACCAAGAATAACTCCTAATCCTATGTCACATAATACCATGAGCAGCTCAGGAAAACTACGCACAACTCAGACATGTGCAGAAAGGAGATGTGGAATGAAATGGAGCCCCCTGGCCTGATAGAGGCCTCCAAGACCTGCCACACCCACGTCTGCCCCCAACTCCCCAGTCAACCTTCAGAGAAGAGAAGGTGATCTCTCTCCAGCTGAGACCAAGCCAAGGCCCAAACTGTTGTAGCTGAAGGATGTTTGGGCTAGGCTCATAGAAGCTGTTCCACTCCTGCAGTGTCAACAGCTGCCTGTGGTCCAGGCTTCTGTCTGGTCCTGGGTTTTTTTTTTTTTTTTTTTGAGATGGAGTCTTGCTGTGTTGCCCAGGCTGGAGTGCAATGGCGTGATCTCAGCTCACTGCAATCTCTGCCTCCCGGGCTCAAGCAGTTCTTCTGTCTCAACCTCCCGAGTAGCTGGGATTACAGGCACCCGCAATCATGCTCGGCTAATTTTCATATTTTTGTAGAGACAGGGTCTCACCATGTTGGCCAGGCTGGTCTAGAACTCCTGACCTCAGGTGATCCACCCACCTCAGCCTCCCAAAATGCTGGGGTTACAGGTGTTAGCCACCGCACTCAGCCTTGAAGAGACACTGGGCCTTTTAAGAGACACTGGGTGCTGACTCACTTCTGGGTCTGCCCCATGGGTGGCCCACCGGGTCTGCTCTGGGTGCAGCCAGGCTGTGCACGTCAGGGAGCCTGAGCTGGACTTAAGGTGGGGAGACATCACTCCCCAAGAGCTGCTCGGGTGCGACATCAGGGTGGAGGCTGTTGCTGTGTGTGGCGGCATCACTCATTTACCCTCGTCTCATCAGCCTCTGTCCTTCGGCTCATCTGCTTGCAGGTGGCCTCTGATTCTGCCTCTGGAGCCTGTCTGCCCCCTCTTGATTCATTCATTGGGTCCCAAATATGTGAACAATAGCATGCTAGCCACTTTTAGAAATATTTGTGTTCATCTTCAAGAGAGGGGGGTCATCCAGCCATTCCCCAGCCCTCAAAACCCACTCCACAGACAAAGCAGTGGCGGGTCAGGGCTCCTCTTGCTCTTCTGAGCCGCTGGCATAGCGAACACGGTACAAAATAAAAGGATTTCACATGCAATAGAATTTCATTCACCCTGAAAAGGGAAGGAAATTCTGACACAGGCTACAATATGGATAAACCTTGAGGACATCCTGCTAGAGCCAGTCACAAAAGGACAAGTACTGTGTCATTCCACTTCTCTGAGGCACCCACAGTAGAGTCACAGAGACAGGAAGTAGAATGCGGGTGGCCAGGGGCTGGAGAGAGCAGGGAGTGGGGAGCTGGTGTTTAATGGGTGCAGAGGTTCTGTTGTGAAGATGGAAAAGTTCTGGAGATGCATGGTGGTGAAGACGGCACAACAGTGTGAATGTACTTAATGCCACTGAACTCTACACCTAAAAATGGTTAAGATGATAAATTTTACATTATGTATATTTACCACAATAAAAGAAATAAGAAATAAAAGGTTTTTGGATGATGAACGGGCTCGAGCCAATTTGGACCCTCTAAAGCTAAGTTGAGCCAGGCTGAACCCATGTAGCCAGAATCATACTGGATTAGGCTGTTCTAGCACTTCACGTGGTGAGAATGGGGGAGAGAGAGAGAGATTGATTGATCAGGGGGCTGTGCAGGGGGCGTGCTACACACTTGTAAACAGCCAGATCTCTTGTGAACTCAGAGCAAGAGTTCACCTATCACCAAGAGGATGGCCCAAGTCATTCATGAGAGATTTGCCCCATGATCCAGACACTTACCTCCCACCAGGCCCCACCACCAGCATTGGGGATTGCATTTCAATATGAGATTGAGGTGGGGACAAATATCCAAACTGTATCACCCACAAAGAAGCAAAAACATTTTGGGCCAAATCAAAACTATTTTGATGTAGCCACAGTAGGGATGAGCTGTGATTACACCCATTCAGGCCTGTGGACCTGCGGACCTGGCGTGTGTGGTCGTGGGGCGGTGCGTGGGCACATCCCTGGGAGGTTTCAGGAGGACATTCAAGACCAAAATGAGCCATGAGTAAATAATACAACCACATCCTGAGTGGGAGTGGGGGAGCCTCCCCTTCTCTCCTAGGTCTTGTATGGGTCATGATCCCACCTTGGCAGGAGTGGAAGGAACACAGATCCTACAGGCTGTGGCTTATAGTAAAGTGACTGTGGTCATGCCTTGTGAGTGTCATTAAAATAAACAGATATCGTTAAATCCACTATCAAATAACAGCGATTTCTGCTATCCTTTCACCTTTTCCACAAGTTTAAATATCCCAGATATTCTACTGTGTATATTCCTAAAAGTAGACAGGTAGATTTAGTGAAGTTAACTGGATCATTGGTATCTTCTTTATAGATCATCTGGTGAAACTTGTTTTGCAAATTATGAGTTGTAGGCCTTTGTTTTAATGTCTGTAGCCTTAGGCAGTTCCATTGAGACTAACTCAGTTTTTTTCTTATTAGGACTAATCTTATTGACCGGAACTGTGGACTCCCCGTATTAGGAGAACAGAGATCTGGCCTGTGTAAATGAGTGGAAGTTAAATACTGTAGAAAATGCCCTCTGGAAACTGAAATCTAATGCTGACTTACTATTGGTCATTTAATTTCCTTCTGGCTTGGGCACCATCGTTACATTCATTTTTCAGATGTCAAGCTAGTTTTCTCAGAATGTGTGCAGGGCTCGAGGCCGAGTGTGGAGGCCACTGGGTGAATACAGGAGAGGTCACAGGTCAAGCCTCCTGCGAGAACTGCAGGCTTGAGCCTTCGATAGAGCCACGTGAATGATTTTTAGCCCCACTAGGTTGCTGTCATTAAACTATGCACACAGGGCTTCTTGCTTTTAAGTTAGCAGGATGGAAAAATTGCAGGTGTTTGCAGCAAACATGAAGAACCAGCCATGCTGGCCCCTAAGCAATGGTATTAGAAAGGGTTGGTGAAGATTTTCTCATTTGAGAACTGAACAAAACCAAATGGAATTCTCCCTAGTTCTGCAGCTCTGGGGGCTGTAAGCGGCGGAGCTTCCACCTTCCCCACAAACGGACCCAGAGTGGCACCTGGTATGTGAGGCAGGTGACCAGGAGAAGGGGGTGTCAGTGGTTGATGGGCAGCTGCCTCTGCTGCCTGGTTGACCCAGCCCCTTCCTGGGTCATCTCCCACTTTGCCTGGGTGTCAGTCACTGGAGGGTTAGCGCAGTACAAGCTGGCGGGTGACCTCCGTAGAGCTTAGGTGAAGGGGCTCTCACAGGGCAGTATGTTTGAGACCCTTAGAGGGCTCTCCTTACTCTTGCTTCTCCCATTATTTTTAAATTGTAGTAATACACTTGTAACATAAAGTTTACCATTTTAAAGTGTACAATTCAGTGGCATTTAGTACAATGTTGTGCAACCACCTCTGATATTTAGTTCCAGAACATTTTCACTGCCCCCAGAGGAGACCCTGTACTTATTAAGCAGTCACTCCTCATTCTTCCCTCTCCCCGCAGCCCCCACAATGAAAAATCTGTTTTCTCACTTTGGATTTGCCTATTCCGGATATTCCATAAAGACGGGATCAGACAATATGTGCCCTTTAGTGTCTGGCTTATTTCACCAACATAATGTTTTCAGGGTTCATCCCTGTTGTAGCACGTGTCAGTACTTCGTTCATTTCTGTGGCTGAATGATATTCCACTGAATGGCTATGTTTTTATTTTCATTTTTACTTTTTGAGATGGAGTTTCACTCGTCGCCCAGGCTGGAGTGCAGTGGTGTGATCTCGGCTCACTGCAGCTGAAGGGCTATATTAAGTTTCATTTATCCATTCATCCACTGAGGGACATTTGAGTTGTTTCTACCTTTTGATTAATGTGAATTCTGCTGCTGTGACCATGTGTATACAAGCTTTTGGGAAATTTTATTTGGCTAGTCGTAACTTTAAGTTTTGTTTTGGCTATTTATTGTTGCTTAACCAATTATCCCAAAACTTAATGGCATAAAACGGCAAATTTGTCTCTCTCTCACTATTGTATGGGTTAATGGGCTAGCTGGACAGTTTTTCTGCTGGTCTCATTTGGCAGCTCTCACTGTGCAGTTAGACAGTGTCAGGGACTGGTCGTCTGGATGCTCAGCTGCAGTGGAACGTCTGAGACGGCTTCTTCACCCACAGGTCTGCTGCCTTGGTGTTTCTTCATGTGGCCTTTCTACATAGCATCTCATACTCTTGGCCCTCTTCATGTAGCTTCTCTTTCTCCAAGAGGATAGTCAGTTCTTCTTTTTGGCTTCCAGAAGCACAAAAGTGCAAGCTGTCAGATGTTCTTAAGGCTTAGACCTAGAACAGGTCCAGTTTCATTTCTACCACATTCTATAGGTTAAAGGAAGTCTCGGAGCCAACCTTGATTCACTGTGGAATGGGCCCTTCCGAGGATCTGAATGACAGGAGTTGTGGCTCATTGGGGACCAACTCCAAAGATGAAGCCTGAGTTCTGAGAACTTTTTCTTCTCTGATTACTCCTTATTCATATTTTATGTTTTGTTTTATAGATGTAATATATTCACAAGTGTCTTTAAGGAGCTATTTTGATACTCTTTTGTCCTCTCCCTAGCATGTCTTTTTTCTTTAATAATTTTTTTCTTAGTTTATTTTGGTCTTATTTTTCTTTCAAAAGCCTTTCCCAAAATATCTATTCTATGTTGCTCATCATTTGTCATCTTTTTTAAAATGCCCCCTTTTGTTCATTCATATTTGAGAGAAGGACTAAAAGACTGACTGGGAGGCTGGGTGTGGTAGCTCACATCTATAATCTCAGTGCTTTGGGAGGCTGAGGTGGGAGGATCACTTGAGCCCAGGAGCTCAAGACTAGCCTGGGCAACACAGTGAGACCCCCATCTCTAGAAAAAATAAAAATTAGCCGGATGTGGTGGTGCCCGCCTGTAGTCCCAGCTACTCAGGAGGCTGAGGTGGGAGGACTGCTTAAGCCCAGGAGATTGAGGCTGCAGTGAGCTATGATCATGCCACTGCATTCCAGCCTGGGCGAAAGAGTGAGACATTGTCTCAAAAAATAAATAAATAAATAAATAAATAAAAAAGAAGTTTGGGAGTTCTTTCTGGCCAAGACTTGTCAACTGATAGCTTTTAGGGGAAAGGGTTTTTAGGGGGAATTTATGCTGATTCCCAATTGTTATCCCCACCCCTCTATCTTATCTCTTTGCGCAATCATAAATGATGGCAGGAACTACTCCATTCCTCTGGAGGTGAAATCTACGTTCTCTTGCCTGAGGTAGATACATGTTTGCTGGGGTTCTGCTTAAGGAAATGTGGGAGAACCATGTGTTTCAGGGCCTGGAAAATGTGTTCTGTATGTAGGCTTTTGGTTAATCTGTTTTCAGTCTTGCCTATCAGTCCCACTCTCCGGGGTACCTGGTGTCGGAGTCTAGTGCCTCTGCAGGGTACTGTGGGACAAATTAGCCTCCTTGTTATCGGTATCCCCCTAACCTCCACCTTTGTTTGCTTTGCTTCATTAATTAACCATTTCCCATTTACTGTCATTGTCTATTGGAGGTGAATTCTCTTCTCTTGGTAACCCCATCCCTTTTTTTTGGTAATTGTGTGTGTTTATACAATCTTTATTCTTCACTGTAATTCCCATGGAGCCTCAGGAAAAAGAGCAGATGGGAGAAATATGTGTTCAGTGTTCAGTTTTCCTTCTGTAAGACACCTGCAACCTGTGTTTTTCACAGAATAGACCATGGACTTAAAGCATAAAGAGCTACTTTGTTTTTCATGATTGTGCCTTCAATTCTATGTAGAAATATAATCTGTGAATTACCTGATGAAATTTTCCTAATTTTGAATCATCCTTG
Organism: Homo sapiens; assembly: GCF_000001405.40. NCBI lineage: Eukaryota > Metazoa > Chordata > Mammalia > Primates > Hominidae > Homo > Homo sapiens. The sequence goes on from NC_000015.10 coordinate 34,563,832, forward strand.
TATTCCTATAATAAACACTGTTAGAATGCATATGGTAGTGTTTTATTTTTGCATTTTTACTTTTATATTAAATAAGATTATAGTTTTGTTTCCTTCCTTCTAGGCTCTTATTTCATTTCCGTACCAATGGTATGCAGGGCTGACTTGGGAAGCTTACATGTTTTTCTAAGATCTAGGATGTAGCTCTAGTTAACACAGTAATTTTCAACTGAAGGAGATTTTTGCCCCCCATGGGATGTCTGGAAATAATCTGGAGACATTTTCGGTTGTCACAACTGGTCATGATGGGAGGTGCTATTGGCATCTCTTGGGTAGAGGGGGTGTTACTAAACGTCCTACAACACACAGGAGAACCCTCCACAAATTGTCTGGCCCAGTATATACACATCGCTGAGGCTGAGAAACCCTGGTTTAAATAAATGTCCAATTTGGAGAGTGAGTCTTTGACTGCCATTTTTCTTCTTCTATGTGTTGGTCTCCAGATTTCCCACTTTTTCAGTTAGTTGTAGTAACTGTAGATTCTTAAAAAAAAAAAAAAAAAAAAAAAGGATTGCTTCATCTTTACTTCTAGGCTGCTGTAAAGATGTATAAGGTTTTCACTTTTTGCATCATATTCACATTAGAAACAGCTGAGTTTTGGAGGGAACACATTCAAACGGTAGCAAATTTAGTAGAGCAAATTCCAAAGACATTGAGTCTAGGCCAGTTGTCAGTCCTGGGTATAATTTTAGATGTTTTCAGGCTCTGAAGCTTTGCATTTAAATGCAAATTTCGGAACAAAGATCTGTGTCTCTGCACTGACCAAATAGAAGGTATGTGAATGTTATGGTCTTGATTGTTTTACAAGATTTTTTCTGCAGGTACTTTTGCAAGCGTGTAGGGAGAGATGAGAAGTTCCAACGAAAAGGGTGTGAGGTCTTTGGGGCCAGCTTTGAGCTGGCAAGGCTAAATTATAGGAAGAAGGCAGAGAGGTGGGCAGAGACCAGATGTGGGAGGACTTCCTGTGTCATGCCATGGAGTCTGGACTCCACCCTGTAGGTGACAGGAGCCAAGACAGGGCTTGGCACAAACACATGGCACATTTGTGGTTAAGAAACGTCTTCCTTGCTTCCTTGTGGCCTTGAGGGATGAATTAAGGGGCTGGAAAACTGGCAGCAGGACGGCCTGTGCCCATGTTTCAGCTGAGAGCCGGGTGGGTGGCAGGGGCTACGGAGAAGGTGGTTGAGTTTAGCTCCAGTCCCCAAAAGGTGCTGTGGGGAGGAAGAATTTCCAGCTGCCAGGTCAGCCTCTTAGATCCAGTTCTCTTTTTTTTTTTTTTTTTGAGACGGAGTCTCACTCTTGTCGCCCAGGCTGGAGTGCAATGGTGTGATCTTGGCTCACTGCAACCTCCGCCTCCCAGGTTCAAGCAATTCTGTGGCCTCAGCCTCCCTAGTAGCTGGGATTACAGGCGTCCGCCACCACGCCTGGCTAATTTTTGTATTTTTGTAGAGACAGGGTTTCCCCATGTTGGCCAGGCTGGTCTCGAACTCCTGACCTCAGGTGATCCACCCGCCTCGGCCTCCCAAAGTGCTGGGAATACAGGCTTGAGCCACCGCGCCCGGCCCTTGGATTAATTTCTTCATGCTTAAAATGAAGGAAACGTGAATCATTGATAAGGTGTCCCCTCTTTAACAAAGCAACAGATGGTTTATCAGGGCCTCTCTTCGCAGGCAGTGGGGCCTCATCCACAACCCTGGAAAAGAACTGGAAAGCGTTGCTCAGCCAGGTACGGAGGGCAGGGCCATGTGGGACTCCCGTCTCCAGGCCCCCTCTCCCCAGCTCCCGTTTCTTTCTTTCTTTCTTTCTTTCTTTTTTTTCTGAGACGGAGTTTCTCTCTTGTTGCCCAGGCTGGAGTGCATGTTGCTGTGCACTTTGAGGGCAGGAACTGGCTCCTGCTCCAGTTTGCATCCTCTGCGCCCGGCACCAGGCCCGTCTGCTCAATGCAGGATAAGCAGGTAGCTTCGGGCTGTCCACCCAGCCCTTGCAGAGGGTGGAGCTACAGAGAGCATGAGTGGCCAAGATGAAGCCCTCATTGGATTCTTTGACTCTTTCTACTATGTGAGATATTCTTGATGTCTGAGGGATGAACGGCAAACAAAGTGTGGCCTACCCATACAATGGGGACAGTAGTTAGCCCTAAGAAGGAAGGAAGTTCTGACGCACGCTACAACACAGGTGGGCCTTGAGAACGTCACGCTAAGTCAAAGAAGCCAGTTGGAAAAAGACAAATGATTGTATGATTTCACTCACATGTGGCACCTGGAGTCGTCAAATTCAGAGACAGAAAGTAGAATGGTGGCTGCCAGGGGCTGGGGGAGGCGGAAAGGGGAGTTAGTGGACACAGAGTTTCAGATTGCAAGATGAAGAAAGTTCTGGAGATGGATGGTGGTGATGGTTGCACAACACTCTGAGTGTATTTAATGCCACAGAATCATACACGTAGAAGTATTTCAGATGGTAAATTTCATCTTTTGTGTATTTACCATAATTTTTAAAAACTAAGAAAATTAAGATATCCTTGATGTCAGACGCCAGGAGAGCGGTGTCAGGCATCTCACCAGCCGATTCTCCCAGAAGTTTTCCTCCATCGGGTAACCACGAGCCTGGGGTATCACAAAGAGAAGCCTCAGTGTAAAATCAACAATCTCAGTGGAGTGGCTTCATCAGGGAGTGACAGGGGCGTGATTTACTACTGGAGGACAAGGCAGCAGGCAGGGAAGATGGCCCAAGCCTGCTTTGAACTGTAAGGAGCACGCAGAACCTCTTATCCAGACGGGGGCTGCCCTGTTGACAGCACAAGCAGCTCAGGGCCAGCGGCGCAGGAAAACCCCAGGGTCCAGCCAGGTCACGGGCACAGGCCTGCACTCACGGGTCACTGCAGTGAGGATGGAGGTGTCACTGCAAATGCGTAAGAGGATATTTTCAGCAATAGTAAAATTTTTAACAGATTTTAGAAATGAAAGGGTTCCCCCTGCATATGTCAAGAACCTGAGTTTCTTTCTGAAACTTGGGTGGGACCCTTTAGAGTTGCTTCAAATAGAAAACACACCATCGGCGGCCACTCCCCTGAGGAAAGGCAGACTTCATGGCTGAAAGCGTCACCCAAGTGCTCCCGGTTTTCAGCATCACATGGAGTGGCTCAGGTGCCCATTCATTTTATGAGTCAGCCTGGGGAGAGTACCCACAGATTCGGAGTCACATCTCTGATGGGACACAAGCTCTACCCTTTCCAAGCATTGATGATCCTGAGGTTGATCAATACTGAGCATTGATGTCTGTGAAAACAAATCACTTAGGTGCAGAGACACCGCAATGACCATCCCGCCGGGGGCAACCGCCTGATTCCTTCCACATCCTGGTCAACATCCCTGGCCAACAGGGCAGCCCACGGACAGCTGCTCTGCCTGGCTCCTGCTGAAAAGCCAACAGCACAACAACTCTGCCCTCCATACAAAACCACATGGGCCCTCGAGATCACACTGGGGCGCCCCCTTTGCCCCCACTTCCTTGGGCTGTGGCTGGCCTGTCTGACATTTGCCCTGGGAGATGAGCCAGGGTCTGCCCAGGCCACCACGGGGGCAGAGACGTGAAGCAGGCTGCAGCTACTAATTTTCCATTAAACGAGAAGAAAATCGGCTATTGTGAGAAGAGTCACATGAAGGTACCTAAAAGTTGTCACAGTCCACTCACTCGAAATAAAACCCATCCCATTAGGAACACTGTCATTGCAGCCCATCTCCAGCACTCTGCTCTGTATAAAAGACTGACTGTGGCAAGATAAGGGTTTAAAATTGAAAATCAAAGAGCCATTCCTCAGTGATACCCAGGAAATGACGCACACGGGCAGATATTAAACCCACCCACACCAAGAATCCTAAAAGTTACCATACAGATTACTGGTTTTCAAGCAACACACAATGATACAAGTAAGTCCTCAAGAAGGCTGCATGGGTTGAGGCACTGGACTTCTCATCATGCCATCTCTCAGCTCAGGGGTCCATGACAAAGCTAACCCCACTGAGATGAAAAGCCACTTACCCCTTTTTCATCACTTGCAATACAAATTTCAGAACCCATCCCAAACTGGAAGGAAGGATACGACTGAAACTCAACTCATGCCCAGCTAACCTGGGAAGTACACCCTCCTCAGATAATGGAGACCCACCAATTCCCGGGTGTCAGACGTCACACAACCTCTTCTCCCACCAGGGCTGGGGACCCTCAGGAAAGTCAGGTGTCCCTGAGAAACACCCGGCAACATGCAGAACCACAGGGACAGGAGGCAAGGTTCCAGACAAATACACCCAGTAGACAGTTAAAGATTTCAGAGCTGGAGAGAGCTTAGGACACCCCGATTCTCAGACTGCAGACAGCAGGTGGACACCACTGAGCTGGCGACAGCCCCAAAAGAGGTCAGCTTGACTGCGACGAGGGGACGTCTTCATTATCTGTCCAGTGCTCTCTGACATCACCCCACCCCGCCTCCTGTAGCAGTGTTCTATCTACATGAAATTAACCTCACGTATAAAACATATTCCTGGTTCATTGGCAAACAGGCAGCTCTGAGCAGCACATTCAGAAGTTGCCAACTTTGGGAGGCAGAGGAGTTCGAGATCAGCCTGGGCAACATGGTGAAACCCCATCTCTAGGAAACATTTATAAGTCAGCTGGATATGGAGGCACGTGCCTGTGATCCCAGCTACTCTGGAGGCTGAGGTGAGAGGATCACTTGAGCTCAAGTGGTCAAGGCTGCAGTGAGCCAAGATCACACCACTGCACTCCAGTCTGAGCAACATAGTGAGATCCCGTCTCAAAAAGAAAAGAGGTTGCCAGATTAATCCAGTACACACTTCTTTAATCCCGTAGTAAATTTTCTCTTTATAGCCAATTCCCAAAGTCAAGTATATTGACTCATAAAAATACCTTCTGGGAAGCATGTGACTGATTTCCAGCTGAGAGGCCCTGCCACTGGATGGTTAAGTTCATAGGCCCCAGAGTCAGAAGGGGGTTGGAATCTCCCCTCTGCCATGCCTGCTACTTGGCCTTGTGTACGCTCGCGCTCGTGCGCTTGTGCGCTCTCTCTCGCTCTCGCTCTCTCTCTCATGCTGATTCTGCAGGCATTCTACAGGCCTCCCATGTCCCAGGAGCCAGCTCTGTCCACAGTGCTCTTCCTGCTCCTGCTCCTGGCCAACCCTCCAACCAAGGTGTCTAGGAGCCACAGGGAAGAGCGGGTTCTCTTGCTAGTTGCTCTTCCACTAGGCTGTGACACGCTGGCCGAGCTCCGCCTCCACCGGCTCTGAAGACAGCACAGACAACTGTTCCACCTCTTCCACTTCCACTGAGCAGAGGAACTGCGTCTGAATGAAGCCAGAAATGGGGCATTTGGGGACCGCAACAGAGAATGGATGCCTAGCAGATGGGAAGACGACAAACTAACAAACACCCAGGCCTTGGACCCACGCCTCCCGGTAGGCTCCCTCTCCTCTCCCTCTCCCCTCCATCACACTTCGGACCTTCCTGGGCCTGGATCACCTTCCTGGAAAGCTGACCACCCCCATGCCTCTGGGCGCCACTCCCCTGCCCTACCACCACAGGGCAACATGGGGCCACATCACGCCACCCTGCAGCTCCTGTTGGAAGAGGCTGAAATCCTGGCAACACCCACCCATCAGTCCCAAGTCCCCGAGCATCAGTACCTTCATGCAAAAGGCACTAGGTTGGCTGCTTTATCTCATAAGATGAGAAAATGATGCCCATCACCATAAACACATTGTTAGCTGGTATTGATAGCTGTTAACACCCTGAACAAAGACTAAATGAAAATGATGGAAACTAGTGTAAAAAGTCTATGATGTGCAAAATAACAAAATCTAACCTAGCAGTAGCCACTCCCTACCACTTGTCACAAGGAAGCACGAGGAACTCACAGCAACTGGCAGCTCCTGCAGGGCGGACACTCCAAGGTCAAGGCTAGAACATAAATGACAGGGAACAACTGAGGATGACCCTGAGCTTCACAGATTCCAGGGCCTCCCCTGGGGCCATGGGTCCCAGTGGAAATTTGGTGGCACGGGCAGCATCTCCTGGTACAGTCAGGGTGGGGGCTCCCCTCAACCAGTTTGGTCCACCTCCATGGACCCTTTGGCCACTGAGTCACACATGCTGGCCCCACCACCTGCTTTGAGAACCAGAGCTGTACCCTACCCTCTTCTCCCTACCCCTCATCTGCCTGTGCAACCAGGGGGCCACCACCACTGCCTGGGGGTCCTCACGTTTGGAGGAAGCAGCTGAGGCTACCAGTGGCTGCCAGCTTGCTGGCATGGGTCCCAGACATTGCCACCACCACAGCCACTGACAGCACCTGAGGAGACCCTCTGAGCCCCCTGCCTGAGGCCAAGCAGCAGAGAAAGCCACATCCTCTAAGGCCCCCATGGGTGAGCACCCATGTGACAGCCCCTGCCAGACCACTGCCCTTGCCTGGAGAAACCACTCCCTAAGACCCCTCTCCTCCAGCTTGCCCAGCCACACAGGGAAAAAAACTCACTTAAACTGTCCACCGGCCTGCTTCCACTCTGTGACACAGCGGCTGCCCTGGGGACTGCTGAGCTACAGGGACCCCCAGTCAAAGAGCCAACCCACTGACCATGAAGCAGAAAGGCCCTCCTGAGGAGGGCCCCAGGGATCGCAGAGTGGACTAGTATCAAACACCCCTCCACGATGGACCCCATAACAAAAGGCATAAATAACAAAAAAGAAAGGTCGACGATGGCAAATGATTCTCCAATAAAAAAATACGAGAGGAAGAATGACAAACCATTTACATCAACAGAGAGACTGAAGCAAGGTGGGCAGGCAGCCCACAAATTTAAAAGGCAACAACTTTTCTACAGACCAGCCATGATCAGCTAGAAAACAAGGCAAGAGGAGGGGATGATCCCAGTGACAACAGCAGCAGAAGTGAGAGACGCACAAACATGCATGAATAAAGCAATGAAGCTCCAGTGATGGAGGCAAAGGACTTTTTACATAAATCAAAATCTGGATGAGAAGAAAATACAAAAGCTCTCTCCTCTCCCCACCCCCAACCCCCACCATAAAACCCACAGAGCAACCTTAATCAAAATCCCAATCAGAATATGGGATGAATTTAGTTTATTCTAAAGTTTATCTAGCGGCCGGGTAGGGTGGCTCATGCCTGTAATCCCAGAACTTTGGGAGGCCAAGGCAAGAGGATCACTTAAGCTCAGCAGTTCAAGACCAGCCTGGGAAACTTGGAAAAACCCCACCTCTACAAAAAACACAAAAATTAGCCAGGCGTGGTGGACCCTACTACTTGGGAGGCTGAGGTGGGAGGATCACTTGAGACCAGGAAGTCAAGGCTGCAATGAGCCGTGTTTGCACCGCTGCAATCCAGCCTGGGTGACAAAGTAAGACAGTCTCAAAAAATAAATTAATTAAAAAAAAATAAAGCTTATCTATTCAAAGGAATATAGGAGAAAGGTTGGCGGAAAATGAAAAAAGAAGAGGAATGAAGAGGTAATGGCCCTTTAAGATAACTAAGTCTTACCAAAAGCCACCGTAACTTACACGGTAGATAGTGGCACAACAATAAAGCAGTAAATTAGAATGGAGAACCCAGAAACACAGAAGAAACACTCAGAACACAGCAGCTACTTAACCCATGACAAACCTGCCAAAACAGAGAGGTCAAAGTGGCTGACTAGGAAATTAGGTTGGAATCGTATAAAAAAAAAAAAAACTACATCCACAAATCACACCGTATCTAAAATACATTTTAGATCAAAGAAGAGATGTAAATGTAAAAAAATCGAGACTATCAAGTATTAGCAGAATATGCAGGAGGGTGGTTATACACATTAGGGTACAGAAACCCATTCTCTAAGTAAGATACAAAATTCAGGAGTAATTAAAGCAAGCTTGATAGTTTTAACAATGTAAAATTTCCAAATTTTTACATTGCCAGAGATGTCTTTAAACAAATTCAAAGGACAAGTGGCATCTGAGAGAAAATATCCGCAATATATATAGAAAATGAGGAATAACCCTGTGTACCAAGAACACCTAGAAATCAACAAGGAAAAGCTACACAAATCAAGAGAAAAACAGGCAAGGATGAAAAAGAGAATTAGAAAGAGAAATTCAAATTAGTATTAAGCACAGAAGAAACAGCTTGTTATCATTCACAATTTTTACAAACACAAAATGAAATAAGCTATCACTTCACACCCACATGACTGAATGAAACACAAAGACTGATCATGTCCAGAGAGTGTCGATGTCCAGAGAGTGTCAGTGGGGACACCGCTGCCCCACACACTAGCATCATTTAGAATGGTCACCACCTGTCAAGAGAGCAATTTGGCAATATCTGTTGACACTCTGAATGCCCAAACCATTCAGCCCCGCAAGTCCACTTCTAGGAATCTATGCTACGAAAACAACCCCACGCAGATGCAAGGGTTTAATGTACGAGACTCCACCTGTCAGCATTCTCCGTGAGTGTGAAAAACGGAACCCAAAAGTTCAATAAGTAAACAGTCACATATTATGCAAGCGTCAGAATAATGCTGCTTGCGCAAAGGACAAGGGAGCATCTCTAAGACACACAGCTGGTGAGCGGATCGAAGTGCAAATCTTATTTACAGTAGGATCCCACTTTGTTGAAAAATACTTTTAAAATATGTATGTATTTAAAAGACAAGTAAAATATGTTCACAGACAGAAAAGAAAATGGGAGGAATCGCCACCAAACTGTGAACAATGATTATCTTTGTGGGCACTGAATGGGGCAGTGGTGAAGTTAGGGGGAAGCTTTCATTTTCTATTCTACATGATGCATTTCTGTAAAGTTCTAATCTTTATAATTAGTACATCTGAATTTCATAATCAGAAACAGATATTTAAAGGATCTCAAGATCTGTGTTATATAGATCTATCATATGTTAGGCGCCACCCCCGTTGATGGAGCCAGGGTCCTTCTCAACTCCAAATTCCACTGCCAGAAAAATGGCAGCTTTCTTCTCCAGAGATACAAGATAATTGCGAGAAGGCAAAATTTTTTAAAACAGAGACATCAAGCCAGGTACAGTGGCATGTACCTGTAGTCCCAGCTACTCAGGAGACCGAGGCAGGAGGATTGCCTGAGCCCAGGAGTTCAAGTCCAGCCTAGAGACAACATAGCAACACCTCCATCTCAAAATGCAAAACAAAAACTACAGATGGCAGATCTATTTAATGATTAGCTCTGGTGGGGAGCGCTGCCCCTCAGACCTTGACCTACCCAAGCAGCCTCTAGTTGTTAAAGACTTCTCAGTATTGGAGAATAAAACAAAATAGACAAGCACTTTAAAATTCACCAGAAGTTAGGCCGGGCATGGTGGCTCACGCCTGTAATCGCAGCACTTTGGGAGGCTGAAGCAGGCAGATCATGAGATCAGGAGATCAAGACCATCCTGGCTAACACGGTGAAATCTCGTCTGTACTAAAAATACAAAAGTTAGCCGGGAGGGGTGGCGGGCGCCTGTAGTCCCAGCTACTCGGGAGGCTGAGGAAGGAGAATGGCGTGAACCCAGGAGGTGGAGCTTACAGTAAGCCGAGATTGTGCCACTGCACTCCAGCCTGGGTGATAGAGTGAGACTCCGTCTCAAAAAAAAAAAAAAAAAAAAAAAAAAATTCACCAGAAGTTCCCAAGGAATTTGCTTCCACACATAGAAAATAATCGAGTCCGTTTTTCTGAAAACATGCTTTAAAGTCCAATTGTGGGGAATTGATGTAGATGGTTCCATTTTAACTTCTTCAGCCAGAGGAAATCTAAAAATTCTTCCTTCCAGCTCAACAGAGCAAATCCACCTACTGCTCTGCAAAAGGAGGACAAAGATCCTCCTGGGGCCACAGAATTCAGCAGCTTTTCCTTGGATTCCTAGGACAACCAACAGCTGTGGGACACTAGGCCAAGCTTCAAAAGGCAGCCTGCCAGCCATCGGACTCCCAGGTACCTGTGGAGTCCTAGGTGGTTGAGGAACTGGGGGAGGGCTTGGTTTCAACCTATTTGCCAAATCACCAGCAAAACAAGACATGTTCAAAAGAAACAAGTGCACATAAATAAGCCAGGGCTCTACTCCCCAGCCCATCAGGTCACCGGCCCAGCCCCTCAGTGTGCTGGTGAGCAGGACAATCAGAAAAGGCCTCTCTTCCTGGAATAACTAACAGTCTCTCACCATCCCCACTCCCACTGCCCGGTGTGTCATGGGAAGTCTCTGAAATTCAGGTTTGGGAAATCAGTTGACATGAACCACAACATAATATTAGATGTCTGATTAAAATCATCAAGATGATACAAAGGTCTAATCGCAGAGGTGCTCTCCACTCCCAACCCCCACATCAAGTAGAGCTTTCTCTCCTTCAAATCAGACTTTTTTTTTTTTTTTTGAGAGAGAGAAGTTCTCGCTCTGTCACCCAGGGGAGGGCAGTGGCACCCTCACAACTCACTGCAGCCTCAACCTCCTGGGCTTAAGCGATCCTCCCACCTCAGCCTCCCAAGTAGCTAGGACCACACCCATGAGCCACCACATCTGGCTAATTTTTCTATTTTTTTGTAGAGGTGAGGTCTCCCTGTGTTGCCCAGGCTGATCTCAAACTCCTGGGCTTAAGCGATCCTCCCTCCTCAGCCTCACAAAGTGCTGGGATTACAGCATGAACCACCGTGCCCAGCCTTCAAATCAGATTTCTAAGGAGCCTAACAAGTAGCAGGCCTTTCCAGCTACAGCACATGGAAGTAACAAAGGTAGCCTCAGCCAGCAACCAGCGCAGCCCCAGCAGACAGGGATAATGAAGCGGGCATGGGCCTCACGGGAGGGAATACTGTCCCCCACCTCCACACCATGCTAGTGAGAAAAACAGACTGCCTGCAGCTCCAAAACATACAGCAACTTACCCATAAAACAGGGACCTCTGACGCTTCACATTATCAGGTAAGAAATGTTTCTTGCCCAGCAGCCCCCAGAGGATGAACAGCTCCCTCCACCTGAAAGGGGAAGAGGGCCCAAGCTGCAGGCGCCCTGGCCTATCGAGGCCGTGGACAGGAGGCACCTGAATGTCTCCCCAGACCCCACCCTGCTGCAGAGGCATCTGCAGCCCATCACCCTGCAGCGCTGCTGTTCCCGCTCCTTCTTGGAGAACAGGGGCAATTTAATCTAGAAATCCTATAAATCCTTGTAAAAAAAAAAAAAAGAAGGGTAAAATAAAACGTCCGCACTAGCAAGGCTGGGACTTGGCATCAGCTGCCACCTCCTATAGAACCCAGTGGGGAGTGGGCTCCAGAGCCTCCACATGACGCTGGCGGTGCCTCGGCCAGACACCTGCCCCCGCCACCCTCCTGCGTCCTCACTGCACCCCTCCCCACCCCATGTCACATCTTCTGCTCATACCTCCCCACACCCTCCTCTCGCCTCTGGATGCACCCCTCAACACACCCCTGACCGCGTCTTCCTCCCATGCTCTGAACTGTCCACTAGGGAAGCCAGCTGCAGAAATCACTCTCCTAGAATTCACTTGGTAAAATATGTGTTGTTATTGGCCCACCTACTTTGCTCCCAACCCACAGCAAGGGCTCTCCAGGGCTACCAAGCCCCTAATGGTCAGGAACTGCCCCCCAACCCCCATCTCCAGCTCTGACCTACACAAACTACATAATCCTGCTGCCAAAAACTTGGCCCTCCCTATGCCCAGGGTGCCACACTCCAGGCTGGCCCTTCTGCCGAGAGGGCTCTTCTGGCCTGGGCTCTGAAGGGGCAAACCCACCCACTCTTCTAGGATGGGGTCCATGATCCACCCCAACCTACCGTGGGGCTCTCACATCTTCCAGATTGTGCCTCTCTAGGAGGGCCTTGGACCCAGAGCCAGAATGGGGCTCTGATGCCATTGCACATTCTCCAGCAACCCCTTCCATGCCCTCCCTCCTGATCCCACCCAGCTCTAAACTGGGAACAAGAAAGCTGGAATATAGTAGCTGCTTGGAAAATACCTACTGAGTGCATGGGTGGATAGATGGACAGTGCTCCAGGCAAAGGGACTCGGGGGTAAGAAAAGTGAAGGGTACCTGCTCCCGGTTGTACCACTGCAGAGTCCCTGAGTGTCAAAGGACTGAGAGGTGAATGACGGGACGGGCAAGGTGAGACCTACCAGGTTAGCGTCCCGCACCCCTTTGTTTCCACTATTAGATTAAGCCACCCTATGTGATGGATAAAAGGAGCAACACATACAAGGAGTTAGGCCAGGGTTGCCAAAGTGAGGGGTGGGAATGCTGCCAGTCCAGGGGTCCCCCACGGCAGCTCCCCAAATGAAGTCAAGACAAGTTGGAGATGAGGCTGCCTCTAGGTGTATCAAATCAACTGAAGTAGCACCAGTCCTCAGTGCTGATTAAGCACAGGCACGCCTGTGATCAAGAAGAAAACCATTACTTAATAAAATGCAATTAATTTAGAAGCTGAAAACTGCGAAAGCCCAAGGGAAAGACACAATCAGGAGTTCTTGGTCTGGAGGGGCTTCTGCTCTCAAAGCTTCCAACCCAACACAGCACAAAGACGTCTTCCCCAACAACCACACATCCCACCTGCAAAACGATGACATGCTCCTCTCCAGGTACCTGAACCTTAGGACTCAAAGGGTAGAGAAAGTTCACAGGCAGAATCTTCACAATACATGCACAAAAGAAAGGCACTTCTAGTAGGAGCTGTGGGTCAGGAAAACCTCGATTTCACCCAATGCCATTCCCGAGAGAATCAACCATCAATGTGACCCATTCAGTCCTGCCTCAGGGGCTCAGAATCTAGCAGTCAGGCCAGGTGGGAAGTGCAGGGACCTGTGGCCAAAATCGGTCCATTCATCACTCAGCTGACAGCTTTCACGCGTACCAGCCAGAATCAGTTAGAGGCTGGAGGTAGTGCCAAGTGTCTGAAACCCAGCAGGCAGGTTGGTAAAACACTCACACATCCTAACCCTGGTGACTGCACTGACTGACTGCTTTCCTGTAGCAGAACAGTTGCACACATCTCATCTCCTCCATCCATAATAACTCAGTGGCTGGTGAGGAATGGGACACAGACCTCCACGTGCCCTTCTTGGGATGAGTCAAGACAAACTCTGAGCAGTGACGCTCTACAGCTGGCTCACACGTGCAGGCAGAGCCTGGCTTCCCAGAGCTTCCAGTTCCTAACACATGCCTGGCCCCACTGCACCACACCCGTGACAGCTGCCACCAGCTCCGGATAATTCAGACAGATGCTAGAGCACATGGCTCACTTATTACACCAAAAGACTGAGAAACAGAAACTGTGTTTTAATTGCACAATGCACACACTTGCTTCCAGAGAGACCTGAGAAATCCATCATCCCTAAATGCATGCGGTTACTCAACTAGTGGCTTTACTATTTTTGAAACAATAGATTTTTCCAAGACAGCTGATAATCAAACCAACTGCGGGAAACCATAAACGATACTTGTTTATTAAATTAAGAACACATACAACAGTTCAGAGGAATCCATATTTAGAGCTGCCTTGCTGGAGAATCAATTCCAGGAATGCCAAACCAACCAAATGAAAAAAATTATATATCATACACACACACACACACACACACACACACACACACACACACACACACACACACAGATGCGTCACTTAATGACAGGGATGTATTCTGAGAAATTTATCATTAGGCAATTTCATCATTATGAGAACATCATAGAGCATACATTATACAAACCTACTACAACACACTAGGTTATAGGGTACAGCCTACTGCTCCTAGGCTGCAAACCTAGGCAGCATGTTACTGTGCTGAAGGTGTGTATCTAAACATAGAAAAGGCACAAAGTTAAAATATGCTATAAAAGATAAAACATGGTGCCCCTGTCTAGGGCACTTTCTATGAATGGACCTTCCATGAATGGAAGTTGCTCCGGTGAGTCAGTCTGTACACTAGTGCAGACTTTATAAACATTGTACAGTTAGGCTACATTTTTTTAAAAAATAAAGTAACTGCACTACAACTTTACGACAATGTCACTAGGCAATAGGAATTTTTGAGCCCCATGATATTCTTATGGGACCTCTGTCATATACGCTATCACTCACAAAAACAATGTCATGTGATGCATGACAGTACATATGTATCTCAACTGAAAATCCTAAATGTCAGTAGTGTTCTCTGACTCACTATTTACTAGTAAGTTTCCTCAGAACTGTCTTTGCCTGAGAGTTTCACAACCAAGCGTCTCTCTGCACAGTTGATTCTAGGGACAAGAAGTGCTAAGAATCCATGTTGGCTTCAAGTGCAAAATGGAAAACACCTTAGTGTCCCACCAACCATGTTAGCCACCTTCCTGGAGGGCAAGCTCCCACGCCCTTTCCCCATCGCTGTGAAGAGCTCACGTCATCTGTGGCATTTCCATAACTCTCCGATGCCAGCCATCAGTCTCTCAGCACGTGTTGAAAATTAGCCCCTGTACTTGCCCACCAATGGTCATAAGTCCTAGTCATGCCCACCCCGTTAAAAACAAATCTGATACAAAATGGGCCCCAGCAGGAGACAGAGAGAAAACATGGGCCTCACACTCTCTCCAGCTCAGGCTCAAAGGCCAGCACTGCCCCGTCACAGCAGAGTGCTCTTAGGCAACCCATAGCTCAGCTACCTGTCCCCAGCCTCCTCGTCGCGAAGTTAAGACAAGACCTGCCTTCTGGATTTGTAGGGAAATTATTTAAAATGACAAACAAAGAGGGATGGAACTCAACACACAGAATTGCCCGATGATGCGTGTTTCATTCCAGTGGTTTCGCCATGAAAACCATCTTTAAATGTTGGAGTGTTTCCGTTTCCAGACAACTAGAGATGAAAATATTTCCACAGTCACTCAACGCAGGTATCTCAACCACATATTTTTTTCTCTTAATTTTGATCCTTGAAACACAAAACAACAGATGCACCACCTTACATTAAAACAGCCCTTTAGAGTTTATGACAGGCCTCCTCTGCATTCTCTCACTAGGCCGTAGCTGTAACTCACAAACCTGACCCTTAAAACTCCCAGGACAATAAGAGAAGCCACACCATGGAGTCCTTGCTATCATAAAATATCTCGCATCAGTTCAATATCGCATCTCGTCTGTGCCTCAAAACAACCACAGGCAAGAGGCCTCATGCGCACATTGCAGATGCTGAGAAAGACTCTCAAGCCAGAAGACTGGCCCTGGACCCCAGGGTTTAGTGGCAGGGCCAGGCTGGAACTGAGCTCCTGTTACTCCAAATCCCATCCTCTTTTCTGACCTCCCAGTCCCTTTCTCATAAAACCAAAGCATCTTCTCCAACCAGGCCAGGACACACGCAGGAGAGAGTCAAGCAGGAGGAGGCTTCTGGAAGGGAAAGCAGAGTGGCTGAGAGCCCTGGAACAGAGTCTGACATTAGGTACAAGACAAGTTTGGAAAGATCCAGATGGAGTGGGAAGGGAATCTGGGCGTGGGGGTGCCTCCTTCCAAAGTGCATCCACATCCGAGGTGACTGCAGGGAGACGCAGCGCTGACTTTGGCAGCAGGGACCACCTGGGTGCAGAGAACCCAAACAACTGAAAATCCAAAAAGGAATCTCAGTGCACAATAAGAAAGCTCATTCTTTGGGCTGGTTACCTTCCCAAACACGTTCTCCTCTGGCCTATGTGAAACTGACGTTGCACAGTACAACTCTGCAGCTCTTTCCTGACTGCCCACTGAGTAAGGGTCTGTGCTACATTCTAGGAGGATCCAAAGGTGAACACAGCTGGGTTCCAGCTCTGGGACTCGGGAAAAGGAGGCACAGGGAGCAGGACATGTGCTGCAAGGAGACTACTGCTCCCGTGTTTCATTCACTCACTCATCCAACAACAGCACTAAGGCTCTGCTGTGTGCCAGGCACTTTTCTAGCTACTGGGGATCCAGAGGTGAACAAAGTCTTTTACATTTGAGTGATAAGAGACTGACAATAAACAAACAAGTACATAAATAACACACTGAATGTTGAGTACTAAGGAGAAACACAAAGCAAGGTTAACAAGAGAAGGGGAAGTAACGCTAATTTATGCAGGGCCATCAGGGAGCCGGCAATAGGTGAGGGGCTGGCCAGGTGGGCATCTGGGGGTGGCTGATGCCAAGGGGGTGGGAACAGCAGGTGCAAAGGCCTGGAGGCAAGAGTGGCCTGGCAAATCCGAGGACCAAGGGATAAGACGAAAGAGCCTACATTCAGTTAGGATCTCCGGGATGGACATGGGCCAAGATGACAGGTGGGGATGGGGTGGGGACAACCCAGGGCAGATCTGGGCAATGAGCCTGTCTGCCTGGAGCCAGGAGAGCCTGGAGGGACCATTCTTGGGAGCGAGTGGGAGAATTTGAGAAAAATCAGGCCGAGACACATGGATGTGGAGGGAGCACTGGAAAGCCACTGAAGGCCTGGGCAATGGTGTGTCACCATTGGGCCTGGGCCAACTTGCACAGCCCAACCTGGGAAACCTCACAGCCGGCACAGAAATCATAAAGCACACAGCAATGGCACCCCACCAGTACGCAGGGTTCCAGAGAGAGCCTGGCTGCACGACCTTGAGGTCACCTAACTCCCGGGCCTCCCTTGTGTGTCTGGACAGGGAGAGAGGGGAGGATTGGCTTCAGGAGAGGCGAGAAGCGACAGTGCCCATGACAGCTGACTCAGCCTGTGCCAGCAGGCTGCTCTGAGACATGAGCTGGACCCAACCCAGGCGGTGGGCAGCAGAGGGGTGGGGAGGAACTCTGGGAAAGGAAAGAGCCGGAGAAGCCTCTCTGTGGGCGCTCAGGCCAACCACCATCCAAGGGAACATTGAGCACCCCCAGCCCCTGCCAGGCACACAGGCTGCCTCCTGGTGAGCAACCATCTCAAACTTGACCTACACTGCAGAGGCCTGCCTGGTCATCAGTGGCTACCTTACACCCTACCTGTGTCTCCATGTTCCTAGTCCTCACGGCCACCTGGCAAGGGTGAGGAACTGAGACTGGGTTGAGGACACACAGCCTGTGAGTGGTACAGCCAGGGCCGCCACCCAGGCCCAGAGCTCTCTCCGTTTCTCTAAGGACCAGGCTGAAACGCAGGGCATGTGATCTCTGCCGAAGACATTGAAGCCACCCAGTGATGTGTGCAGGGCCTCGATCCCCACCGACCGCCAGTCCTGTCCTCCCCTGGACAGTAAAGGTTTCTCCAAGACTTCAGACCATGGTGTCACCTGAGGCCCACACCTGTTAAGTCACTGGGGCAGGTATGCGTGGCAGAGGACAGCGAGGAGTGCCGGAGAGGAGCTGAGGCCTGGAGGGGGCCTCTTCAGCCAGGTTCAACCCCCACTCTCCCCACTCCAACAGCCCTCACTGCAGCCACCGCGGCCCAATCCAAACAAAGCCCAGCCTTATGCCAACCTCACTATCAACTGTTTTTCCTCTGACTTCCTCAGTTTTGTCTGGGAAAAATCAAGGTGTCTTATCCCATCTCTAAGCTTCCAGGGGTGTGATCAGTGTCTTTTACAATTACCTTTTACTTTTATCCAGCATTTCTTAGCTCAGTTGGCAAACTGGATATTTATGCAGCTCCATTTCACAATCCATCCCCACCAATTATTCCTGTGAAACTAACATTTTGATTTTTTTTTTTTTAAAGGTTAGAGCTACTTAAGAAGGTTATGTAAACAAGTTAACCAGCAGGCCACAACTTGGGTCTGGGGTGTCAGAGAAAACATGCAAGGTGGAAGAGAATGAGGAGCTGACGGTCACCAGCTTTACCTCCTTCCAGCACCCACTCCTGCTCACACACACTCACACTCCGTGGGACTCAGCCTGCAGCTTCTCCCAGCCCAAGAGCCAGACAGTGGGGACGGGCACAGACCGCACTTCCTAACAAATGAGAGGGAAGACTTGGTGCCCCATTGCTACTGCCATCACCCAGTCCCAGCCCAGCCAGGGAGCCCACTCCAAGGGCCCCCCAACAGTACTGCTAGAGCCCACCGAGGGCTGCCGGCACACAGCTGCAAGGTCCAGCTTTATCTGCTCACGCCCTGGACACTGCCCGGAGCCCCAGCAAGTTCCACGTGTCCTTAACACCCCAGCCCTCCTGCCCCGCAGTTCCTAAGCTCAGGAGACCCTCTCCAGCCCAGGCTGAAGGGGGAGGCAGCCCCCACGGTCACCCAGGAATCAGCGCAGAGTGCAGGGCATCCTGGACTCCCCGGACTGGGAAACCCAGTTCCTGTCCCCCTGCGTAGTGGCCACACCTCTGGGAGGGGAGAAACCCCTGCCTCACCTCACTGGAGGGACCCTGACCCAGAGGCCTGAGAAAAAGCCACCTGCAGGCTCCTGGCAACTGCCAACCTGAACCTTAGGAAAACTTGTCCCACTTCAACCTGCAAAGCTCTCAGATCATTATTTCTAAAACCACTGTCCTTTCTCAACGAGGAAGAAAATAGAAACAAACAAACAAAAGCAGAAAGAGGCACAGGAGGTTGAAGAGGCCAGAGGCAGTTTAGCCCAAAAACAAAGTGCCAGACGCAAGATGCGAAGTTTGGGGCGCTTCATCCACCGCATGCCCGTTTAAGAGCTGACTGCACTCAACCACAGATTTACGTCTGGTGCCTGCCAGGTCGTATCTCAAGAGATCTGAAAAAATAAGCCTTTCTTCTGCCAATAAATACTAAGACTAGCAGGCCCCTCTAAGGCTCTGCTCTCCACTGGGGTACCGCAGGACAGGCCCCTCGGCGGGCGTTCCCCGCACCCTCCCTCCGCGTCGGCCCCGGGGAAAGGAAGTTCACCCCTCGCCTGGGCTTACCAATGCCCGCCGCCCGACCCATGGAGCCCTGCTTGGGGACTGGGGGCCTCGATGTTCTCCTTCACCATCTGCGGCCAGATCTCCCTCCAGCAGCCTTGCCAGGCAGTGCCTGGCCTGGAGAAGGGGCCCTGCCCCTTCCGGGGCAGGTCTCCGGGAGGGGCAGGTCCGCGGCGTGCCTCCAACCCGGCGCCTGCAGCCCCGGGGCAACAAGGTGTGGGGTTTTTAATTGAGAAGTTTTTCTCTCTGGGCCTTATTATACAGGAAAAGGGAAGGGGCGAAGATCCGGGCTCGGGTTCTCCCGGGGAAGCGAACCCAGAGGCGACCCCAAACTCAGTAGTTGCCGCCCAGCTCGGGGACTTGATGCCGGCGTCAAGCGGGGCAGCGGAACGCACCAGCGGCCCGGCCAGCCCAGCGAGATCCGAGCGGGCGGCCCCGCCAGACAGCGCCACTTGCCCGCGCCGAGAGTGGCCCCTCACCGCGGTGAGCCCCTCCCGGGATGCGAGAGTATTGCCTGGTCCCCGCCGCACCCGCCCGCCTGTCGTGGGAGGAGGATGGGCCGGTCCGAGAGGCGTAGGCCAGCCGGGCTGCACCCCTAGATCCCAGCGGCGGCCTCCCCGCAGCCCCGCCGAGTCCGGGGGGCAGCGCTCGGGAGCTCTTGGCCTGCAGCTTCCGCGCCGCCCCCCACGCGTCGGGGTCCCCGCGGCGCCGCGGGCGGCCCCAGGTTGCCGCCGCCAGGGAGTCAGGCAGCCAAGGTTCCCCAGCTTACCTGGCCAGGGCGCGGGGCTGCCCCGGTCCGCCGCCGTCCTCGCCCCGCAGCCGCCGGCTCCGTCCGGGAGGCTGAGCTCCTTGAGAGCCCGCACGTAGCGGCACACCGCGACTGCTAATTAGCCCGGAAGCTGAATAGCGGCGGGTACATACCGCAAGCGGAGTACGGAAAGCACGCAGGGCTGCCGCTACCTGGCGCACGCGCACTGAGCTGCGGCTGCCGAGCCCGCGCCCCGGTCCCTGCCGCTTTACCTCACCCGCTCTTGGATCACTGGGGCCGGGAAACGCTTCCCGGCGACACCGCGCGCGGGGAAGAGAGGGAAGAAAAAGATGCGTCCGTGCCGGGCGTTCACGAGGCCCTGCGGCCCCTGGCCCCGGCACTGGGACATCGGCAGGGCGGGCGGGTGCACCCAGGACCCGGGTCCAGCCGGGAGGATCTACGGGACCGGGGCTGGAACCCAGACGTTGGACGGCTCAGCGCCCCGAACGTCCCGGGCCCTGGGGAGCACACAGATGCCCGAAGCACGTCCCGGCCTTGCTGGCTGGGGAGTTGCAGGGGTCTGGTCTCGCGGGTAAAGCCGGTGAACGCGAGGCTCCGCATCCTGCCCCGGCCGCGGCGCTGCGCCCTGCTCGCTCTGCCCGGTGCAGCTGTAAGCGGGGACCTTAGAGCTAGGAACCCTCGGGGATCGCGGCCTCCGAAAGCCCCATCGGGCAGGGGAGGCCCCCTGCTGCCTCCCCACCGCAGCACCCCTAGGCGCATGCTGGACTCCAAGTCTTCCCTGCTGGTCCCCAGTAACCACCCTAGCACCCCATTTCTGATACTCTGCTGCTTTAGCCCCCAGCCCCAGGGCCTCACTCCAGGCCTTTCTCTCCTTGCTGTCCTGAATGGAGAGGACCCTGACCTCCGCGGGGCCCTGGGGAGCACACACTCCCAGACACTCACACACATCCCCAGGAGAGCCGGTCTTCCGCCCCCACAGCGCGAGAAATCGAAATCCCCTGGAGGCCCTGGGCGAAGGTCGTGCTGGAGACTCCGGTGTCACCTTCGGCCCTCTGGCCCTTTCATTGAGTCCCAGGCAGATGTGGTAAGCCGTGGGAGAGGCACAAGGTGCCTAGTCTGTGCAGAGTGGGACCTCAGCTGCCTCGCTCCCCCAAATCCTGGTGATTTGCCCTCGTTTTCTTTTCTCCTTGTGGCTGGACTAGGCGAAGCTGTGGCATGGGAAGTTCTGAAGACGGGGGGGGGGGCGGGGGGGAGGGGGAGCACAGAAGGACAGGGGGCCTGGGGGTTGAGGAGAGCCCATCTTCCTGCTGCCCTGAGGGCCTGACCTGAGACCCTGAGGAGAACGGGCTGGGGAAAACCAAATCCTGAGCTGCACTAGGGTTAGATACAGTGTGGACTTGGCCTCTGC
Source organism: Homo sapiens (assembly GCF_000001405.40). Lineage (NCBI taxonomy): Eukaryota > Metazoa > Chordata > Mammalia > Primates > Hominidae > Homo > Homo sapiens. The sequence goes on from NC_000015.10 coordinate 34,584,924, forward strand.
ACACCCTGAGCCTGAGTTAGGACAGCAGCTGTGAAATGAATGGGATTCAAGATGGGGTCTGATAAATCACATTTATATCCTCTTCTTCCATTCAACTAATGGATCAGTGTTTTTAAAAGTCTAAGCCACATAACAAAGAGGGCAGAAGGAAGTCGTTAGCAGATGAATGATTTCATCTGGAAGATGAAGAGGATTTAGAGATCTATGGGATAGATTCGAGGGCACAAGGCCAGAACATACGAAGAGGGTCTGGAGCCCGGGGGCGGGGGTGGCTGACCCGTCCGTCTGTGAGAACCTCAGGGAGCCTCCAGGCTCCAGTGCAGTGCAGGTATCACAGAGGGCAGAGTGGAAATGGGACTGGAACAGGTAGAATAAATGAAGATCCAGCATGGACAATTAATGCCCCTCCCCCCAAATCATGGATGCAGCCAGTCACTTACCCCAAAGAAAAAAATCAGAGATTCTCTCCAAAGAGAGTTGTGTACACTGCCTGGTGAGAGTGGGTGCTGCTAGTGTAGTTGTCGGTCCTCTGGAGGAAGCCTCCCTACCGTGGCATTTAAAGGTCCACCAGTGTAATGACTAGCTCCCACTCTAAGCTCTCCCCACATGCACATAACCACCATCAGCCTGTCCATAAAACTCCTTTAGATACGAAAGGAGAGAACGCCTATTTAATAAACGGTTCTGGGAAAACTGGCTAGCCATATGTACAAAGCTGAAACTGGATCCCTTCCTTATACCTTGTACAAAAATTAATTCAAGATGGATTAAAGACTTAAATGTTAGACCTAAAACCATAAAAAGCCTAGAAGAAAACCTAGGCAATACCATTCAGGACATAGGCATGGGCAAGGACTTCATGACTAAAACACCAAAAGCAATGGCAACAAAAGCCAAAATAGGCAAATGGGATCTAATTAAACTAAAGAGCTTCTGCACAGCAAAAGAAACTACCGTCAGAGTGAACAGGTAACCTACAGAATGGGAGAAAATTTTTGCAATCTACCCATCTGACAAAGGGCTAATATTCCAGAATCTACAAATAAATAAATTTACAAGAAAAAAAATCAAACAACCCCATCAAAAAGCGGGCGAAGGATATGAACAGACACTTCTCAAAAGAAGACATTTATGCAGCCAACAGACACATGAAAAAATGCTCATCATCACTGGCCATCAGAGAAATGCAAATCAAAACCACAATGACACACCATCTCACACCAGTTAGAATGGCCATCATTAAAAAGTCAGGAAACAACAGGTGCTGGAGAGGATGTGGAGAAATAGGAACGCTTGTACACTGTTGGTGGGACTGTAAACTAGTTCAACCATTGTGGAAGACAGTGTGGTGATTCCTCAAGGATCTAGAACTAGAAATACCATTTGACCCAGCGATCTCATTACTGAGTATATACCCAAAGCATTATAAATCATGCTGCTATAAAGACACATGCACACATATGTTTATTGCGACACTATTCACAATAGCAAAGACTTGGAACCAACCCAAATGTCCAACAATGATAGACTGGATTAAGAAAATGTGGCACATATATACCATGGAATACTATAAAAAAGGCAGCAATAAAAAAGGATAAGTTCATGTCCTTTGTAGGGACATGGATGAAGCTGGAAACCATCATTCTGAGCAAACTATCTCAAGGACAGAAAACCAAACACCACATGTTCTCACTCATAGATGGGAATTGAACAATGAGAACACTTGGACACAGGGTGGGGAACATCACACACCGGGGCCTGTCATGGGGTGGGGGGAGGGGGAGGGATAACATTAGGAGATATACCTAATGTAAATGACGAGTTAATAGGTGCAGCACACCAACGTGGCACATGTATACATATGTAACAACCCTGCAAGGTAATGGGTACAGCATACCAACATGGCACATGTGTACATATGTAACAAACCTGCATGTTGTGCACATGTACCCTAGAACTTAAAGCATAAAAAAAAAAATGTATCCTTATCCTGTTGCCATTTTGAAGCTGCATTTGCTTGTCCAACACTGGCTTTCAGTTTAAAAGAAGTGTACCTAAAAAGTTAACAAAACAAATGCTATACTTATGACAGTGCCTATGCTGTACTGAGAATGGTTAGGTGCTGTCGCATTTTACAGAAAAGATGTACTGATTTAGTTCAATACTGACTAACAAATCTAACCTTTTATTTATAAGATATTCTTCAGGACAGCATCAACACATGTAATAAGTAAAAGATCATATATGGATCATTTCACTTTTGATCCAGTCAAATATAAACAAAACTTAACCATTTTTATCACAGAATCAGTAATAGCTACCATTTGCTTTGTGTCTTCTATATGCCAAGCCTAACAATGGGCACCTTTGCCTAAATTAGTTTATTTTCTCCCTTTTACCAACCGCGTGAAATAGACATATCTTCATCATTTTACGTATGAGAAAACTGCAGCACTGACAAGTAGAAGAATCTACCTGAGTGCATTCTTTTTTTTTTTAATTTTAATTTTTTTTTTTGAGATGGAGTCTCGCTCTGTCACCCAGGCTGGAGTGCAGTGGTGTGATCTCGGCTCACTGCAAGCTCCGCCTCCTGGGTTCACGCCATTCTCCTGCCTCTTGAGTAGCTGGGACTACAGGCGTCCGCCACCACGCCTGGCTAATTTTTTGTATTTTTAATAGAGACAGGGTTTCACTGTGTTAGCCAGGATGGTCTCCATCTCCTGACCGCGTGATCCACCTGCCTCGGCCTCCCAAAGTGCTGGGATTACAGGCATGAGCCACCGCATCCGGCGTGAGTGCATTCTTAAGTTTAAAATCTGTAGGTTAAAATTAATTCTACCTATTTCCAAAACTTGTGACTTTTAATCTCGGCAACCTCACCTCAATAATCTACTATAAAGAATAAGCTTCCACTGTTCTTCACCTCTTCTTTAAGTGAAGGTTCCATCAAAGAAATACCTTGGAAGCTGAACATTTAAAACTTTATTATACTCTGAGCTAGTCCTGATGAAAAAGAACGAGACCATCACTACTTTAGATATTTTTTCTCAAAACATATTAAAATATGACTTGTTGAAGGATAATATATTTTAGTTAAACAATTGCCACTTAATTCACAGACTACATATTTTTTTTACCTACTGAATGCATTTTGTTTTTCGTCTGATGTGTTAGAATTTCTTTTGAAATGCTGAAGCTCTGTAGGCTGTTGCTCAGGCATTCCTGGTCTTTCTGTGTCTTTGGTTGCCATCCAGTGGCAGCAGCCATATACTGCAGTTGAGTAACAGAAAAGAGAAACCCTCTACTTTCCAAGATGACTGTGTTTTTTCATTCAAAAGTGAACAATACGTGTATTAGTCCATTTTCACACTGCTATAAAGAAATACCCGAGACTGGGCCATTTATAAAGGAAAGAGGTTTAATTGACTCACAGTTCTGCATGTCTGGGGAGGCTTTAAGAAACTTACAATCATGGCAGAAGGCAAAAGGGAAGCAAGGACCTTCTTCGCATGGCGTCAGGAATGAGAGGGAAGAGCGGGGGAGACCGCTACTTATAAAACCATCAGATCCCATGAGAACTCACCCACTATCGCGAGAACAGCCTGAGGGAACACTATCAGGAGAACCCCCATGATCCAATCACCTCCCATCAGGTCCCTCCTCTGACACGTGGGGATTACAATTGGAGATGAGATTTGGACAGGGACACAGAGCCAAACCAAATCAGTAGGTATTAATTTTGTGTACCTAATTTATGAAACTTTTAGCCCAAAATTAGTTCAGTATTTTCCCTTTTGCCAACCCTATGAAGTAAGTGTGTTTTCCTCATTTTATGTGAGAAAACTGCAGCACAGATAAGTAAAAGAATCTACTCTAGTTTCTATAATTATTAAGTTTCAGGGTTATGGGTTAAAATTAATTCTGTTTATTTCCAAAACAGATGCCTTTCTTAAGGAAAGCATCACACAGATAAAATAAATAAAAGGTAATATGTCTTATGTTTCTTTCAAGAAAAATGAAAGTTTTTTTCTAACATTTATTGTTTGTGACATTGATTTTGAAAAAAAAACTTGAATTATAAACATAATACAATTTGAAGACAAAATTTAAAGATAATATGAAATTATATGCACTTGAAGTAAAACTTTTGTCCCCACTGAGTCCAATGAAGATACACACGTATCTATATACTGACAAAAGACAGTTCTGCCTACATTTAAAAAAACAGTTTTTATTTTTATTTTATTTCTTTATTTATTCATTTTGAGATGGAGTCTCACTCTGTGGCTCAGGCCGAAGTGCAGTGGTGCGATCTTGGCTCACTGCACCTTCCTTCTCCTGGGTTCAAGTGATTCTCATGCCTCAGCCTCCTGAGTCATAGGCACATGCCACCACACCCGGCTAATTTTTGTATTTTTTTTCCTTTAGTAGAGATGGGGTTTCACCATATTGGTGAGATTGGTCTCGAACTCCTGACCTCAAGTGATCCACCTGCCACGGCCTCACAAAGTGCTGGGATTATAGGTGTGAGCTACCGTGCTTGACTATTTTTTGTCAGAAAGTATATAACCAACATTTTCCCCTTCAAAAACTCATTAAAGTAGTTGTGTTAAAAGTTCTGCTGAAGTCAATAATTAGCACATCTGTATATCAGTGATTAATGCCATCAAATCAAATGCTAGCTTTCCCACATTTTTCTCAAATATGATTTCTTACCAATGGCGGGGTGTGGGGTTAATATAAAGGTCCTAAAAGAGAATTTACAATCATAAATGTATTTAGATAATGTCTTCCCAGATGGACAAGTTGTAGTCTGTAGTGTGGATAAAATTTTTAGGAAGTACTTTAAAGCAGAGGCATATTAGAAACTATGAGACATATTAAATCAGAGACAGATTAGAAACTCTGTGAACAGAGGTGAGAAACATGTACTGCCATAAAAGAAAATGAGGTTTATTTAAGCCACTAAAAGTAAGGATATAAAATGGACAATCCTGATAGTTAAAAAGTTTAGTGTTCATCCACCGGGGCCTGTCGTGGGGTGAGGGGATGGGGGAGGGATAGCATTAGGAGAAATACCTAATGTAAATGACGAGTTAATAGGTGCAGCTAACCAACATGGCACATGTATACATATGTAACAAATCTGCACGTTGTGCACATGTACCCTAGAACTTAAAGTATATATAAAAAATAGTTTAGTGTTCATCTATTCAAAATATAGTATAATTTTATTTGAGATTGTCTTTTTTAAGTTTGAAGATTAAAAAAATTGGTATCAAAAGAATTATTTGAAAAATATTCTTCATCTGAGTAAAAAGTCCTGTGTCTCTGGGTAGATATTAATTTTATTCCAGTCGATTTAACAAGTTGTAAACTGGGGAGTGGGAGGAATAAAGCAGGAAAAAGTCATCCCACTTAAAATTACCTATTTGATTAGGATGTCAGAGAGTAGCTGATTCACTATGCTATGGTTATAGCCATATATGATTTTTAGTTTAATTTTTGAATTCAAAGGTTGGCAATAACCAGATCAGAAAATGTATCGTATGTTGCCGAACATTCGGAAGTTGCTTTCACCTCACACTGCTCTACCGAAACTTCTTTGTTTAATGTCACCAGTGACCTCTGCATTGCTAAGCCCAGTGGTGGTTACTTGAGTATCTTTTTATTTGGCCTAGCAGCAGCATTTGACACTTTTTATTTCTCCCTGTTGTTTGGTACATTTCTTCTCGTGGCTGCACGGATTCCACATTCTCTTGGTTGTGATTCTTTCTCACTGGTCATCTTTCCTAACCTCCATTGTTAATTTCTCCCCTTCTCTCCGCCATCTTTAATATTGGTACACCTGAGAGCCCAGGCTCTGGTTCCGTTCTCTTCTCTTAGAAACCCTTTGAAGCAGGCTTTCTAAACCATGGCTCTGCTGACATTTTGGGTCAGACAATTCTTTATATGTGGGGCTATCCTGTGCATTGTAGGATGTTCAGCAGCATCCCTGGTCTCTAATAGCCTCTACCTATTAGATGCCACTAGTAATTCATTCCCCAACTGTGACAACCAAAAATGTCTTCAGACATTGCCAGCTGTACCCTGGGGAGAAATAATTGCCTTCAGCTGAAAACCACTGACGTACTCTTTGCAATCTTGAGGATATCATTCAGACTTATGCCTTTAAATACATCAATATGATATTGATTAACATATTTATTTTATGAACCCAGTCTTTCACAAATTTCAGGCTTGTATATCCAACTGCTTACTTGGCATATTCAGCTCAATGTCTATAAATATCTGAAACTTCAGATGTTCAAAACAAAACTGATCTTCTCTCCTAAACCCTTGATCTCAGTCATTAACACATTTTTATGCTAATTCCAGCTTTCTGTTCCCCAGACTCAAAATCTTGTCTTCAATCTTGACTTTTCACCTTATCCACATTCCACATTAATCTGCATTCAGCCCATCTGCACAGATCTTCTAAATACATTCAAAATGCAGCCATCTTTCACCCGGGTGTGGTACACTATCATCTCCCTCTGGGATTTCTGAATCTTTTGCTGAGATTCCATCGTTAATTCCAACCGCTCTCCCTACTTCCACCCTTGCTTCTCTGCTCCTCCCCCTGCCCTGCATAATCTGTTCCTAACAAAGCGGAAATCTGTTTCAGGTCCATCACCCTCTGCTACAATGATTCAAAGTCATTTTCTTCCTGCCTGCCTGCCTGCCTGCCTGCCTGCCTTCCTTTCTTCCTTTCCTGACCGGAAATCTGTGTCAGGTCCATCACCCTCTACTACAATAATTCAAAGTCAGTTCCTTCCTTCCTTCCTTCTTTTCTTTCTTTTCTTTCTTTTTTCTTGACAGAGTCTCGCTTTGTCATCCAGGCTGGAGTGCAGTGGTATGATCTCGGCCCACCACAACCTCTGCCTCCTGGGTTCAAGCGATTCTTCTGCCTCAGCCTCCTGAGTAGCTGGGATTACAGGCGCCCGCCACCATGCCTGGCTAGTTTTTGTATTTTTAGTAGAGACAGGGTTTCACCATGTTGGTCAGGCTGGTCTCGAACTCCTGACCTTGTGATGCACCTGCCTTGGCCTCCCAGAGTGCTGGGATTACAGGCATGAACCACCCCAATCCTGGCCCCAAAGTTTTTGTATTTCTCAGAATGAACTTGAAAGCCTTAGGATGGCCTAATAAGTCCTGCAGTACTTAGTTCCCAGTGACCTCTCTGAGCTTCCCTCCTGCTCTCCCTTCCTTACTCGCTTTGCTTTTTTGCTACCTGTACATCTTTTTGAGAGTGCCTATTTGATTTTTTAATGAGGTTTTTATTGATTATTGAAAGGTTTTTATATACATTAAATATGTGTTTAAAAAACCATTTCTCTAGGTTTGTGGCTTGTCTTTTCACTTTGTGTATGTGTTGTGTTTTTCATATCGTGATTAAGAATTTTTACCATACCAATGATCATAAATATTTCTCCTATACCTTTTTTTTTTTAAATCTTTTTTTTGAGACCGAGTTTCGCTCTTGTTGCCCAGGCTGAAGTGCAGTGGCGCGATCTCGGCTCACCGCAATCTCTGCCTCCCGGGTTCAAGCGATTCTTCTGCCTCAGCCTTCCTGAGTAGCTGGGATTACAGGCATGTGCCACCACGCCCAGCTAATTTTATATTTTTAGTAGAGACAGAGTTTCTCCATGTTGGTTATTTCTCCTATATCTTATTCTGGAAATTTTTCTTCTTTAAACTATAATATTTATGTCAAAAATCCCTTTCAAATTATGTGTTATATACAATGCGAATTAAGGATTGAAGTTCATTTGCTTTTACATTTGATTATTTCATTGCTTGGGGGAGAATTGATCTCTTAATAATGTTGGGTCTTTTGTTTTATTTTTTCTTTTTTTTGAGACGGAGTCTCGCTCTGTCACCCAGGCTGGAGTGCAGTGGCGCGATCTCGGCTCACTGCAAACTCTGCCTCCCGGGTTCGCGCCATTCTCCTGCCTCAGCCTCCCGAGTAGCTGGGACTACAGGCACCCGCCGCCACGCCCGGCTAATTTTTCGTATTTTTAGTAGAGACAGGGTTTTGCCGTGTTAGGCAGGATGGTCTCGATCTCCTGACCTCGCGATCTGCCCACCTCGGCCTCCCAAAGTGCTGGGATTACAGGCGTGAGCCACCGTGCCCGGCCAATATTGGGTCTTTCAATCTATAAATGCTTCTCCATTTACTAGGGTTTTCATCATTCTTTCTTAGCAATGTTTTGAAGTTTTCAGTCCTCAGGTCTGGCACATCTTTTGTTACATTTATCCATAAGTGTTTCTCTTTTTTTTTTTTTGAGGCTATTGCAAATGGTACAATTACTTTTATTTCAATTTCCAATGTTCATTAGTAGTGTATAGAAATATGACTAATGTGTTTATGTTGATCCTACAAAATTGCTAAAGTTTCTAATTAGTTTTAATGTCTCCTTTTTAGATTCTATAGGATTTTCTATGTAGACAATCATATTGTCTGTAAATACAGTTTTGCATTTGCTGTCTACTCTGAATAGCATTTATTAATTTTTCTTGTTATTTTGAACTATTTAGAACATCAACTAAATGTTGAATAGAAGTGTTTAGAGTTGACATTTTTGTCTGACTTTTGATTTTAAGGGGAAATCATTTAGTTTTTAATCTCTAGCTGCAATGTCATATATGTGGTCTCATATGAGCCTTTTATGAGATTCTTAGTCTGCTTAGAGTTTTTATTATGAATAGATTTGGGATTTTTTCAAATGCTTTCTCTGTATCTGAGGTGATCATATGTTTTTAAAATTTGTTAATATGATGAATTACATTGATTGGTTTATGAATGAACCAACTTTGCATTCCTAGGATAAATGCCACTTGATTTTGATGTCAACATTTAAATAATATACTCAGCGCTAAAGAAAGTAGGGGGAGAAATAAGTTCTCCAACACTGCTGATTGGGATGTAAAGAGGCAAGACATTTTTGTAAGACAGTTTTGCCTATGTATCAAATGGCTTACACATATTGGCATCATCTCATCCAGCAATTCTGTTTCAAGAAATTGTAAGGGGAAAAATCAACTGTGAATAAATATTTATAAACATGTATATTTATGTAGAATTTTGGAAAACAGAGATGTAATTTTTCAATAACAGAAGAGGGCTTAAATAAGTGACAGAGAAATGTTATTAACATTCTATCATTTTGTAATGATAAATTAAATGTAAATTAAATGACAGTACTTACATTTAAAATCACATGTATAATATGATCCTCTTTATATAATAAGCATGCATATATTTATGCATAAAAGGAACACTGAAGAATTTACCAGCTAATTTTAACCATTTTTATCTCCTGAGGGTGAGAGCTTTTTTTTAAAGCTATAATTTCTAATCTGTATTTGTACGTTTCAATTCTTTCCAATAAAAATGCATGCCTTAGACTACTTGGCCTGCTATAACAAAGTATCATTGACTGGGTGACTTAAAACAACAAATGTTTATTTCTCACAGTTTTGGAAGCAGGGCAGTCCAAGAACAGGGTGCTGACATGTTTAGTCTGTAGTGAGGGCCTTCTTCCTGGTTTGCAGAAGGCTGCCTTCTTGCCGTATCCTAACATGGGCACGACAGATTGATGTCTAATTTCTTCCTCTTTTTATAAGGACATTAATCCCATCACGAGGGACACACTCTCATGACCTAATCTAACCCTAATTACTTCCCTAAGTCCTCCTTTAAGTCCATCAGTTTGGGGATTAGGGCTTCAACAAATGAATATTGGGGAGACATAAACATTCAAACTGTAGCAATGCATTTTTTTTTGCATTGGGAAAAAAATAAACAGAAAAAAATAGTTTTTCAATGTAGCTAATTTGGATCAATTCATCTCCCATTTTGGTAACTGTTTTGCTGCATAATCCTTGATGGGGAATCCAGAATTATCCTATAACTTTACTTTACATTATTTTGCTACTTGCTAAAAACAGTGATATACATACACTATTATTCAAAAGATATCATTTTTGAGGTCTTTCTGGATTTTTAAAATTTGTCATAACTAAGAGAGGAAAATTTCTGAGAAAATGTTATTGAAGATCAAGAAATTGTGAAGTGTGTAGGTAGAAGTGGCTGGGCCTTGTTTATTAGGTTTCAGAATATTGCACCAGTGGTAACACTTAAATATTCAAAACAATGCATTTGGGGGCAATAAAAGGAAACTTTGTGTTACACAGTGTGTTGTTAACTTTTAAATATTAATAGCTTTTATTCTATGATACAGCACATATTGAAATCTTACTTTTAGGCCAGGCATGGTGGCTCAGGTCTGTAATTCCAGCACTTTGGGAGGCCGAGGCAGCTGGCTCACCTGAGGTCAGGAGTTGGTGACCAGCCCGGCCAACATGGCAAAACCCTGTATCTACTAAAAGTACAAAAATTAGCCGGGCATGGTGGTAGGGCCTGTAGTCCCAGCTACTCCAGAGGCTGAGGCAGGAGAATTGCTTAAACCTGGGAGGTGGAGGTTGCAGTGAGCCGAGATCGCGCCACTGCACTCCAACCTGGGTGACAGAGCTAGAGTCTGTCTCAAAAAGAAAAAAGAAATTAAAAAAAAAGAGAAATCTTACTTTTAAGGAAATTTATGGATAATTAATTTATAAAGGTTAATAAGAAAAGTTAATATGTTTAAGAGCAATTTAATGCTTTCCAATTTATCAAATTAGAACTGTACATTTACTCAAAAAGCCCTTTGATAACATCATAAAAAATAATATTGGTCTGGCTGCTCAATAGGTCTGATCTTAAATAGTATTTATAATGTATCAAGGTGAGGCAGAAAATGAAAACAATTTTTCCAGATAATTGGAACTAAAAACACACAGTTATTTAGCATTAATTTTTTCTATTGTGAGAATTTTGGAAAGGAATAAAATCTTTTTTTCCCCCCTGCTAAACTTAGCTTTATTCCCTAAGAAATACAGAAAACACTAGCAAAACATTGAGGTAAAAATACATGCTGACTTTCCACTATACAAACAATGTAAAGGGCTTTCAATTTTTAATAAAAATTATGTGTACCTGTTTTAGTTCATTTGTGTTGCTATAACAGAATACTTGAGACTGGGTAATTTATAAACAAAAGAGGTGTATTTGGCTCACTATCCTATAGTGAGATAGGATAGTGAGTTCCTACCATAGGCTGGGAAGTTTAAGCTTGGGCAGCTGCATCTGGTAGCTTCTAGTAAGGGCCTCATGCTGAGTCAAAGGAAACACAGCGGAGTAATAGAAGGGGAGCTAGGCGCTTTCACAAAAGGGCAAAACACACAAGACGCAAACTCACTTTATAACAACCTATTTTTGGGGAACTAATCTATTCCTGCTAAATTAAACCAGTCTCCAGAAAAAGGTATTAATTCCTCTTAAAGACTTAATCACTTCTTAAAGGCACCACCTCCCAACATTTGCCACATTGGGGGCCAAGCCTCAATGTGAGTTGTGGTGAGGACAAACCATATTCAAACCATAGCAGTAATATTAGACAAGGTTATTCAATCAGCATATATATATATATATATATATACACACACACATACATACACACACACACATATACATATATGTATATGTATATATGTGTATATGTGTATACATGTGTGTATACACAAACACATATATATACACATATACACATATACACATATATACACACATATATACGTATATATATACACACATATATACGTATATATATACACACATATATATACGTATATGTATACACATATATATGTATATATTGTTGTTGTTGTTGTTTGTTTGTTTGTTTGTTTTGAGACAGAGTCTTACCTTGTTGCCCAGGCTGGAATACAGTGGCGCAATCTCGGGTCACTGCAATCCCCACCTCCCAGGTTCAAGCGATTCTCGTGCCTCAGCCAGGCACCACCACGCCCGGCTAATTTTTATTTTTATTTTTTTTAGCAGAGATGGGGTTTCGCCATGTTGGCCAGGCTGGTCTCGAACTCAGGTGATCCGCCCACCTCAGCCTCCCAAAGTGTTGGGATTACAGGCGTCAGCCACTGTGCCCAGCCCAAAGTCAGTATACTTTTATCGAAAGAACTTTACATATTGTGATTCTTTCCACTGACTGTGAAGGTCACCTTAGTTCCTCAAAAGCTTGAGTCATGATTTATCTTCAAGGTAGCCCACAATTCTTTTATTTGGTCTTCATTGATCTCCATTTGAATATGGACATATTGATGACAACCTCAAAAGTTCCCCAACTAGAAATCTTTGGTATCTAATTTTTTTTCTTGAAATTTATTTTAGGATCTGTTTTTTAGTGTCAGAGTAGATAGATCTGCCTGGTTCTTGATTTCAGGACCCTAAGACTCTTAAGAGTCACCTCAAAATGAATGACTTCCAGTCACATTTATTCCTAAGGTGTCATACTCAACAATAGGACAGATGTGTCAGATATGCCAGTACTTACAGTAAAAATAAAAATTATTATTAGGCCACTTGTGCTTCTAGCACTCTATGTTGTAATTCCTTTCCACAGTTCTAACAAAAAGCTCTGTGAATAAAGCAAAACCACAGAGTTACTCTAAAGGTGTTTCCTGTGATGGACATTTAAAATGATTTATTTACTCATCTTTTTTAACTGAGAAGTAAATATTGTATAAATTTATGATGCACATCATGATGTTTTGATATTTAAAGATATTTAAAATATACATTACCTAAAATACTTATTTTTTTCATAGTAAGAACACTTAAAGTTTACTCTGTTAGCAATTGTCAAGCATACAAGATATTGTGATTTTATTTTATTTTATTTTTTATGACGGAGTTTCACTCAGTCCCCAATGATGGAGTGTGGTGGTGCGATCTGGGCTCATTGCAACCTCCACTTTCCAGGTTAAGCGATTCTCCTGCCTCAGCTTCCCGAGTAGCTGGTACTACAGGTGCATGCCACCACACCTGGCTAATTTTTGTATTTTTAGTAGAGACGGGGTTTCACCATGTTGGCCAGGCTGGTCTTGAACTCCTGACATCAAGTAATCCATCCGTCTTGGCCTCCCAAAGTGCTGGGATTACAGCCATGAGCCACCTCTGCGCCTGGCCAGATATTGTTATTAACTATAGTCATCATGATTACAATAGATATCTTGAACTTATTCTTCTTATCTAACTGAAATTTTGTGTCCTCTGACCAAATATTTCTTCAATCCTCAACCTCTAGCTTCTGGTAACTACCAATTTACTCCTTGTTTCTATGAGGCTGTCTTTTTCACACTCCACATGGATTATGCAGTGTTTGTGTTATTGTGCCTGGCTTATTTCACTTAACATAATGTCCTCTGGGTTCATTCATGTTGTTGCAAATGACAGGATTTCCTTCTTTTTAAAGGCTAAGTAGTATTCCATTGTGTATATATATAACATTTGCCTTTATTCATGTATCCATTACTGGATATTTGTGTTGATTCCATATCTTGGCTATTATAAACAGTGCTGCAAAGAACATAAGAGTGTAGATATCTCCTTGACATACCAATTTCATATTTTTGGGATATATACCGGGAGTGAGATTGCTGGGTCATATGGTAGTTCTATATTTGATTTTTTGAGGAACTTCCATACAGTTTTACATAATGACCATACTAATTTACATTCCCACTAGCAATCCACAATGCTTTCCTTTCTCCACATCCTTTATGACAGCCAACATTCATCTTTTATATTTTTTTATAGCAGCCATTTTAACAGGTGTGGGGTGATATTTCATTGTGGTTTAACTTTGATTTCTCAGATTATTAGTTATGTTGAAGATTTCTTTATATGCCTGTTGGCTATTTGAATGTCTTCTCTTGAGAAATGGCTATTCAGGTCATTTGCCCAAAGCATAAACTCTTAAAACTTTGTCTCAGAATAGTGTTTTAGATATAAGTTAGTGATGCTTTTCTTGCATATTCACATTTTTCATTCATTTACTTATCATTAGCTCTTGCATTCAGACATTTATTCATGCAGGCATGTTTATGTTTCTACTACATGCTACACCTTCTTCTAGTTGCTGAAGATACGGCTTTGAACAAAACAAACAATGCTCCTACCCTCATGAGCTATATTCTAGCTTATGTTAGTGGTATAATGTTAGTAATGATTTCTATGGTGTAAATCAGGACTTTAAATTTTCTAAGATATGTTCAGAACATTTATTATTTCTTTCATAATCAAATGAAAAGCATCTAATACAGTCTGATAAACTGAGAACTTGTAATTACTTCTCCTCAACCTAAATATTTAATGTATATTGTAAATGTAGTAGAATAGCCTCTTTGTGGTAGCAAGCTAGTTTTTGGATTCTTGAAATACAAATATATGTTAATGTATTCTAAGTAGCTATTCATTTCTTTTTTACACATTTCCTGTGATGAATGGCTGTGCTAACAACATAATCTGAGCTAACTTTGTCTGAAATGCTGATATCCTCCATACCCGTGTTTCTCCTCATTTTTTGGTGCTTACATGACCTCAGAAAACTTTATGTAAATGAAAGTGTCTTTGATAAATTTTAGAAAGAAGTGACATTCTTTTAGCCAGACTTTACAGAGACTGGATTATTGTTTTCTATCCTCACAGTGTCAAACACAAGGTACTCACTTGTTGGCTGATTTTAAAATTAAAAGCCGTGAGACCCAGAACAAAAGTGGTTCGCAGAGACGAGGATCTCTATATTCCTAATACTTTCATTTCTCTCTAACACTAGAACTGGCAGAACAAAGAGAAGAGATAGCAATAGCAGAGCCAAGGGCCCTTCTGAGGAACCTGGGCTCATATTGTGTGCTGCCAGGTGGAAATCAGGAAGGAATGCCAAGATAGAGCCAATGCTATAGGAACTGGAACCATGGAGAAAGCAGCCACTACCTAGATGCCCCCTAGAAAATGAGAAAAATAGAACTATATACCTTTATATACATGATAGCTTCTCACATGCTGTAGCACTCCAAAATCCTCTCAGAGTCTCTCACTGGCTACACCTACCTAGAAGCCAGCTTGTAAGGAAGCCTAGGAAATGTTACTTGCAGAGTGGAAATGCAAGTATTAGATCTGAGATCAGGGCAGTAAAGGACTAGTGTGACCCAACCATATTGTAACTAAGCTTCCATTCTCATATTTCTGTTCATATTTAATTGCTTTACATCAATAATTGCATGTTGATGTTTGATTACATCAACAATTGCATGTTGATGTTTGATTACATCAACAATTGCATGTTGATGTTTGATTACATCAACAATTGCATGTTGATGTTTGATTACATCAACAATTGCATGTTGATGTTTGATTACATCAACAATTGCATGTTGATGTTTGATTACATCAACAATTGTATGAGGCAACTGTCAATTGTACAATTGAAAATACTCTCTTTCTTCCACTACAAAACAGGAGAGGTCCAGCACCCTATCAGTCACCACATGCATCTCAAAGTTCAGCGTCTCTCTCTCTAGATGGTTTAGCAGATCTGAATGTGGTTACTCAGGACTAGTGACTTATAAACTAAATCTTAAAATAGAGTGATATAAAATAGAAGAATGTCAAAGGGAAAAACAAATAATTGGTTAAAATATGTATGTATATTCATAACTCTAATACGAGGCTTGTTTTTAATAGTGCCTTGGTTTTTATAATTGGTTAAAGGTCATGTTGATAACTATCACTTTCTTCTTTCATAACCAATTTCACGCTTTCAGTGTCTCAGAGAGTAAGAATTTTTGCTTGGTTGGATAACTCAACTTTTATTCTTGAAGATTTTTCAGGGTTCCTGGCTTTATTGAATTGTTTTAGTCTTTCGTTACCTTTTACTTTTGAACATGGATGTAATCAGAGGTATTCCTGTGAAACTCCTGGTTACAGAAATAGTCTTTCCTGACTTCACTGTGTAGCAGCAACTCAGTTATTTCTTGATAAACAGGATCAACCAACCCATCTAGTATAGTAACACATGTTAACTATGACTATTGGTTTAGTAACATAGGAGGAAGACAAAATAGCAAAATGATAGTCTCAACTTGCAATTAATTAAAAGCTCTGTGTCTTCTGGTGGTAGCATTTCTCCCATAGGGATTAACAACTAAACCAGCAGAGCCCCTGATTATGGGATTACAATGCACAATTCTGCTGATGGGGCATTAATTATAATAGAGTGACCACTCTGACTCTCACCCTTTTATTCCTAGACCCATGTATTTTGGCTATGAGTGAAATAGTATCATTTATTGATGGCTTATTCAAAGTATATTTCTCTTCTCTATGATCACATCTCAGCCTAGCAGGGAAGGAAAGAAGGAGAGTTAATTTTATTTACTGAAGAAACTTGACAAGATCAAAAGTCACTGTCTTTATGGATGAACCACAGATGTCTGCTAAGATTAAATTAAAATAAGAATAAATTTATAATAGTTCTGCCACTGTATGGATGCTTATTCTATATATAGTGTTTTTATTATCACAAAACAATGAATACTTATTGAATGGAAGTTTGGCTCAGGCATTAACTGTTGATACATCTTGAAATTTAGGGAACAAATTTTATTTCTTTAAAAAAGTGTATATGGGTCCATAATTTTTATTTTGTATTTTTATTAATTTCATATAAGCCATGCACTTCAAAAAATGAAATAGCATGAAAGGGCTTGTCATGGAAAGCAACAATTCCCTTGACTTACCTTATCCTAACCCAATAGGCAACAAACTGTAGCTTTCTGTTTCGGGATCATTTTGTTAAATCTTCATATTATTAAATAGATGTTTTTATTGCTATTTCTTGGTATATCTATTTTAGCCATGATTTGTTGATTGCTTTTGGATGGATGCAAAGAAAAACACTTGCCTTCTTAGATCCCCTTCTTACCTTTGCATGTTTGATTATAATATGTTGACTTCTTCTAGGGTATCTGATTTGTTTCAGTTGCTTTCAATAAAATGCTTACTTACACCTTTATTTTCTGGCTTGCCTACTATGGGTCATAGCTTGCAAGTATACTTGGTGAATGAGGTGCTAACCCTGCCCTTCCCTCCCCTGCCCCTGCATCCTGCGTGTTGAACACTCACCCCTCCTTGGCTGCAACCCATTCCATGAGCATTCTGGGCTTTCTCTACCTGCTTGACTGGGCACCACTGTTCCGCATGCTGTCTTTATGAAACCTGTTACAATTTTCTCTTTGCTGTTAGTGCATTCCTTATTTCTGTGTTTGTGAGTTTAAAACATAATTATTTCTTTACTTCCATAATAATAAAGTATGAGAGGAAGAGGAAGTAAATGTCTTCCTTTGACTAAATTAAACCAGAGCTTCTTTTGTTTCTTTTGGCTTTTATTCAATATTTATTGGTTTGCTTTAAGTTTTATCCTTTTTTCTGCTTTATTTGAATGGTAGAGTTTGACTTGATATTTTGTCTTCTTCCAAGGATAAGAAGGCTTAATTTCTTTGGCAAGGGTGTATCTAGTTTTAAAATTAGTATTTTTCCTTTGTATTTGTTACCTGCGCTTGGAAAGTTTCAATTTCATCTCATATATTATAGTATTACTCAACTTTATCTAATATGTTGAGCTGTACTATTTAACAATAACCATAATTTCTTACCTTTATAAAATATTTTATGCCACAGAGTCACATAAATTATCTCACTTTTAAAAAAGTCATTTTGATATTTGCCTAAAGAAAAACTTCATACTAATCTTTCCCTCCCCAAAGTCAGCTTAGGTATAGAAATATTACTGACCTCCAGAATCCTCATTTTTAGATTACCTCCCCTTCCTGTGTACTTCCATTTTAATATTATATCATTTAGAGAGTACTAGTTTAATTATAGTGTTGTGGCAAATGCTGTGTTAAAGTTTACAGACATTGTTGTTACAAAAAGTATTGGCATTTTTGTTGATGTTGAAAAACTTATTTTTAGCAGTTCAAAGAAAAAAATAAAAAAATTAATATAGAGAACATACCTCCCTCCCTCATAGTCTATATTAATAAACAAATGAAATTAAAATTCTAAATTTTTATTTTCCAAATGAATCATCTAAGGTTATTTTGACAAATTCCTGATCTTTAGGAATTTCTTAACTAAGGCAGATAACATTGATTTGGCCAGGATATTTAGTAAAAAGATACTTAACATATTTAACATCTAATTTAGATATTAGCAAGCAGATTCTTGAAAGATGAAATTAAGAGCTCTACATCTGCCTCTATGATCAGAGTCAGCAGTTTGAATGAGTTTCAGCCACAGTTGACGTAGACGGAGTGCTTTTTCTGCTAGGTGAGCATCCCGAAACACAAGGAAAACTGTGATGGTGAGGCAGAGCAGGCGTCATGCTGACAGCTGAGATGCTTGTGATACGTTCGCTGGCCCTGTGGTCTTGTTATTTGGTTATGTTGACATCAAAAGAGCACCCGTGAGATTCATCAGATTGACAGCGTGGTTGACACACAGCTACAGCTTTTATAAATATTTATATTAGGGCTCAAGGAAAAGGATAAATAAGTGCACATTGTTGGGTGCCGAGTAAATAGGAAGGTGCAGTTTAGGGAGATTATCTTGCTTTTCTAAGTAACCGATGTAGGATTTGTGTGGAAGGAGTGGTTCCAAAAGTGTAGGATAATCTGAAGAGTATGATGAACAAATTTGCTCAGGACAGGAAAGAAGATGTTGTTTTAGCATCTTAACATTTTACTTTACACATGCATTTCATTTAAAAATTTCCACATTATTTTTCTTCAACTTTTAATTTAAGTTCTGGGGTACACGTGCAGGAAGTGCAGGTTTGTTACATAGGTGTGCCGTGGTGGTTTGCAGCACAGACCAACCCATCATCTAGGTATTAAGCCCAACATCCATTAGCTCTTCTTCTTGATGCTCTCCCTTCCGCTGCCTCTCTCCAACAGGCCCCAATGTATGTTGTTCCCCACCATGTGTCTATGTGTTCTCATCATTCAGCTCCTTCTTGTAAGTGAGAACATTTGGTGCTTGGTTTTGTGTTCCCCATTTAGTTTGCTGAGGATAACAGCTTCTGGCTCCATCCATGTCCCTGCAAAGGACATGATCTAGTTTCTTTTTATGGCTGCATAGTATTCCATGGTGTATATGTACCACATTGTCTTTATCTAGTCTATCATTGATGGCCATTTATGTTGATTCCATGTCTTTGCAATTATGAATAGTGCTACAGTGAACATACATGTGCATGTATTTTTATAATAGAATGATTTATATTCCTTTAGGTATATACCCAGCAATGATTATATACCCAAAGAGGTACCATTTGACCCAAATTGCTGGGTCAAATGGTATTTCTGCCTCTAGATCTTTTAGAAATTGCCACACTGTCTTCCATAATGGTTGAACTAATTTACACTCCCACCAACAGTGTGAAAATGTTCCTTTTTCTCTGCAACCTCTCCAGCATCTGTTGTTTCTGGATTTTTTAGTAATCGCCATTCTGACTGGCATTAGATGGTATCTCATTGTGGTTTTGTTTTGCATTTCTCTAACTATCAGTGATGAACTTTTTTTCATATGTTTATTGGCCAAACGAATGTCTTCTAAGCAGTGTCACATACACTCATATGTTCATCACCATACTATTCACAATAGCAAAGACATGGAAACAACCTGGGTGTTCATCAACAGTGGACTGGATAAAGAAAATATGGCATATATGCACCATGGAATACTATACAGCCATAAGGAAGAATGACATCATGTCCTTTGCAGCAACATGGTTGCAGCTGGAAGACATTATCCTAAACAAATTAAGGCAAGAACAGAAAACCAAATATTGCATATTCTCACTTATAAGTGGGAGCTAAACATTGGATACACATGGACGTAAAGATGGAAACAATAGATACTAGGGATTACTAGAAGGAGAAGGGAGGAAGGGGGGCAAGGGTTGAAAACTAACTGTTGGGTACTATGCTCACTACTTGGGCAATGGGATCCAATCATACCTCAAACCTCAGCATTACACAATATACCCATGTAACAAACTTGTACACGTATTCCCTGATTCTAAAATACAATTTGAGTTCTTTTTTAAATAGAAAATTTCAAAATTTATTTACCTCTCAATGCATGTGATTTTTTTGTTCATGTCTCTTTACCCCTAGACTATAAAATGTTTTATAGCAGGATCTGTAATAATTAAGACCTGGACATTTCATAGAATCTATACTAATTGTGATACCTTCTATATTCAACCTATGTACAGCATAAGATGTAGTTAAGTGTTTTGAACATTATAGCTCCTCCAACAGTATTTGTTGAATACATTTATTAAAGATAATAGGTTGTTTGCAGTAGGTTCTAGATAACATGATTGCAGTTTGAGAACAAACTCAATTCTTTTCTATTTCAGACAGTGTTCTACTGAATACCAAACACAAAAATGAACACTATTGCTACCATAAAGGTTGACAACTTTTATTAATATTTAATAATTTGTTTTTAATGGTTCAAGGAACGATGGGAATGTTAATATTGAAAACACAACTTCCTCACTCATGTTTTTCATTAGTATTAAAATGAAAGCATCAACCCTAGTTTTTTATTTCTTTTACATCTAAATAATTAAGAACCTTTCACAATTTTCTAAACATAATTTATTAAATAACAAAGTCATAGCTTTGAAATTCAAGGAAATTGACATTTTAAGCTCTGATTTATGATTTTCTTGCAGACAGCATTAGTAATCTGATTATTTTTACACTGATGAAAAATAGTTCAATGAGAAATTTACTCAGACACTTGTACCTTGACATTATATGTAGAAAAATAAAGATACAATATTTGTAAATTTATGTACCAGAAAGTGAAACATATTTGCTTTGGATTAATGAGATATGAGATTAGTTCATTTAAATAGCTGTTTAAATGTCTCTCTCATCTAGTTTTCCTATTGTGTATTTCCACATAAAGAAACATGCACCACTATTGCTACCATAAAGGTTGACAACTTCTGAAAGGTCAGAAGTCTAAAATAGTAAACACATGCCACTCAAATTCATGATACACTCTACTAAGACCCAGAGAAAGGAATCTGTAGGAATCCTATAAATCATCTCCTATTACCCTTCTTTATTAACACACAGCAATCCAATTTCCTCTTATAATATCTTCACTGTTTATGTTTTCGATCCTTTAATCATTAGAGTGGCTATTTTTGTGCAGAGTACATAATATGCTTAATCTCTTTTGTTAATAGAGATTTTTTAAAAGAACTTTTAGATGTGGGATTCATTTTAAAAGCAGATTGTGCAATTTTTCTCCTTCATGTATTTAAAAAGGTTTTAATAATGTTTATTTCTAAAGGTTTGGATACAGTTGGCAAATATTTAGACATGTAAGTCTAGAGCCAACTTTTTCAACTTTATATGTAGTAAATATACTTTACACATTTCAAAGTTGTTCTCTCATCTGTCTCCAGTGTCTTTATAAGATAAATGGCTGGTGTGTCTTGAGCTCCTAACTATAATGCTAAATTTTGTTTCTTTTAATATTTTAAAATCACATTAACTTTTTATATTTTTATATATTTATTTTTCAAGGCTTAGACAATCTACATACTTGTTAAGTTTCAGTCTAGATGTCAATTTTTCTGCCCTTTTCTATTAGCTTTGAAATTCTCTTAAATAGAGATAATGTGGGAAGATTTTCATAGTCTAGTCATCACATATCAAATATCAAGGCCATTAACAGTAAGAAAGCATTTGTTTAATCTCATCACCACTGTCTTTATGGTTTGTTTTATCTAAATCCAAACCAGATGTTGAGCAGGAGTAGCTCCCTGTGACATCCATACTTTGTGTGTGTGTGTCTATTTCCTTCAGAAATTAGAATGTTTGGTCTGTTTAATTTTGTTTTTTGAAACCTCAGCCATCTGATGTGGTGAACATATTTCAGAATTTACAATTGTTTTTTGGCCTGAATAAGATCAAATTTTCTACAGCATTCATAATTTTTCTTGGCACAATTCTTCCTTGTGTTTCTTATACATGTTGTTCCCTTCTGAAAAAATTTTCTGGCTGTGTCAAAGAAATATATCTTTGAAATTATGGATTAGACCATGTAGCTGATGACAAAATCAAATTGATGGTTCACCAACAATAGAAACATAAGTGGTTAATTGCTATATATCTTCATGTCACAATTTTTAAAAGCTACATAGCTACATCTTGATGGTGGAAATATTTCTAGTAACCAACATTTATTGAATGCTTCCTATATAGTCGGCATTGTGGTAACATTTTGTGGCAGGGACTATTATTGTTATCACTGTTCGCTATCGCTAAGTGGATGTGGGCAAAGTCACATACCAAATAGTTAGTTGCACCAGGATTTGAATTCAAGTAGTTTCACCCCAATGTCCACATTCCAAGTCCCAGCATACCACAGTGCCACAGGGAGGTGACAGCTCTCTGTGGCTGGGCCCCTCATCATACCACATTTCTAAACAAGATTATCTTCTTTGTTGCATTTTACATAGGCATGGTTAAAGCAGATGTCCCTATGTACTAAACATGTAAGCATTCAATCATGGAAATATTTATTCGTGTATTTACATGTCAGATCTTATAGAGCAATATTTAAGTTATCAAAAGACATAGCATGTAGTACTGAGTATTAGCATAATATTAAAGAAAGAACCTTGGAGTTGCAATCAAAAGGCATGGACTCATTCTGTCTCTTCTACTTGAGAAATGAATGTTTTAAATAAGTTACCTGAGCGTCATTGGTTCTCAGAATCCTCATTCATAAAAAGAAGATAATAATATTTATACTAATACTTTTCTCTGACTGGATTTTTACAAAGATTAAAGGGACTAATTAACACAAAAGTAAGAGTAAAGAATATAGTAGAAAAGCAATAGATGATGGTGCTTTTGCTTCCTTCTTACCAAGCAGATGTTTTAAAAATAGTCAAAATAATATCTTGCAAGTACCCAGAACTCAAACTATTTGATGATGGGTTGCTTAACTTTTAGTAATTATGATGGAAACCAAAACTTGTCATTAACTAAATGATTACATCATTTTATATTATTGGTGAGAAATCATTTTAGTACTATAAGCATTGAGATGTTAATTAAATGATTCACACTGTTCATAAAATTTCTAAAATGAAGATAGTTTAAAAAGTGATTTTCAGACTGTGAAGTTGTAGCCCATTAGAGGGTGATGAAATCAATTTACATCTCATTTTAGAGAGAATGTTTATATTTTAATACAAAAAGAGGAATATATCACTCATAGTTAAGTATTATTTTTGTGAAATTTTCCATTTGATTTTATACACATACAGACATACACATGTCTGTACCTGGTCATATGTATGTATGTGTGTATGTATTGGTTTGTGATATAAATGTTATTTCTTACCATAAATTTCACTATTTAGAAAAAGTTACTCTCCACAATGCTGGCTGTCAGTGTTCCATACACAGGATGGTGTGTTTAAAAGGTGTGCATGTTACCCAGGCTTGGCCAATCAGAATCTTTCCTAAGATTGTTAAATTAAGTTTAATAATTGTTAGATTGTTAAATTAAGTTTTAAATTAATTGTTAAATTAAATTTCCTAAAATTGTTAAATTGTCTCTGGTAGACATTCTAGAAACATATGTAACAGAGACAGACACACACACACAAACACATACACACACACACACAGAGGGAGAGAGATGAGAAAAGATATGAGGTGATAAGGAAGAGAAATGCAGAAAAATAGAGATATGCATAAAGAAACACAGAGATAGAAAAATGCAGATAAATAGTGACAATAAATTAGAAAAATAGAAAGGCACTGCAGTGAAAGAGACACAACAGGGGGACAGAGACAGAAAATGCAGAGAGATATGCAGAAAGAACTATACAGGGGCAAAGATACACGGAGAAAAGGAGACAGATGCCCAGATAGAAATACAACAGAAACAGAAGAGAGATGAAGATCTTATTGAATATCTGGAACTAGTTGCTTCTGTAATCAACTTGACCTTAGGCTTCCTTGTACCATGAACAAAATATATTTGGTTTTCTATCATTTAGAACCAAAAATAGTACTTTTATTGCTGGTTATGCTTTCTTAACAATAAAAATTATTCTCAATTTTAAAAAAAGGTCACTCTTGTGAGGGCCTGTTAGTCTCTGATCAGGATGTTTGCTGCATGTTTTCCCCAGAAAGATGCAGTAGTACTGCTATAGGTATCATCTGTACTCACTCATGGATTTTGCTCCCCCGACGTCTTAGCACATCCTCTACAATTATGACATGGGTTTTTATCCCAGTGCTCACCAGCTTGCTATCATAACACATAATTTGGAAGAATTTCTTGACATCTTTTGCTTAAAGCTAATTTTTTTTTAAACTGATGCATGCTTTCTGCTACCAGTTGCTTTTAGCCATCAAAAGGAGGCTTGGCGAATTTAAAACAGAGAGAGAGAGAGATGAATTATTCTTTTTTATTTGCTCATTTCCCGACAATTCTTGCTAATTTTAATGGGTTTTGATGTGCAAAAATGATCTCCTGAGAACAGTTCAATCATTGCAGAGCACATTAAAATAACAAGGCATTATGCCGTCTTGAGTCCCTAAGAGAGGCAGGTTTGGCAGGGCAAAAGTGCAAGAAAGACCTGCACATTACAGTGAGATTTTACTGGAGATGTGTGCATGTGAACTTCACTCAGGCTCAGGCAGCTGAAGGGAAGGAGATGAAATCTCAGTACCAAACCTGGCAGGCCAGATTGACATGAGGGCCATCTGGTTCCTCTCACGAATGTCAGGTAGCAGAATGAGCAGACAGCGAAAGCTCATTGCTGAGATCTAGTTCATTGTGAACTGATTTAGAGCTGCGGGAAAATTTTGCTTCTCTGAACCACACGGCAGAACATAACCTTCACACATCTCCCTCTGCCTTTAGCAAACTGGGCAGGGGAGTGGGTGCCTTGAAAACAATGACAGGACGGAAAGAGGAAGCGGTGTGGTTGACGTTTTACTTTTAAACACATTTTTAAAGAGTATAGCTTTACAAACCCCTCCACTGCCAACCCTCAAGTTCCACCTTCCACTCCTCTGTAAAACTGAGCTGGAAATAATTAAATCTAAAGCTAAAAATGAGAGGTGGGGAGACATGTTGTGTGTAAAAATATGGCTAAAGAAGCTTCGCTATTTCTTTGAATCCCTTGATACTTCTTTTATGCATATACTTACGAGTTGTTGGAGAGGAAAATATAATATAATATTTTATCTTCTAAATTAAAGAGTGTATTTTGCTGCCATTAAGATACCATGGGCTTTGCTTTATTGGATCATTAATTTGACTTTGAATGGTCAAAGGCTTATTCAGTAAGCATGTATCTTGCAACACACAAGAGGTATATATTAATGAAAGACTAAAACACACCCAGGAGTCTCTTACTGCCTTATTAAAACATTTATAAATGGGACTTTAAAGTGCTGCTAAAATGAAAATGAAATGTATTGATTCTCATGCCAGATGCTCTTTAGAAAATGCAGTGTGTGTTATTCCCACCTCAAATTATAACTTCAAATCTGACCTAGATATACTTAAAGATAATTCTCTGAAGACAAGATGTAGCAGATAAGGCAATTAAACCAAGTCATTCAGATTTCTAGGATGGCCTTTGTACACTAGGTGGCAGAGGCTTCTAAGAATATCTCTCTTATATAAAGTACCAGAGGTTTGTTTAGCTTTGCAAGCTCAAGCAAAACATTCATGAAAATGTTCTTCTTCAGCAGTGGACTAAGATTCTCCTTTTTACAAATAAGTGGAAAAATTTAAACAGCATGTTTTGTTCTGTGTGAACCTTCAACAATGCAATACTTTTTTTTTTTAAATTTTTTGGAGACCAAGTCTTGTCTCTGTCACCCAGACTGGAGTGCAGTGGTGTGATCTCAGCTCACTGCAACCTCCACCTCCTGGATTCAAGCAATTCTTGTGCCTCAGCTTCCCGAGTGGCTGGGACTACAGGCGCCCGCCACCACGCCCGGCTAATTTTTTGTGTTTTAGTAGAGACTGGGTTTCACCATGTTGCCCAGGCTGGTCTCGAACTCCTGAGCTCAGACAATCCACCCGCTTCGGCCTCCCAAAGTGGTAGGATTACAGTCATGAGCCACCACACCTGGCCAAATGCAGTATATTTTTTGTTTAGTGAATTTATTTTTTCATAGAATAGCAGAATAGGGTTTTGATAGTGTTAATTTTTAATTTAATTCAACTTTACTTTGGTTTAATTCATTTTTAAAAGCTTTTTTACTTTAACACAATAAAAAAATTCTTAAATGGCATGATTCAAATGAATGCATGGCGGGGGGGTGATGCCTCACATTCTTACAACACCTCTTTATTTTCGAAAGACCTTTCACATGCATTTTTAAATTTGATCCTTAAAATAACACTGTACTGTATTAGCACAATTTTACAGGACAGGAAATAAATTTCAGACAAGGTGAGTAACTTCTCCAACATTAAGTAATAAAGTGCTACTGTGTTTTTCCTTTCTGTTGGAGCACAAGAACATTCAATAGAATTTTCACTGAAGACGAGCTGTAAGTATATTAGTGGGAGTGGGAAGTGGAAGTGTCATCTATTTTTTAAAAGGTGGCAGATCTACAATATTTAGCAAGAAACAGGGAGAAGGAAAAGCCAAAACAAATGAACTGATTTATTTAAAAACATTATCAGCATTACCCTGAAAATTATCAAAATCTTATATGCTATATCAATATATTTTTGGAACCATTTTATGGAAGTATCCTTAATAGAGTTTTAATGCATTTAATGCATGCTGTTTTTTTCAGGTGTCCAAAGAGAAGTGCGCCTTTTGCAATAGATCGATATTTCTCTAAGCCTGTTTCCCACACCAACTAATATCAGATTCACTACAGTTTCTTAAGAATAGACTTCTAGCTCCTACTCCCAACCAAATTAATCACAGTTTTTGGGAACTAACCCAGGTATCTTCATTTTCAACCAGCATCTAAGACTTGGCTAGTAAGTTGTGAGAATCAACAGATTTTACTTTTTTTGATATGATATAGATGCAGGCAGAAATATCTAAATAGGTTTATAATCACGCCAAATCTTTTTTTTTCAATTATCATAAATTACCACAAAAATTTTGTTCCATGTGAAAAGATTACCTAATGAATGAATAAGTAACTTGGAACTTTAAATAAAGAAAATGGACAGACACTCATTCACACACGTACATAGAGGAGGCACATTGCAGTAAAAGAATTTCTTTTCTAGATTAATGGTTGTAAATGACCCCAATCAAATATTAGTTAATAAGGCAACAACGTCCTTTGAAAAATAATTTGAGAAATAACAACAATTTTGTTTCTGCTACTAATTTTTACCTCTGGTTGCTAAATGATCTAACAACTACCCATTGTTCTCTCTGTGTTTTTTTTTTCTAGTGTAAATTTGGTAGACTTAATTACAGGTGATAATAGTAGCATTTTTGAGGAATGACAATCTGTTGTGCATTTTCATGCATAATTATAAAAGCACTCTTGACAAATGAATTGATCACCTACACAAAATAGGCATGGGTGTAAATGCAGGTCAGTCAAATGGAAGATCAATCATGTTAAGCAATATTTTCCAACAGTTCTTTTGAGAGCTATTCGGAGAAACAACAAGGAAAATAAGTTTTAAATAATCTTGGAGATGCTATATTTTAAAACATACTAAGAACATTTTTTTGTTTGTTTTTAACTGCAAGATTTCTTAAAGCAATGAACAGACCAATGTGCAGTGAATTTCTTGGAGGCAACTGTATAGTTCACTGTTGAATGTATTTGGCAACAAGACATTTTTGCAGTTATCTTGTGGGACTAGGTTAATGTCGGATGGATTCAGAAAATCTGAATTTAAGAGTATACAGCGCTGATGAACCACATTATCTATTACTTCTAGCCTGTTTAAGATCTGTCTTTCTAGGAAAAAAAATGAATTTTAGATGATTTGTATACTACAGGCAGTATGGCCCATCGTAAAAGTTTAAAAACCTTCCCTTATCCCCCTTCTTCCCAAAAGCATATGTAACTCTTTTGCCTTGAGAATGAATAATGGTTTTTCCTCACTTCAAACATGATTGAATAACCTACAAAGACCCAAATACAATGGGAAAGACAGAAGAGAGTACTAATTCATTGGTTATTGATTATAGCTCTGCTGATTTTGTACCATCCCATCTTGGTCATTTTTATGGGTTCTAACATATTCCATCTGCTGAGCACCTATTTCTCTGCATCTTTAAACTGACACTGAACACGTGGACTCTAATTAGTTCTTTTACAATTTCCTGGAGTATGTTCTTACTTGTTTATTTGAAATCTCATGGCCTCTTGATGGCTCTTTACTATCTAGGTTGTTACACATAATTCAAAGATACAGAAAACACAGTGAACATTTAGATCAACTAACTCATACTACAAAAGAGGAAATACAACATATTACTTCTTATCTACTCCTGCCCGTGAGAATTTGCAATGTAATAATGATTCTTTGAAACCTTGCTGATTTCTACAGTCTCCAGACCTAAATTCTCCAAAGTGATATCTTCAAACTACTGCTTAGAACATGGTCTGTCCCTGGAGGAGAGTGAGGTACTCCCCAATCCCTACCACTCACATAGAAACGTTTATGGGAATAGGGCTAAGCTAAAAATTTCATGAAGCAATAAACTGTTTCTGAGCCAGTGCTAGCATTGTTTCACATCTCTGTATTTCAGGACTTAGCTTTGCAGCTCTTGCCTAACACAGAGAAAGCCCTCAGTATCTTTGTGTTAGAGGAATAATCAGAAAATATAGATAAATAAATTGAAAGCGACGGCTAGAGCTAATTGTCAACAATACAAACTGTATACCTTGAAGGACATGGTCTAAAATCTATTTTTTTAAGGTAGAAAAAGGATTGTCTTCTTTACTATATTTCCAAAGAGCATGATTAAGCCCTCATCAATTTCTGCACCTGTGAATGTGCTTTGGCATTATACTTACACAGCATCAGATATTTTATACTCCGGATAATTAGTGGACAGTTTTGCACCTTTGATTTGATATTATACCATCAGTATTCAACAGTTATTTTAACCACTACTGAAATATTTTAAATTCACTGCCATTTAATCATAGTAATTATCCTGTCTGCGGAAGTTTCCAGTGACAGAGAACTACTCTGTGACTGACAACCAATGATGAATAGTTTTTTTCTGACACTAAGTTTGGCTAACAAGTAAGTGAGGATCCTTCACATTTTCTTTGCTTTGCCTTGCCAAGTGTCAAAACTGTAAGTCCTCTGGCTGACATTTGACTTGGTGAAACTATAATTGTCTCGTTAGTTGTGGCTCTGTTAGAGAAAAATTATATATATAATCAACTGTCAGCTCAGATGAATTTCTCAGCTATATGGCTTACTTTTGTGTGTTACAGAATTAACTGGAAAATTTATTTTCCTCTCTAATCTCTCGTAGAATATACTAATTGAATTTTCATTTCCAACCCATAAAACTCCCACATCCTGCTTTGTTTTTTTTTTTATAAAGAGAAACTTTAGCACAGAATGCATATGGCCCAAAGACATGTTGAAACATATACTGAATATACTCTACAAAATTTTAAATATACATGTGAAAAATTCTCATGAATATGTGACATAAAAGGTAAAATGAAAATTGACGTTTTGTAATATACTGTTAAGAAGTGGACATTAGGAAATAGTTCATTCTTTTTTTGATACATATGGTAATGAGCCTTTAGGGAAGGTTATGGTGTGAAATCTAAGATTCAGGGATTCAGATTTTTCTCAGGGAATTATGTGCAATTAAAAAACAAGATTTAATAGGTGTGGTATAAAATTGTCTTAAGTGATTCTATTCCAAGGGGAGGAAATCATATTTTTCTAACATTGAAACTAAGAGAAATTTGGAGAGAATTCAGAAAACAGGAAAACAATTTGGTTTCAGAGAATTAATTGCTGTAATACCAGAACACTAAACCTGGAGTTTCAAGTGTGTTGTATATGATGACCAGGCCTTACGATGTCATTTTTCTTACCTTTGGTAGGATAGAAAATGACTATGATGGCTTGTTTATTACGTTCTAGAATTCTTATTAGATAATTATGTAAGTTATATTATTTAATGCTTCTTACAAGTCAAAGATATATTATTATATCTCTTATTTTGCAGATTAGGGCACAATATTTGAATATTAAGTCATGATACCTAATGTTATAGTGTCAGGGAATGGTTAAACTTAAAGTCCAATCTGAATGCAAAGACAGTGTTCTTTCTACAAACTCTTCAATTATATAGTCTGTATAAGAGAACTCTTTTTGCTGAATTAATCAATTTAGTTACTAGAGTAAAGCTGGTATAATTTAATTTCTCAAAGACCTTGGCTTAATACAGGAACATAATAAATTAAAATAGAGTAAAAATCTCTTGAAATAACTATGATGTGTCTCTCAGGATAATAAAAAAAGGAGGATGACTTCAAGGTCCAATAGTAGTTGGATGATTAAACAAATTATGCTATGTCCATATAACAGGTTATACATATTTTAAATCATTACTTTAGTTGTACAACATAAACTTTTCCATATGTCACCAGATGTTACAGTAAAACATTAAGGGAAAATAATACCAATGAAGGGAAATCTTAACCTAATATCTAATACTTTATCACTTAATAGGGTTTTGAGGAACACCTTTCTTATTTCTTTGTTCCTTTTAATTTAGAATCCCAGAGATTTTGTATAACTGAAAAAAAAATGAACCCAGTAAATATTTTACATGTTCTAAAAGTTCTCACATTCTCAACATTATTTAGAAAATGAATGGAAAACATTGACATAACACTAACTTGTGTCTGCCTTATTAAATTTCAAAATCTTTAAAACTATCACAACTTCCTTAAAGGTAAAATGACCTATTTTACAATTAAAAAATAGTCTGGGTACTAATTGAATCTAGAATTAAAACTTGAATCTTTGAGTGTCTTGGCCCTTAAAATAATTTTGTTTCTGAATACCAATTAGAATTTGACCTAAAGACATCTGATATATGAAGGCTTTTTAATTTTTATAATTTCCATGAAAGTAATAGTAAGCACACTAATTCTAGTTTTCTAACAGAGAAGACAGATTAAGTGTTGCTTATCTGTGAGGTGTTTCTCTAATTTTGATAATTTCATATCATATATTCTTAAACGGATGTTTTAGGTTTGTATTCATTTGAATTTTTTCTCAATTATGTTATGTAATGATAAACAATCTATTAACAGCACCTTAACAGAAATAATTCTTTAGAGACAATGGAAGAAGCTAGAAGCTCTATTGGTGGTGTAGTTTTTTAACAGGTGTAAAGTGTGTTATTACAACATTCAGTTGCTATCCACTTTATTTAATTTTATAACCACTACTATCCTAATAGCATGAACATAAAGCAACTTTAGAGTATTTTTGAGAGATCACTTCTTGTGGAAATTACATCAATAGGTCATTGATTTCTCTGGTACAAATGACCTTGAACAAAATGCTGCCATGGGCAAAACAAAGTCATTATAACTATCCACTACACTGTGGACTGTGTTAAATAATCATAATCCAAAGAAGAAGCTCCAAAATGTTGGTCTCTGGTATGAATCTGTAACTTAAAAGCAGTCACACATTGGTAACATCTTCTTTCCTGAATTATGTTACTACATCACAGCAAAGGTCTAAATACACATAGCGACACTTCAACACTCAGAACATTTTCTCAGCATGCCCACAACGTGGAGCTGCAGTGTAAATGAGTCAGACCCATGCGCTGAAACAAGTTGCTGAGTCTAGTGAAACAAAATATACCAGACGGACTGTGAATAAAGTGGTGGGTAGTACCTGAAAGCTTTGCCTTAGGCTGAATTGGAAAGATCTAAACTTTCATTGAAGAAAATATTTATGAATGCGTTACCTAAGATGAAATTAACTAGCACAGATTCAGACTAACACTTGCAGAAGCCCAGATTGTAAATATAAAAATGTCTCTGTTTTTAAGTTGATTAAATCTTCTTGTTCTATTCCTTAGAACTATTAAGTTGTGCCTCTCTATATTTACCTGCCTGTTTTTTAAAACACATACTTTTTTTTTTTTTTTTGCTTTGAAAGTGTGGAATAAAGGAACACTGCTAGGAAAATGAAAAAGCAGGAAAACTTAAAATATGGTTTTTTAGAAAAATATTTATGAAGCAGTTTAGCATACTAACTGCTTTAGTAAAGTGGTTAGAAGATAGATGATTGCTCATGGTTTCCAAATGGGGAAACAAGGACTCAGAAAGCTTAAATAACTTCCCAAATGTAAATCTTGTAGTGGAATCTACAATAATGTCCAATTTGTCCTCTTCTAATTCCAGTCCAGCATTTTTCTAGTACATATTCATTTTTGTTTGGTATATTCTTCAGTATTCCACAGTTTCCTGCATTGAGTTTTTATTCTGTAGTTACTTCCCTCTCTCAGCATTTTCATCCTATTCACCAGCAGAGAAAGAGGGTAGCTTTCTCGATTTCTGTTAATCTTTATCACCAATCACTTGACTGTAGTAGTAACATAAACCTCAATAGCAGAAATGAAGACAACATTTGAAAACTCAGAAAGCTCTCGCTTTTTCTACCTTCTGACCCAGTTTGCAAGAGTATATTGGTAAAAATATCTTGACATCTTTGGAATGCTGTCAAGAAACACAGAGCCCAAATGAAGTCTATATTCATTGTCTCTCACATACATTTTGCCTGTTAAAAATACATTTTGTGCAGTTTAAACCCAAAGTGTCACAGAAGTACTACATTTCTGTGACTTGAAATTCCAAAGTGAGACATTTCAATCTTCTTTAAGCTGGAAACAATTCTTATACTTGTCACCTCTTGTAGTTTATACAGGTCTCTTTTGATCCTCTTGCAGTTACTTGCTGAATATTGAAAGGGGCCTTTTTGACAAATATAAAACAGGGTTTATGTGTGCATGTTTACTTTTATAATTTTTATTTGTTGCTAGGTCCAAGAAGTCTTTTTCTCCCCTTGGCATTACTTTGATGCACCTGTTATGATCCTGCTGAAAGCTCTCTTGCTTCTTTGGAGCCCTGAGAGGAGCTTTGTAACTTTGACATTTTCACTAGCTTTTGACTAGCTGCTAAGATTTCGGCTGCTGTGGTGCAGTACAGAGGCAGCCATGTATTGGGCTGCCAAGTCTCAAACTCTTGTTTGAGAACCTCCAGACCTCACTAAAGAGGATCTGCAGAACAGAACTGTATTCTTTCACAAGGTGGTTGGTGCCAAGGCCGGGTTGGTCTTTGACAGAGCAGAAGCCAGGATGATCAATATCAGAAGCATCCTCACACATGGTTTTCAGGTCAGAAGCTGGGGTTAGGGATGAATTTTGCCAAGTATTGGATATAATGGGGGATATTTAGAAAAGGTGCCAGGCATTGAACTGATTCAAATTTCTCCCAGTATCTACTGTTTTTGTAAAAGCAAGAAATTTTGCATTGGAAATAACCTAATTAGTTTAGAAAACCAAATAAATAAGAAAATAAGCATAGCATTTTTAAAGGCTTAGCTATTTAAGCATTTAAAATACTTTCTCTCACAAAAGTTAAACCCTGTTCATGTGTACACTGGTTTTGATAAGATAATATTTAGACTGATGTTGGATTATCTTAACTGAAAGTTTTAATATAGCTTTCAGGGATACTTCATGTACTCTTGAAACTATATCACATATATTTGTATTTATATGTATGTCTGTTGATGTTTCTCTCTGTATACGTAGATACATATCCATATCTAGCTAGCTAGCTCCCATTTGCAGGTTTTGTATATTTAGTTCCAACAGCATAGAAGGGGAAAAGGAACCTAAGACCATAATATTCAGTAGTTTTACAAGCAGGATATTAAAATTCATTTGCAAGTTCTTAGTGGAATTCAGTAGCTTTTGATTATATGTATTCTACTGCAACTTTTTTTTTTTTTTTTGAAATGGAGTTTCACTCTTGTCACCCAGGCTGGAGTGCAATGGCGCAATCTCAGCTCACTGATACCTCCGCCTCCCGGGTTCAAGTGATTCTCCTGTTTCAGCCTCCTGAGTAGCTGGGATTACAGGCACCCGCCACCACGCCCGGCTAATTTTCATATTTTTTATAGAGATGGGGTTTCACCATGTTAGCCAGGCTGGTCTTGAACTCCTGACCTCAGGTGATCCGCCCACCTCAGCCTCCCGAAGTGCTGGGATTACCAGCATGAGCCACCGCACCCAGCCACAACTTAATTTTTTAACTGAATGCTGTTATATATGAGGGTAGCAAACACCTGCGGTCAAGTTTCTCTGGGCCATTTGGAATATTTCAAGAACATTATAGACATAACTTGCATTCCAATTGTTTAAAGAACTGTATGAGTCTGAATGTGGAAATTAACCATTGTTTTCAATGCTAATTTTACAAGACCAATAAGCCTGCAATAGAATGACTAGGAAGGCTACTACCTTCATTAAAGAAAGAAGCTGAATGTGGTGGCTCACACCTCTAATCCCAGCATTTTGGGAGGCCAAAGCGGGAGGATCACTTGAAGCCAGGAATTTGAAACTAGCCTGGGCAATGCAGTGAAACTCCATCTCTACAACAAAAATATGAAAAATTAGCCAGTCCTGGTGGTGCACACCTGTAGTCCCAGCTACTCAGGAGTCCTGAACCCAGGAGGTCGAGACTGTAGTGAGCCATGATTGCACCACTGCACTCCAGCCTGGAAGACAAAGTAAAGTCAGAGACCACAGCCAACCAGAGCACGCATTGCTCTTGGTGGATAAGTGAGGCAAAGCAATTTATACTGTTTACTCCTCTATTTTCCTCTCTTTCCTTGAATTCTTCTAACATTTGTATTTTTATAGCATTGTATCCACAAAATAATGATATCGATGGTGTGGTAGTGTGCTGCTCCACAGGCACATAAATCATCTGACTCAAAGAAATGAAAATCTGGACATTATGATTCCTTAGTGAGCATGATGTGATGTATCCTCCCTCCAGCTGCTGTCAATGACACCACCAGGCTCAGCTCCGGCTCCTCCGGTGCCTCCACACCATAAATGAGACTCAGTTTCTCACTTAAGACTAAAACAGTGCTTCTGTCTAGATCTGTGTTTTTCTACCATTTCAGTTTAGTTTCCACGTACATAAAATTCATTTTTTCATGAGTTAGACATATTTTATTTTTCCTAAAAGCAAGTAATTCAAATGAAACCACCTCTTTCTCCACTTCCTTCTTTGTTTGTCTACTTCTTCTTCCTTCCCTCATGCCACTCCTCCCTCCCACTTCCTCTACTTCCCCTGGAACATCATGAAACACTGTGCTTGCTGATATATTGTATTTGGTTATGTTAGGAGAGCAAAGGAGTATAACATATTGTTCCATTCCCTGGGAAGCTTACCTAGCTAGATAATATTACAAAATTTTAAGTGTTCTGATCCTCAGAAAGATGAGAGGGAGAGATCAGTAAGGCCTAGGTTAGCAAGGACAGGCTTCATTTAATAAATATTTAATGATGATTTACTGTGTGTAATTTATTTGCATGTTGACTGCCCTGCCTCCCAACCCCTCACCGTTCTGCTACTGTAAGCTCTTCATGTGCAAGTATTGTGTTTGTTTTTTCCAAAATTGTATACTGTCTACCTGTGATACTCAAGGTGGGCACTGGAAAGTATTGTTGAGTGAATGCATAAAAGAATGGCAATTGGAGAATTCTAGGTTTTGCTTCTTTCTTTCAAGGAGATGGTACTTCCGTAGGGAAGCATCACAGGAAGAATGTGATGGATTTGCTTTCAGGGAGGGAAAGGATGCACTCAGTTGGGGTCACTCATTGCTGTTTCCTATTTTGTCTAGTTTAAGAAAGGATGAATTCACCCAGCATTGAAATCAAGTGAAAGGTAATTTACTACTTAGTCATTTATGTGTTTTTATCCCAGCATCCAGCTGTTTCCTGGATCATATTTTATTACAGTTTTTATTTATAGTATGTCTTTGCAAGAAAAACATCCGGTGCAGCAGGGCTTAGCAGTTGGTGTGTAATAATGTGTATTTTAAAGCTACATAGAAGACACTTTTTGCAAGTTTCCCTAGAACAGTGAGAGTATCAAATCCCCTTCCCCATTTTTAAAGCTGTGAAGGATTTCCCTTGAGATTTATGGCTTTAGTACAATGGAAAGTGGATTAGACTTGAGGTTAGTGATCACATGTCTGAATCTTCACCCTATCACTTCTTAGCAGTGTGGACTTGGTAAATTAATTAACCTGCGTATGGCTCAGTTAAAACTTGCCTCACAAGTGAGAAGGCGTGAGAGTTAAAGGAAAAAAGATGTCAAGTGTCTGTACTAAGAACATGTATTTTTCTTTTTCCATCTCTCCAGTATAAACAATTTTTGTTCTGGAAGTCTATTATTGCAACTTAGGAAGTAATTTAAATTATTTCATCGGTGTTAATTCTGAATTTTAGCTTCATTTTAAACACTTTGTAGGAATGCCCATATCATATACCTAGTCCATTTTATTTTGTGATTTCTCCAAAACACCAAAATGCAATGCCAGCTCTCAACATATTGTTCTGTCTTTCGACAGGGATTAGAACTCTCTTGGATTATAAATGCATGGATTGCACAGAACATTTTCATGGTACATAATGGGAATGAATTGTTCTTCAAACTTATTTTAGTCCAAAAAAGAACAAATGTTACAAAAGAATCAGGATAATAGCTACATTTTTTGGAATCCTTCCTTATAGCATTTATTTTCAGTTCTTTCAGAGAAGCTCATGGAAATGCGCAGTCATGTCTGTAGATGGCATTCTTGTACCGGATGAAATAAAATGGTAATTAAGTATGCGAGATCTTTCCCAGAACAGTCAACCTGTTTAGTGTTAAGTGCATGCTTAACAATCCATGATACCCATTTTTGGAATTAGGAAATAATGCGTGGGAAGTCGAGATGTATTTTTGGGAAAAAAATAGAGATCAAATACAAACTGATGGGTTCTATAATAATTGTGGTTTTTTTTTTTTAAAGTGTCTTAGAGGAGAAAAGTTGAAAAAGGGTCAAGATGAAAGGCTTCACTTTTATTTTCTGGAAGCGTTTAATTAAACCATAGAGGACCACAACTAATAGGACTGTGGACTGGTCAATGTCAGCCCTAAGCCACCCCAAAATAAAATTCTGCAATATCCCCCATTCCTTTAACATACCTTGTGTGATAAAGAACTTTTTATACATTTTTTTTATTTCTTTATGATTAGCTTTTTCCTGGTTTATGTAAACTGTTCACATATTTTTTCTTTCCTTTTTTTTCTTGAAAAAAAAAACAACAACTGTAATTGGATTTTTGTGTTTCTAATCCTGGCCAGGGTACTAATATTTTGTTGTCGTATATATTTTTGTAGTTTATGAAACATTAAGAAAAATTTCACCTAAAAGGGTGTTTTAATAGTCTGATTATTGGAATAAATTATTGGGATAAAAGTGCACTCTTGTCCTGGAAACTGGCATCTGGGGAACAGCATTACCTACCACATATGATCTAAGACATGTATATGTTGTTTATTCTAAGTTGCCGTTGGTACAAAGAGATTTGAAAACAAGCACCATATTTTTTCCTCCTAAGAACTGTAATTCCTTTGTTTATTTTTGTTTACCAGAATGTCCAGGGGCCTGTATATCACAACTGCTGGGCTATATCCACTTCCACCAAATCAGACTGGGACAAATATTTCATCAGCCTTCACTGTTAGCAAATAACACCCAAGTTTTTATCTCTATTTATTATGAACAATGATAATAATTGTTATACATAGCTGACATTATTAAAAAGACCCAATATTACATAAACGTGATCATAGCTACAATTATGTAAATGTTCTAGTTCTAAGATTATTTAAATTTAGCTTTGTGTAGAGAAGCCATGCTGCATAGTTTTCTTTTGGTGTTCAACGGAGAAAAATATGATATATACAAAAAATGAAACGCTGGGTCTCATTGGACTGGTGGAGATAGCCATGGTGAGATCGAGCATTGATTAAAAGATATTTTAGCACCACCAAGTACTAAGTTCTGTGTTAGGCCCTGCAGAAACAAAACTGGGAAAGATGTAGTCCCAGCCCTTGAGGGTCAATAACTCAGTGCAGGGGGCAGTAACATGTAAAACCGTAATAAGACAAAGCCAGCATTATAAGATATATAAATACAGGATGTTTTAGAGTCAAAGAGGACACAACTAATTTTACTTGAATGAGTTGAGTCAATCTTCATGTGTTGGAACTAAGTCTTGAAGATAGTCATCGGAAGATTTTTTCAATTTACATTTTTTTCCAATGGTTAAATATGACACATAGTGTAAAATATATATGCGCCATTTAATGGATGCATATAAAGTGAACATTATGTAAACATCATCAAGTTAGAAGACAGTGCAATGAAACATCGCCATCTAGAAACATGGGCGTATTACCAGATTGCAAACTCTTGTTTCCTCCCAGATGTAACCAATATCCTGACTTAACTGAGAATCATTTCTTTTCATTAAAAAAAAGTAATATGCTTTTTTTTTTTTTTGACGGGGTCTCGCACTGTAGGCTAGGCTGGGCTGGAGTGCAGTGGAACAATCTTGGCTCACTGCAACCTCCGCCTCCCAGGTTCAAGTGATTCTCCTGCCTCAGCCTTCCGAGTAGCTGGGATTACAGGCACCCACCACCACACCCAGCTAATTTTTTGTATTTTTAGTAGAGACGAGGTTTCACCATGTTGGCCAGGCTGGTCTTGAACTCCTGACCTTGTGACTCGCCTGCCTCAGCCTCCCAAAGTGCTGGGATTACAGGTGTGAGCCACCATGCCCGGCCGTATGCTTTCTTAAATAGCAGAGTTTTGCCTAGTTTTGAACAGCTACCATACTATATGGATTATTTTGTGTCTGGCATCTATTTTGT
The DNA here is from genome assembly GCF_000001405.40 of Homo sapiens. Classification (NCBI taxonomy): domain Eukaryota; kingdom Metazoa; phylum Chordata; class Mammalia; order Primates; family Hominidae; genus Homo; species Homo sapiens. The sequence goes on from NC_000015.10 coordinate 34,624,014, forward strand.
TTGTAAAATCCATCTATATTATTGTATACAGCTGTGATTTATTCATTTTAATTGCTGAATATTTTATGAATATAACAATTTATTGAGCTATTCTATTGCTGATGGATATTTGAGTGTTTTCACATTGGGGCTATTCAGAATAATATTATGGAGAGCTGCCTGTATATAATTGTTGCACGTGCTTATGTTTTCCTACAGTGCACACTGAGGAGAGAAACTGCTGGATTATAAGTTTTGCATACTCTCAGATTTACTAGATAATGTCACACTGCCATTTGATATGGTTGTATCAATTTATATGCTCATGATATGAGATGACATCTCCACATCCTCAGCAACACATAGTATTGTCAGACTGTAAATTTTTTAACCTTGCAGTGAGTTTGTCGTTATATTTTACTTATTTTAATTTATATTTCCCTTATTACTAAAATTTATTGATATTTGCCTTCCCTCTTTATAAAGCATTTGCTTGAATATTTTGCCCATTTTTCATTTAGGTAGTCCTGTCTTTATCTTATTATTGGTAAGAGTTTGTCATTGTCGTTGTTGGTGGTGGTGGTGGTATTTTTGTTTTTAGAGTCCCTATTTAGTTATATTTTTTAAAAATATATTCTCTTACATTATGGTTTGCATTTGCACCATTTTCATGGTGTCTGTGATGCACTAATGTTGTCAGTATTTATATAGTGGAATTTATCAATCATTTACTTTATTATTTGTGCTTTGGGGGGGCTTTAAAATTTAGTCTTTGCCCCAGGAAATAAAAATATGCTGTTAATTATTTTCGCATAGCCTTATGGGCATGCTTTTCACAAAGAGACCTAGAATTGAATTTTAAACACAGGGCCATGCAAGTCCCATTTAGTTTATTTTCTATTTAAATTGATTTCCACTTGGCCCCACATCATTTTCTGCAAAGCTTTTCTCCCCCCACTACTCTGCAGTGCTAATATCTCATTTGTCAAATGTCCATAAATAAATTGGTCTATCTTTGAGCATATTATTCTTTTCCTTTTGTGTATGGGCCTGTCGTCGTCATTGTGCTACTACCATAGTTTGTTATTACTAGAGGTTTATTATAAGTCTGCAAGTCTAGCTGAGCTTTATTCTTCAAGAATGTACTTTCAGATAAATTTTTAAATTATGTTGTCAAATTATATGAAATTTGTTATGGTTTTGGGTGGGATAACATTCCATTCATATTTTTGTAATGTTTCAACTTTTAAACAATGAACATAGTATGTAGCCTTGTTAGTTAACTGCCTTTAACGCTTCTCAGTAATATTTTGTAATTTTCTTGGCGATATCTCACACATCTATTTAGTTATTCCCAGAATATCTAAATTGATATTCACTGATGCTATCGCAATTTATTGAAACTTTGTTTTCATAATGTTGTTTATAAATAGGAAAGCAATTTAATAACGTATGTCAAATTTATATCCAGCAACCTTGTTAAATAACTTAATTAGTCCTAGATGTTTATTTTACATTCCTTTGTATATTATTCTATTGTCTGGGAAAAAGACTTTTCCCCATTTTTTTCAATCCTTATACATTGATTTATTTTCTTGTTCTGTTGCTTTGATTAAAACTTCTACAATGTTGAATAAAAGTGGAGATATTTCTTCTGATGATGATTCTAAATTAAAGTGATAGTTTAGTTATTCATCAATAAGTGTGAGGTTTTCTGTAGGTTTGGTATATATTATGTCAGATAAAGGGAGTTTCCCTCTATTTTTAGTTTGCTAAGAATTTTTTAATGAATGGATATTGAATTTTATCATATGGATTTTCTCAAACTATTAGAAGACATAATGTGATTTCTTCTAATCTATTCATATGATTATTAAACTGATGATGCTAACTAATCATCAAAACTCCAAATCCAACTTAGACATTACATATGATCCTTTTTATATATTGATAGAATCAATTTATTGTTTTTTTATAGGATTTCTGTATCTGTAACTATGAGTAGAATCTGGCTTGAGGTTTTTAAATGTGCAAAAAATTTGAACTAAAGTAAGAATCAAGGTATAATGTGTCATACACATGCAAAATAGAACATATTTTTAATTGTAAAATTGTCTATTTTTCCTAGTAAAATAAAAAGCTTTCACAAAGAATGTTAATATTATCTTGGAATTCTAAATGTTGATTTAACTTGCTTACTGAGGATATTCACAAAGTATGTTCAGGTGTGAAATTTATGCTTTATTTCTTATCTCATCCTGATTTTGTCTCTTTTCTATATGTATAGCTTCAGACAAAAGTGAAGCAAATTAAAGTCCATCCCGCCATCCTTCCAAAGAGCAAAGAAAGTCCATGGAAATTCATCAACATCCAGGTTTCATTGTCTGTCTGTCTGTCTTTTTTTGACAAATGAATCAGGGACTCAAGTGCTCTAAAGCAGCTCAAGTTGATGATTGATGGCTTATAGTTGACTGTAACATGAATAACTTCTAATTTATAGGTGTCTATATATTTTATGCTTGCTCTTCACTTGTAGTTTGAGAAGGACATGCGGGAAATCCCACTCTGTGTTCTCCCAATTCAGTTACACTTGGACTTTACAATGTAGTCATAGCTCTGACAATGAATTAATTTTTTTCAAATAATCCAAAAGCACAAAAGCAGTATAAGATAAAGGCTTTCCTTTAAGGATATGAAAAATATACTGGATAAATAAATGATACCTATATAAAACATTTTTAACAAAGTAAAAAATAGTATGCAATCTTCTTCCAAAATGGATAACATGGCAAACAAATATGTTAAAAGTTTAGAAAAGTGAAATATTTGTTTTAATTGATAGAACTTGAACTAGGGCTTATTGGATCTTCATGAAAAGATACATACAGGAGGAGAGTAAAGATGGGGGATATAGTATAAACAATATTCCCTTTTTTCTTATCATTGTAATTGTGTTGGATCTTCAAGGGAGGAATACACTTTGTAGCAGTGATGCTGTGAATGTTTGTGTCCCCCTAAAACTCTGCATGTATAAACTGTTCTCAAATCTTTGGTTCACTCCTCAACAGTACTTACATGAGGGAGGCTCCAAACATTCCGAAGCAACATAACTGGCAGGCTAAAAGAACCAAGTAGTAAGTCTAGATGCTGGCTACCACAAGTGAGACAGATTGTGAAGTTAGTCCAGATGAGTTAACTAAAAATAACATTCTTCAGAGGAAGATAACAGAATCCAGAGTTTAATACATGTCCACAAACTTCAGTTGAAAATAATAAAAAATATACATGCAAGGAAATATGAGAAACAGGACCAAAAGTAAAATTAAAAGGCAGTTAATATTAAATAAATCATAAACTTGAGATGTCTACATGTTGCATTTAGCAGATAAAGACTTTCAAGCAGTCATATTAAATATGTTCAAGCACTTAAACGTAAATATGTTTACATTGGAAGAACAGAGGTGGAATATCAGTATCTGTCTCTATCTCTCTAAATATCTATCTATCATCTATCAAGAGTGCAAAGTGGAAATTTGAAATACAGTTTCTATTGAATGCATATTGCTTTTATACCATCATAAAATCATAAGTTGAGATATCATAAGTTGGGGAACATTATGTATTGTTAAGAGGTGAATTCTCCCCTAAATTAATGTATGTTTTCAGTGAAATACCAAAATCTCAAGAGGCTGTTTTATATTAAATGACAAAGTATTTAAAAATCTATATGGACATATAGAAGACAGAATAAGCAAAACAATCTTGAAAATGATGCCTATAATTGGAGCATTTACACTATTTGACATCAAAGTTTAAATTAAAGCCAGAGTATTCAGTAGTGTATGGAACTGACACGAGAATAGACAGATAGATCACTAAAGCAAAAAAGTAAGTTCAATGAACTTTTAGCAAAGTTGCCAAAGCAATTCAGTTGGTAAAGGAAAGCACTGTTAATAAATGATTTAAAAACACTGTTCAATTGAATGTGTCTTTGTGTGTGTATGTGTGTGCATGTCACACCATACATACAAATCAATTCATGATGAATCATAGACTTAAACATAAATACAAAATCTAAGAGTGGAAAGATGGTTACCAGAGGCAAGAAAGGGGAGTGGGGAGGGGGAAATAAAGAGCAGTTGTTGAATGGGTAGAAACATGTAGTTAGATAGACAAAGTAAGATCTAGTGTTTGGTGGCATAATAGGGTGACTATAAGTAACAATAAATCTATATTTCAAAATAACTAAAATAGTGGAATTGGAATGTTTCTAACCAAATAAATGATAAATGCTTGTGGTGGTAGATATCCCAATTACCCTGATGTGATCATTACACATTGTGTGTTTATATCAACATATCAGGTGTATCCCATAAATATATACAACTATTATGTATTGATAGAAATTATTTTAAAAAGTATAAAACCTGTAAAGCTTTTAAAAGAATACAAAAATATATCTTCTCGACTTACAGCACAGTAAAGAATAACCAAAACATTAAAAATGCTATGTAAACTGCATCCAAATGAAAAGTATTCTCATGAAAAGACACTTATAATATGCACACAGGCACAAATTAGAACAAATATGCATAAAATCTATATTGGGCAAAGGCTGGTCTAGAATATATAAAGAACTCCTACAGTTTAATTATTAAAAGACAAACAAATAGAAGAACAAAGGACATGAATAGACACTTAGATCATAAAGGAAGATATATGAAATATGAAATGGCAGTTAGCATATACAGATTGCTCAGTTGTTAGTCATCATGGAAATGTAAATCAAGACCATAGCTCAGTTATTAGTTATCATGGAAATGTAAATCAAGACTGCAATGAGATATCATGCCACATAAATTAAATCAGCTGAAATTAAAGACTTAAACTGATTCTTACTGAGCATATAGAATAACTCCTATATTGATTGAAGTTTAGAATGATATAATCACTTTGGAATGTGTTTTTGACACTTTATTATAGTTATACACAACCCTTACTCATTAACTTGGCAATATATCACTAGATATTTACCCGAGATAAATTAAAATATATCCATATAAAGACTTGTTTATACGTACTCACAGCATCATTATTCAAAATAGCCCAACATGGTAAAATGGAAATATCCATCAACAGCAGAAAAGGTAACCTAACTGGTGTATTTACACAATGAGTTCTGAATATAATAGAAAGAAACAAACTAGTGATACATGCAACAACATGGCTGAATAGCAAAAGCATTATGCTGAGTGAAATAAGCCAACATACGATTCCATTTACATGAAGTACTTAATATTGAAATCTAGTGGTGCACAAATCAGAACATTGGTGCTTTGTGTAGAGTGGAAAGATAACTTTCTCAGATTACCTTAATGTTTCTTATCTTTATAGATTATTGGAGTGTGCATTTTCAAAAACTCATTGAATGGTGCATTTAAGGTTTGTGCATTTCACTGTATATCACTACTCACACTCACCCCTCATACATACACAATAACTGTGTATGAGGGGTGACTGTTAGTGACATATAATATACAAATAATGACATATTAACAAGTAATGAACAGTTAATAGATTTTTTTTATTTTGTAGTGGTGTGGGATAGCAATCCTGAAACTATTTTCTGGCACTTTAGTTGCAATCAAATGAATGAATATATTGAGGATGATAGGAGGAGCTATTCCTAACTGTTAGAGAATGTGTACTAATATGGAAAAGGGAAAGACAAATTTTAACTTTGTTTTATTGGACTGGAATTGGAACTATAATATTAATGTTCTTCCAATATAGATAGGTAGGTAGGTAGGTGGGAAGATAGATAGAGACACACAGATACACACACACAAATACTTCCGTGTTCTACTTTTTAACAGTACCTAGCAGCAATGTCATATTGATTGCAATGATCATAACTATCTCACAGATCCTGGTTTTCAAATATCATTCTCCAATAAAAATAATGAGGACTCCTTGGATAAATGGATGGTTCCAGGGCCTAGGTAGGTAAACTACAACATCTACCTAGAATATTTTTTTCCAGAAAGTAAATGGTTTCTCAAAGAATGTCAGATACAGGTGGAAAGCACCTAAGGGCCAAACTGAAGAGGCTCCAAATGTACACACCCGGCACAATTTGAGTATCAGAAATGAGTAACTACAGTAAAAGATCATAATGTGTTTAATAAAGTAGGAATCTATGAACCCAAACTGATATAAGGAAATGAATAAATGAGAGAGAAAGGAAGTTCTTCTTGCAATAGAATATCAACAAAATATGTAGAAAAAAAGAAGAGGTTAGAAAGTCACTAAATTGTAGGTATAATAATAATAATTGCCTCAGCCAAGAATGATCAATATGTGCTACCACTAATGGGTAATATTTTGATAAGGGGCAGGCATCATTATCATCATCGTTTCCAATGGGAAACTAAATATGAAGGAGATTCCAAAAAGAAGTAGGCTTTTCTCTTTGAAAATTTTAAGGGGAAGAATGACAAATAAGAGCAGAAAAAAGACTTACTTCATATTAGAGACTAAAGCAATATGATAGTAAGGCAACAAAATGCAGGATCATGGACCGGATCCAAGATTGGATCCTATACTGGGAAAAACTATTGAGGACATAATGAGAATGATTTATGTTAATATTAAATTTATTGATTTTGATAATTATTGTGTGATTGAATATGAAAATTTCCTTGTTCTTAGGAAACAATATATACACTGGAGTGTACGTGGGAGAGTGAGAAAGAATGAGTAAATAGAGCAAAGTAAATAGAGCAAAATGTAAATAATTAGTTTATCTTGGTGTATTAGGGTTCTCTTAGAGGGGCATAAGTAACAGGAGATATAAATATATATATAAAAAATAAACTCCCATATATATATATATATATATAATTTACACAATCACAAGGCCCCATAATAGGCTGTCTGCAAGCTGAGGAGCAAGGAGAGCCAGTCTGAGTGAATCCCAAAACTTGGAGTCTGCTGTTCCAGGGCAGGAAGCATCCAGAATGGGAGAAAGATGCAGGCTGGGAGGCTAGGACCATCTCTCATTTTCACGTTTTTCTGTCTGCTTTATATTCCCTGGAAGCTGATTAGATTGTGCCCACTAGATTAAGGGTGGATCTGCCTTCCCCAGCCCACTGACTCAAATGTTAATCTCTTTTGGCAACACCCACACAGACACACCCAGAATTAATATTTTGTATCCCTCAATCCAATCAAGTTGACACTCAGTATTAACCATCACACTTGGCAAAAGTTATATTTGTGTCTAGAGTCTGTACAATTTTTGAAAATTTTCTATAAATTTGAAATTATATTGAAATACATAGGTAAAAATGCACACCTAACTTTTTCCATTGCTAATTATATAGTGTTGGTTCTGGAGAATGATGACTAATATATTACTAATCCTAAAAGTTTGAAAAAAAATCCAGCTTGCCTTCTTAGAAAACTAAAAATATATTAAGTAAAGAAAATTAGCAGGTTGTTCAGCTTCCATGTAGTTGTGCAGTTTTGAGTGAGTTTCTTAATCCTGAATTCTAATTTGATTGCACTGTGGTCTGAGAGACTGTTGTTATGATTTCTGTTCTTTTGCATTTGCTGAGGAGTGTTTTACTTCCAATGATGTGGCCAATTTTATAATAAGTATGATGAGGTGCTGAGAAGAATGTATATTCTGTTGATTTGGAGTGGAGAGTTCTGTAGATGTCTATTAGGTCTGCTTGGTCCAATATCCCTGATGAACATCAGTGCAAAAATCTTCAATAAAATACTGGCAAACCGAATCCAGCAGCATATCAAAAAGCTTATCTACCACGATCAAGTCGGCTTCATCCCTGGGATGCAAGGCTGGTTCAACACACGCAAATCAATATATGGAATCCATCACATAAACAGAACCAATGACAAAAACCACATGATTATCTCAATAGATGCAGAAAAGGCCTTCAACAAAATTCAACACCCCTTGATGCTAAAAACTCTTAATAAACTAGGTATCGATGGAATGTATCTCAAAATAAGAGCTATTTATGACAAACCCACAGCCAATATCACACTGAATGGGCAAAAACTGGAAGCATTCCCTTTGAAAACTGGCACAAGCCCTTCTCACCACTCCTATTCAACATAGTGTTGGAAGTTCTGGCCAGGCCAATCAGGCAAGAGAAAGAAATAAAGGGTACTCAATTAGGAAAAGAGGAAGTCAAATTGTCCCTGTTTGCAGATGACATGAGTATATATTTAGAAAATCCCATCATCTCAGCCCAAAATCTCCTTAAGCTGATAAGCAACTTCAGCAAAGTCTCAGGATTCAAAATCAATGTGCAAAATTCACAAGCATTCCTATACACCAATAACAAACAAACAGAGAGCCAAATCATGAGTGAACTCCCATTCACAATTGCTAAAAAGAGAATAAAATACCTAGGAACACAACTTATAAGGGATGTGAAGGGCCTCTTCAAGGAGAACTACAAACCACTGCTCAAGGAAATAAGAGAAGACATACATAAGGAAATACATTCCATGCTCATGGATAGGAAGAATCAATATTGTGAAAATGGCCATATTGCCCAAAGTAATTTATAGATTCAATGCTATCCCCATCGAGCTACCATTGACTTTCTTCGCAGAATTGGAAAAAACTACTTTAAATTTATTATGGAACCAAAAAAGCCTGCATAGCCAAGACAATCCTAATCAAAAAGAACAAAGCTGGAGGCATCACACTACCTGACTTCAAACTATACTACAAGGCTACAGTAACCAAAACAGCATGGTGCTGGTACCAAAACAGACATATAGACCAACGGAACAGAACAGAGGCCTCAGACATAACACCACACATCTACAACCATCTGATCTTTGACAAAACTGACAAAAACAAGAAATGGGGAAAGGATTCTCTATTTAATAAATGGTGTTAGGAAAACTGGCTAGCCATATGCAAAAAACTGAAACTGGACCCCTTCCTTACACCTTATACAAAAATAAACTCAAGATGAATTAAAGACTTAAACCTAAGACCTAAAACCATAAAAATCTTAGAAGAAAACCTAGGCAATACCATTGAGGACATAGGCATGGGCAAAGACTTCATGACTAAACCACCAAAAGTAATGGCAACAAAAGCCAAAATTGACAAATGGGATCTAACTAAACTAAAGAGCTTCTGCACAGCAAAGGAAACTATCATCAGAGTGAACAGGCAACCTACAGAATGGGAGAAAATTTTTGCAATCTACTCATCTGACAAACGGCTGATATCCAGAACCTACAAAGAACTTAAACAAATTTACAAGAAAACAACCCCACCAAAAAGTGGGCGAAGGATATGAACAGGCATTTCTCAAAAGAAGACCTTTATGCGGCCAATGAACATATGAAAAAAAGCTCATCATCACTGGTCATTAGAGAAATGCAAACCAAAACCACAATGAGATACCATCTTATGCCAGTTAGAATGGCAATCATTAAAAAGTCAGGAAACAACAGATGCTGGAGAGGATGTGGAGAAATAGGAATGCTTTTACACTGTTGGTGGGAGTGTTAATTAGTTCAACCATTGTGGAAGACAGTGTGGCAATTCCTCAAGGATCTAGTACCGGAAATACCATTTGACCCAGCGATCTCATTACTGGGTATACACCTAAAGGGTTATAAATCATGCTACTCTAAAGATACATGCATACGTATGTTTATTGCAGCACTATTCACAATAGCAAAAACTGGAACCAATCCAAATGCCCTTCAATGATAGACTGGATAAAGACAATGTGGCACATATATGCCATGGAATACTATGCAGCCATAAAGAGGATGAGTTCATGTCCTTTGCAGGGACATGGATGAAGTGGGAAACCATCATTCTCAGCAAACTAACACAAGAACAGAAAACCAAACACCACATGTTCTCACACATAAGTGGGAGTTGAACAATGAGAACACATGGACACAGGGAGGGGAACATCACACACCGGGGCCTGTTGGTGGGTGGGGGATGGGGGTGGGGGAGGGACAGCATTAGGAGAAATACCTAATGTAGATGACAGGTTGATGGGTACAGCGAACCACCATGGTACGTGTATACCTATGTAACAAAACTGCACATTCTGCACGTGTACCCTAGAAGTTAAAGTATAATAATAAAAAAAAAGAAAATTAGCTAAATCCATTAGGAGGAGGAAAACTGAGTCATTATAAATCTTTTAGAACTAGAACTTTACAGTTCTTTAACCACACCATTTACTAATGTCTTGACCTGCCATGGTTACTCTGCTTTGTAGTTTATTTAAAGATAAAAATAAATGCATTTAAAGTGATAGTGTGGGGGAATGATCACAGAAGAAAACACTGAGCACTAAGAATAAATTTAAATATTGTATGTCACTATGTACTCAGAAAAATTTTGACAATAAATACTCTAAATGTTGTAATTAGAAACTATTGAATAGTGATATTATATAGGAGGTTGATATCATAAATATCGACATTAAAATAATTATTTTTCAGAAAGTCATTACTTTTTAATAGTTTTGACCTCCATTCCTTTTCATTTAAACTTTTCAGTTTTCATTTGCTGATGTTTTATATTAAATTTATGAACCCTTTCTTCATCTGCAGTACAGCAAATTTTCTTGCTGTATTTCAGAGACAGGAGCATACATTTAGATTTGGTGGCAATGTTGGTTTACCTCTGGCCATATATGTAAAAAATATCTGTTCTGCTTAAAATATAGCACTTCATATTACTATTAATATTTCAATTATGAATATATACTGAGTGATCTATAGATTAGCTCTTTTTGATATAAGTATATTCATAAAATCATGGGTGCTCATTAATCATAAATTTATTTCATAATATAAATGTGAATTCAATCTTTAGGCAAATTTTAATGCACTTTTAAATATCATATGACATATATTTTGAAGTTCACTTTATGTTTAAGAAAATACCTTTTCTGTTCACATTTACCATCATATTTACACTCACTTCCTTCAGAATTCTTAGTTTTAATTAATCCCAGTCCCTGACTGGGACAAATTATTCAGACTCAAAATATTTTATTTACTACTTTAAATATATTTAAATGTTTTTTAAAATATATTTTTTAAAACTTTAAAAGCATTATTATGCTCAAATAAGAAATCTGTTCCCATTCTATATAGCAGTTAAATTTTTGGTTTCTTATAATAATTTGGCCAAATTATTTGCTAAATTGTTTTTGCCAAATTGAATAATTTGGAGGTTTTGAATAATCAGGGGTTTTTGAAAGTACTTATATCAGAAATTAAAAGTAAGATATATGATAATTTAACATTTCAATATATATATTTATATTTATATATTGAGTCAAATTTATATTTAAATATATAAGAGAAATATACATATATCTTTTACTCCCAAGACAAATTAAAATTTTCTAAATTGTGTTCACCAGTAACTTTCTGATAAATCAAATGAATATCTAAATTACTATTAGAAACACCTATTTTTAATTTTCTTTTATTAAAAAATTTTAGAGATCTCTGTTTTCAAAGGACCTTGTCAAGATCTCATTGTACAGGAAATCAAAATTAACCAAAAACTTTTTGATCTGATTGCCTTTCATCTGTGAAACTCAATTATGGTTTTATTATTGGGAATGAGGAAAGTTACTCCCTGAATGACAATATGGGTCAAAATCACCTTTATGCTTGTTAGAGATGATGCTCATCCAGAGACCTTTAGCTTAATGACCCAGCTTCTTGTGCCTAAGTTACAGTCTGGGACTGCTGCAGGAACTTAAGAAGCTTCATTAGTCTTTTAGGCCACAGGGGAAACATTAAATTAACAAAAAAGGAAGGAAAAAACAAAAATATCATGTCAATAACCACAAAGAGGCCCTAGTCTGTTGCATTTCTAGTACCTTAGCTATGAAATACCACACGGAGTTGTGTTTTGGTAAATTTTGTGTAACTTCTGCTGTCATTTAACTTTCAACATGTCTAACTCTGTTACATAGTATTTCATGGTAATAACTTTTTTGAAGTTAGAAAATTATTATGTCATACTCATATTCTGAGCTCCAGTTGCCTTCACTGCAAAGTGGAAGCTGGCTCTAATATGGCTGAGGAGGAATGCCAGGATTGAAAGTCTGAATCTCAAGAGAGAAATGAGAGAGAAAGCCATGAATTTGGATGTCATGGTGATTGGTAAAAAATGACCTGGGTGGGGGTCATCCAGGGGGTGTTTTCAGAATCAGAAGTCCAGAAAACTGAAGATGAGACCTTCGAATCACTGAAGCAGAGCAGCAGATGTCGTAGATGAAAATGGAGAGAACAACGTTCCAAAGGGATAGAATGCATTCGACGGTAAAGTGACAAATGGAGCAGAGAGCCCAATCATCAGGCATATTTAAGAGTTGACTGTCATTTCTGCAATTAGAGGATCAGTTGATACTTCAAAGGAAAAACATTTCAGTGATAAACTGTGGATGAAACTGAAAGTTTGGATATTAATGACAATAGAAAACATGGTAGACAGCCACTGTCCCAAGTTTTCCCAATGCCCCCTGCCATCCCAGCTGCCCTGGATGCTCCACAGAACTCAGTGACATCCCCAGGATCCAGTAACTAAAAGGACACTCATAGCTCTATAGGTGCTTCAGGCCCTTACTCAGGCTCTTGTACACATGGTGCCATACTGATTATTCAATAATTTTCATAACACCCCAACAGGGGAACACAAGATTAAAGGAAGTAATGTGTTTTGTTTTGTTTTGTTTTGTTTCTTGGTCTTGTTTTTAAGAGGAGAAGGATTATGCATGTTTACAGTGTGAAGGGAAGAGTTGGGTAGAGATGTAAATGTTAAAATCAAGGAGAAAGGGGATGGGAGAAGAACCCAGGGTGCGCAGAAGTAGACAATAGCTTTGAGTGGGGAGAAGACAGCCTGGAATAGATGAAAAGATTGGAAATGAATATGGACAACTTTGTACATTGGTGGGTAGAAAGGTGATGAATTCCCTAAGCTGGGGCTTTTATATTTTCTCTGAATTAGGAGGCACTATCATTGCTATGCAAGAGACAGGAGTGGATCAGAAGCTCAGGGAGAATGGTAAACATCTTCCGTAAGGAATGTGAGACAATTGTTCTTTCTATTTCTATTACAGAGGAGAGTTTAAGCTAGGAATAAAATACTAGTGTATGTTTCATTTTCCTGGTTTTTAAAAATGTATCTCAAGGGCACTCATAATAACATCGTGAAATAGAGCCCTGAACCATGTTTCCCATGCTCCCATATACATATATACTCATAGTAAAGATTTAGTTAAAGATAGTATTTATAAAAATATGATTAATCTGTATACTACACACATTAAACTCTATTTTCTTCCTCATCAACATGTAGTAGTCATTCCAGTGAGCTAGTGTGTAAATATCTAACTCATATTTTTTGGGAATTTCATAATATTCAATAATATGCTTTTGCCAAATTGATTGTCCTTTCCATCTTAAGGAACATTTATTTATTTAGTCCCACATTACAATGAGTAATAACTAGCAGCATCTACCTTTGTAAACATATTGGGATTTCATATAAGGATTGCTCAAATTTTTAAGTTTATATTCATATTTCTTGGCATTTCAATATGATAATAGACATTTTTCCAAAGGGCTCTAGTAATTTACACCCTCACTGGCAATCCACGAAAACCCATTTCTCTGCATCCATATCAGCACTGAACAATATTACTTTCCAGCTGCTTTGGAGTAGGGGGTAGAAGCATAGGGCTAGTACTTTCTTTTTATGTACATAACATCGAAAATCACATGTAATTAACAGATGATTAATGTTGTATTTTTTTAAAATGTAATATTTTACATGTAATATTAAAAAATGTATTATCAAGCAAATTGTTTAGAGTTTCCTGACTATAGAGAAAATAAGCCGGTTCAAATAATCCTTCATCCTGCAATGCTTTGGGAGGACAACCCAGTTTTTCTGTTTTTTAACCCTTGCATACCCATTATCCTACTGTGTTGGCCTGGGGCTGAAATAAGAGTTTCAGAAATGTGTGAAGACATAATTATTTCAATTAATATGAATTATAAGTCATCAGAAGAAGGGTGATAATAATTTTTTTTTCCAAATTGTATCATTCAGTATCATCAGGAAAGTCTCAGAATTTACTAATACAAAGCTCATACACAATTCCATGACAATGCTGTTAAGACATCATGGCAATGAACGCCTCTATCATGGTCTGGAACTTGCTTTTTATAATTACTCTTCTAGATTCTTTTTTCCTTATGCACTAGCAATGATGAATTAGTCACGATTCCTAAGATTTACATGTACATTCCTTTTTGTAATAATTCAAACTATTTGATTGAATTAGATTTCCTTTCCCCCATCCCTGCCTGTGAAAGTTGTATTTAACTGACAGGGTCCAGCTTAATGGCTACTCTTTACTGAAGTGCTTCAACATTAAAAAAAAAAATTCTACTTGTTTCAATGAGATATTATATTTTTTATTATTACCATACTTACACATTTTTTTTTTTTTTTTTTTTTTTTTTTTTTTTTTTTTGAGACGGAGTCTCGCTCTGTCGCCCAGGCTGGAGTGCAGTGGCGCAATCTCGGCTCACTGCATGCTCCGCCTCCCGGGTTCACGCCATTCTCCTGCCTCAGCCTCCCAAGTAGCTGGGACTACAGGCGCCCGCCACTACGCCCGGCTAATTTTTTTTTTTTTTTTGTATTTTTAGTAGAGACGGGGTTTCACCGTTTTAGCCGGGATGGTCTCGATCTCCTGACCTCGTGATCCGCCCGCCTCGGCCTCCCAAAGTGCTGGGATTACAGGCGTGAGCCACCGCGCCCGGCCCATTTTTGTCTCTCCTACTAGATTTTAGAAGTTTTGAGATGCGGGACTTTGATTTATTCATCTTTCCCTTTAGCAACCATCTGTATTACCTGACACCTAGCTCAATGCCTGGTACATAGGAGATACTCAATAACAGTTGAATTAATGAAAGTATATGTAGATGATGGAGTAGGCTAGCTAAATCAGGTTAGGGGAGGTGCAGCTGTCAATGTCCATCTCTGGTTATAAATCCTGGGAAAACTGTATTAAGGGTTTGAGGATATAATGAAGCTTGTAGTCAGTCAGAACATCCTTTCTTAAAACCTTCCCAGGATAAAACAGGCCAATTGATTACACAAACAAAGTATGAGACTACAAGGGAAACTGGCCCTGTTTGTTCCTCTCCCCTGCAAGTTAATCACATTTGACCACATAATTTCATATTTACAATGCATTTTCTATTTATGCCACACCAGAGATGCTACTGGAGGCACTTTACTTAATTTTTAAAATTTCTAATGCTAGCACACAATGACTTATAAGTTCCTATTTTTGTGTTTTTTAAAAAAAACATGTTTAGATCCTTTAAATATTTACTAACATTCAAGTTTCCATTTTAAACACTTGGGACATATTCCTGAATTAAGATTAACTATTATATTGATTAGAAAAATGCTACTGGTAACAGTACAATGCGAGTCTAGAATAATGTGTCTCATTTTTAATGCTTTGTTAGTACACTGTCATTTAGAAATTCTTTCCTCTCATAACTGTGGATAGATCCCTGAGAACCAGAAAAAAATTGGATAATAATACTTTGAATTGATTATTATCTTCTACTTCTGGAATTGTAAAATATACATATTTTTTATTTTTTAAAAAGTGTGAAAGCTAGTTTCACTGCAGATGCTAATACATAGAGAGCAATTTATATATGAATTCTGAAGGGGCCTGGAGGGAAGAGCTTTTTCACACAGACAGATGAATTAGGAGACTTAGCTGACAGGGTCATCACCACATTTCTTATTGGAAAAATGAATTTCTATTGCAGGGCTAGAAAATATTTTTTAAAAATCCTCAAGTAGGCTGTAGCATTCAATGAATTATGTCATAAATTGAATGGAAAGAGAATCTGAGCATGTCTTGCAGAATAAAGAGTGAGAAAGAGACCTGCAACATCAGGCATGCTAGATAAAGAAAAATATCTTAGGCCAGCAAAGAGAGCTTCTGGGCTCGAGGTAGGAAATTGAATGGTTGTGTTTAAGTGAGTGCTTCAGTAGCATTTTACATAAAAAATTCATCTGTTTTTCAAAGTAATATACTATGCTAAATGCCGTTTATGTCTTTTTACTTCTGTTGCCCCACTTAATGATTATAGATAGAAATTCAATCATTGTAGAAGTAGTCAGCTTTCACAAGGTGGCCACTGAATAACACGAATGGTATTTGCTCTTTGCAAATAAATAAGAAGGCACTGGATTTATATTGGTAATTTAGAGTAGCTTAGAAAGCCAACTGAAAAAAAGGAAGGGAGGAAAAATGAAGGAAATAAGAACAGAAGAAAGGATGGGAGGAAGAAAGGAAAGAAAGCGAGTGGGCTGCCTCAAGTAGAACAAACACGAGAACAACTGACAAACTTTCAGTGAGTCTTGGAACATACAGGCAGTTTGAGGTTCTATTTAATGTGTCAAGATGTACTGTGTTTTCGAGATATTTTAGTCAACTGGACTTAGTAGTAATTCATACTCTCCACAGCATCATAAAAGTTTCAGTTTGTGCCAGGGAAGATAAACTATTTTGAAGTAACTTTGAATTTCATTTCTACCTTTTCACCATGTCTGCATAGACATGGCCTTATTGTAGCACATAGCTCACTGTAGCCTCAACCTGCTGGACTCAAGTGATCCTCCTACCTCAGCCTCCTGAGTAACTAGGACTACAAGCATGTGCAAACATGCCCTACTAATTTTTTATTTTTTTGTAGAGATGGGGTCTTACTACATTGCCCAGTCTGGTCTTGAACTCCTGGCCTCAAGCAGTCCTCCTGCCTTGGCCTCCCAAAGTGCTGAGATTACATACATTGGTCAAAGGATCTTTCTTAAAAGGTAAATCATGGTTGTCCTATAAAAAGATCACATGTCAAAGATTTTACTTATTAATTCATGAGGAAATGAAGATTTTACAGCTGGCTCAAAGGAGAATCCAAAGAGCAGTCAAATATGTAAGTCCATCAGAAATGCTGAAGTGAATTTGCTTAGCAGGTACAAAACAGGTTATTATCTACAAGGCAATAGTCCCTTGCATTTTGCCAGATGCAAACTACCTTTGTGGTTTGCTTTTGTTTTTTTGAGGCAGGGTCTTACTCCAGTCGCTCAGGCTGGAGTGCAGTGGCATGATCACAGCTCATTGTGGCCTTAACCTTCTGGGCTCAAGCGATTCTCCTTCCTCAGCCTCCCAAGTAGCTGGAACTACAGGCACACACCACCACACCCGGCTAATTTTTGCATTTTTTTGTAGACATGGGATTTCACCATGTTTCCCGGGCTGGTCTTGAACTCCTGGGTTCAAGAGATTCACCCACCTTGACTTCCTGAAGTGCTGGCATTATAGGCCTGAGCCACCATGCCTAGCCCAAATTACCTTTTCATGACAGGAATCATTTACATTACTATTAGTTTTCTATGACTTTGACCTTACTAGTAACTTTCTAGTAAATGTGAATAGATAAAAATATACATTATGGTAATGAAAATAGAATAAAGTGGTAATGATTCTTTGATTCTTTTTTTTTTTTTTTTTTTTTTTTTGAGACAGAGTTTTTCTCTGTCGCCCAGGCTGGAGTGCAATGGTGTGATCACAGCTCACTGCAACCTGGAATTCCTGGGCTCAAGCATTCCTCCTGCTTCAGCCTCCTGAGCAGCTGGGACTACACACACACACACACACACACACACACTACCACACCTGGCTAATTTTTTTATTTTTTGTAGAGACAATGTCTCGCTATTGTTGCTCAGGCTGGTCTTGAACTCTTGGTCTCAAGCAGTCCTCCTAAATCAGCCTCCCAAAGTTCTGGGATTACAGGCATGAGTCACCGTGCCCAGCCAGTAAAATCATTTTTTAAAAGTTAAGTATCAGCAAGTCTATAAGAAACTGCTTCACTCAAGTTTTCATACAGTGTTAAAAGATATAAGTTGTTTCCATCTTTTGGAAGTGAAATTCTCATATAGCCTTGAAACTATAGAGATTTTTCTACCTTTGACCTAGTAATTTTACTTCTTAATCCTAGGGATAGAGAATTATAGGTTAAAAACTAAGTTTATTTTTTCTTTTCCTTTATAAATAAATTCTGTAAGACACTAAAGCACAAGGCCACTGTATTTTGGTATCCTGCTAACAGAATGTTACATAAAAACAGGGGGAGGGCATTCTCTTCTACTTCACTGCTCTGAACTCAACAGCCCAGAGCGCTGGGAGCAGTGTCTTGCACGGTGGCAGCCATGACAGGAGGACTGGTTACTACAGAGCTACTGCAGGGAGGGGAGTGGGGGCACGAACAACATGTGATACCAGAGCAGGCATCTTTGCGAGCATCTGTGAGACTGAGAATGCCCCACAGTATTTGGTTAGGAGGACTTTGCAGGGAGCTGAGATCATGAAGTCAAACAGGTTACAGGAGATTTTTAGATAAAAGAATTATGGGCATTAGTTTTGAAATTAGATTTGAAAATCTTCTGAAACAGGTTACAGGAGATTTTAGATAAAATAATTATGGGCATTAGTTTAAAATAAAGATTAAAATCTATATTCTTTCTGTTTGCAATGTTATTTTCAGATTTTAAATATTTAACTACTTTCTTTCTTCTCTTTATTCCTGAGCAAGTATTCAGCAGGCCCATTTAGGGCTTAATGGGAAGGAAATACAGCTTTCTGGTCAAGGCAGGGAAAGTTGGGTAAAATTTGTCTTCGGATTCTCTCAGCAGAGTGGAAATTGTAAGTCTAAGTTGACTTACCCAGACTCCCAGCACAGATGGAGTCTAAATATGTGAATTCAACCTGCTTGGTTTCAAAGAAAATCTTCTAGTCCTGTGTTTCTCAAAATCAACCAATGTGTAAATCTTTTATAAAGGAAATAAGAATGCTCACAGAATTGCAGCAATTACTAACATTTTGTAATAGTATCTAAGTATGAAAATGAATACGCTTATGGCTCTTATGTAAAACCAAAAGAAATTTGAACAATAAGTACAAGCAAAACATAAAACTAATTAAAATTAAATTTATAAATACCTATTAAATATGATAAATTATTATTTGCCTCGGCAAAACAGCTGATTTGGGGTTTAATGCTAGAAAGATGTAGGCTCTGGTATAATTCTTTTCTTTTTTGGAGACAGAGTCTCACTCTGTTGTCCATGCTGGAGCACAGTGGCACAATCTCGGCTCACTGCAACCTCTACCTCCTGAGTTGAAGTGATTCTCCTGCCTCAGCCTCCCAAATAGCTAGGATTACAGACACCCACCACCATGGCCGGCTAATTTTTGTATTTTTAGTAGAGACGGAGTTTCACCATGTTGGCCAGGCTGGTCTTGAACTCCTGACCTCAAGTGATCTGCCTGCCTCAGCCTCCCAAAATGTTGGGATTACAGGCGTGAGCCATCACGCCTGGCCAGCCTCTGGTATAATACTAAATTTAGTTTATTTTTATATTTTAAAATAAAAATGCTAAAGCAGAGAATGTATGTTTTCATAAGTAGAAATTACCAAATGATAATAACCTAATAATGAAATATTTTAATTAAATTTGGAATAAAAGAATGCTTTACTGTCTATTTGTGGCTCAGGTCACTGTTAATAACCTGTTGTCTCAAGGTGGAGTGTACACAACTGGTATCTGTGCGGTGTACCCATTTATAAAGTGAATGTTGTAGGATTGCTGTGCTTTGTGCCATGTGATGACTCCATTCTCCCATCTTTTTCCAAAGCCTTAGGGCAACAGTCTGCAACATCACTTGTCTTTTGCAGGTTTTGCATATAGACACACAGACAACCTCATGTACTGATAATAAGTGGCAACTTAATTATAAGGTAGTTACTCAGATGATCAGAATAGTGTTAGATCTACTGCTTAGAATGAAAAGATTGCATATTATTGAAGACATTTATTAAAATAAAATTCCTGGATTCTTGAGACCTATTTTCCTAAACATTTATGGCTCTGTTACAGGACCAAGAGGTTCCTATTTATATTAGCCTGCTGTGCAATAACAGACTAATATACTGAGACAGCAGGGTTTGTAGCAGAGAAAGAGTTTAATGATTGCAGGGCAGTTGAATGAGGAGATGGGAGGAGACCTCAAATCTATTTCCCTGAGGAGTTCTGGGCTAGAGTTTTTAAAGGGATCATCGAAGGCAAGGGACTGGAAAATTGAGGTTGTTGATTGGTCAGGGTCAGAAGGATGAAAACATCAGGATGTGGAAACCTCATTGTTGGGTGAGTCAGCTCCTTGTGAGGTCCTCCAGATCAGCTGACATCAGTGGGGTTCTTTAGACCAGCTGATGTTAGTAGTTTCACTGGTATGCAGGACCTAAAAGAATATTTTAAGTAGGAAACAACATTTTATAATGTTTTAGTTATTTATAGAGCAGTTAAGGGGAATTATAATCAAGGGTCTACCTGACTCTAGAACAGTAGGCACCAAACAACTATGAGGAAGCAGTCAGAGAGCAAGCTGACCTAGTGATGAATGCTGAATGTGCTGCAAGTTTGGCTTATTTTTGTTTCTCTTCCTTACTTTTTTCTGATTAATTTTATGAGGTTTATAGGGACACTTTGACTTCAAGAAGGGCATTGGACATCAAGTGACAATAAATTATTCCTACTCTTTGGGGTTGAGTGCTGAGCTTTTCATTTTCTTGGATCCCCAGTTTTATCATGTTAATACCCAACTCTTTGGATATAAGAAGTAGATGGTTTACTAAAAATAGTTCATTTCCTGTGATGTCCAGGTATTTCTTATTAACTTTTTCTCCCCTTACTCTGAGAAGTCTTTTAACCCTGGTGTGGAGTTTTTAAAAGTCACCCGTATTAAAGCACCATTTGTTTTTGTGGGGGACAGACCATGTGCTTGGTTTGAATGCAGCAATGGAAAATGTTTGTCCTCTTATGCCATTAGAATTCACATCTGTTAACCTCCAGGGCATCACACCAAAACCATCTGCTTGACTAGTATTTGCTACGGGCACAGGGAGTGGGGGTGGAAGGGACAAAGAGAGAGTAAATTGAAAAACCTTCCTTTGCCTTTCAGGATGCTCAGGAGCTTCCAGGTTCAACAGATGCGTGAGATCCATAGCAGAAACATTGCTGTCCTCTTCAGATTCAAGTACGGGTGAAAGTCAAGCTCTGGGATACTGGAGCAGGGCTATATAATTCTCTTTCCCTTGTAATTTCATTAAAAAAGATTAAGGAAACCCTTGAAAAGTTGTAGATACCTAAAATTTTGGCCGTGCATTGATCATCCACAAAAAGTGAAAGATCACAAGTGATCAAGCCACATGTGTGAAAAATCTCAAATACACTTTGGGAGGCCGAGGCGGGCCGATCATAAGGTCAGGAGATCGACACCATCCTGGCTAACAGGGTGAAACCCCGTCTCTACTAAAAATACAAAAAATTAGCTGGGCATGGTGGTGGGCACCTGTAGTCCCAGCTACTGGGAAGACTGAGGCAGAAGAATGGCGTGAACCCGGGAGGCGAAGCTTGCAGTGAGCCGAGATCGCACCACTGCACTCTAGCCTGGGCAACAGAGCGAGACTCCATCTCAAAAAAAAAAAAAAAAAAAAAAAGAAAGAAAACTCTCAAATAACTCTTGATTCAAATAGTCAACATAACTCCTGGAGGAAAAAAAAAAGCATTTCTACATTGAGAGAGACATTGCTATAGTCCCCTCCACTGACTTCTCTCTTTGTGGGTGCATGGAAGGTATAGAAAATAACCTTTCTAGTATTTGGATTCATGGTCCTCAACCCTGGCTGCACAGTAGAACCATTTGGGAAACTTTGAAACATACTGTCATCAAGTCTCAGTCCTTGAGATTTGAATTTAATTGGTCTCAGGGTACAGTCTGGACATGGACATAGTTTGAATGTTCTCCCATATGATTCTAATGTGCGGAAATGTTGAGAACCACTGATTTGGAGAAAACCTGATATTTTTCTGCAGCTACTGATTACTTCTAATCTCAGAAGCTAACATTCAAAAGAACCCCTTAGGTAAGAAGAGGAGATACAAGAAAGAATTTTTTTAAGTGTGACTTAATGAAGAAAAGAAATAACATCTAGACTAGTCTGGTTTTCTCAACCTCATTATCCTTGACATTTTGGGCCAGATAATTCTTTGTTGTGCATGAGGGTAAGGAGGGTAAGGAGGGTAAGGAGTTCCCTGTGCATGGTAAGATGGCTTACCATGGCTTCTACTCCCCAGATGCCAGTAGCAGCTCCCCACCCTTATGTTGTGTCCCCATGTTGCAAAGACCAAAAATATCTCTCAGGATTACCAAATGTCCCCTGCTGTGCAGAATCCTTTTCCCTTCCCATGTGAGAGCAACTAATCTAGACAAAGGGAGTGTTGGCTTTCTCTCCTCCTTTATTTAACTCTGTTCTGTCTTTCCTAAAATTAACAAGCCTAGTAACTTCTTAGTACTCATCTGGAAATGGCAGAAGAGTTACCAGCTTTGCTGAAAGGCCAGGAAGGCTCTGTCTCATGACGAAAACAAAAACAACCATCTTCATGAATGGTTTGGAATTAGAGTAGTAGCCAAAATAAAAGTTTTTTGTTTTTTAAGTGAGGAGTCATGAATCCTACTATAAACTGATCTTTCAGAGGGAAGATGATCTTCGATCCAAAATTAGCTTTAAAAAAACTCAAGTCACAATAAAATCATACTATAGTCAAGTCACGAGAGCTTTTGGAAACATAGAAATATGTTTCTATAAATATTAAACATAGAAATATTCTCAGACTCCAGAAAATAATTTTGATGCAATTTGTCCTAAATTTACTTCCTCCTAAAGTGTCACTAAATTTACCACCGCCTTCCCCCTGACTTTTTTTTAACCAAACAGAATAAGCAATCTCTGAACTAATATAAGGTGGAAAACCCTAACAAAAGACTGACAGTGAAGTCATTCAAATAGTACCTCGACAAGCTTCAGGGGGATTGTTAATTTCCTGATTTCAGAATAATTTGGTTGGTCCCAAATATTACAGCAGGCACCATGGCAACAGCATTTGATATGACAAGCTGTAGGCTTAAAAATGAATGTGAAGCTGAGATTGTTAGGGTAATTAGGGTTAAATACTAATTCTCTTATGATAGCCAGGGTTCTGTGGATTTGTACTAGCCAGTGTTTAATGATTTCTTACCATGTGCCAAGCTCTGTGCTAATTCTTCACTTGCACTATCTCATTTAACCTTCACAATAATTCCTAAGTCTTGCTGTCCCTGTTTAACAGTTGTGGAACCAGAGGTTGAGCTTGAAGAGTTAACTTTTCCAAGGTCACAAAGTTGGTAAGTAGTGTTAAGTGTTCATCGCAGAAGTGCCCAAGCGTTTTCAGTTCACAGTGTCCTTCGTGTTTTAGTCATTTTTTCACAGTACACACAGGCAAAAAGAAATACTTACCACTTCCATTTCTTAGTTACTTAGGTCCAAACAATTTCATAACTATCTCTGTCCTAATAAGTTAGTAGTTGTTTGAAAAGAATAATATGCACACATTAAAGGAAAAATAATATGTTTTATTTCATTCTTAAATAACCACAATTACCGACTAATGGGATGGGTGCACCCATTGGGCATGCAAGGGCTTCTTGAACTTGGAATGAAATTGGACAGCACCACCTTCATTTCCTGTTCCATGTTAAGTTTTGCACAGTACCTGCTTTTTAGCAAAGCAACTGCTGAAAACTTAGCTTTGCAAACATATGGCATTATCAAAAGGGATGTAGTGTGATCTAATGTTGAAGCTGTGAACTGCTTTGAGTTAGTTGTTCACACTTTGTCTGACAGATGTCAAGTATTCCTGTGTTTTTCTCCAAAAATTAAAAGATACAGTTTGGGAACTGCAGGTCTGTTTCCCTTTACAAGGCTGTGAGGCAGGCAGTCTTGCAAAGGGAAACAGATAGACCTGCAGTTCCTCTGGCAGGCAGCCAAGTTCTCTCATTCATCCATATGTACTCACCCTAACACAGTGCCTGGCACATCGCAGGGAGTCAATAGGTGAAAGTAGAGGTCTGAATTGTTCCTGATTCCAGCTCCAGGAAGATGTGAACTCTTCTGAGTCTCCTACAGGTGACTGTCTGTAGCATCACTGATGTTTGTTCATTCCAGAATTTCCCCCTCCTAAGGATGAGCTCAAACTGGCTTGCAATAGCTAGAGAACCAAAAGCCCCATCACTAGGACCTGTTCAGGCTAATGTCAGAGTTGAGCAAACCTGTCCA
This sequence comes from Homo sapiens, assembly GCF_000001405.40. Lineage (NCBI taxonomy): Eukaryota > Metazoa > Chordata > Mammalia > Primates > Hominidae > Homo > Homo sapiens. The sequence goes on from NC_000015.10 coordinate 34,648,356, forward strand.
CACAAAGTCAAACTCCGTGCCCTCGGTGGTCTACTACACAGTTGCCTCTCAAAGCAGCAGCTCCAATAGCAACACATGTTTACTTCCAAGGCTCTGACACAGCTCTTTTTAGGAAATGCAAACAGAGAGGGAGGTGAGGAGGAGTTTGCAATTAGGACAAAGAATGACCTTAACAGGAGTGAATGCTCTTGCATTGGTTTCCCAACCCTGATACATCCGTAGATTCATTTGAACGGAGTTACCCTATGCATTTTCCATCTATCTGCTTCCAATTCTGGGGGCATGGCTGAAAGGAACTACCATTCATTCGTGTTTAAAATAGTGTTCTTCATTTCCTCTCCTAACAGCACAGCCCTTCATTGCTTCTTACAGCTGGTTTGTCTTCTGGCTTCCTTAACATCACTGATATCAGGAAGACCAAATTAACAAATATATCCATGAAAAAAAACCCATGATATTTTTGCTCAGCAATTCCATTCCCAGGGACTTATACAGATATAAGCACATGTTTGAGAATGACACATATATTATTACATCAATTACAGCAGTATTTGTAATAACATAAGATTAGAAATAACCTACATATCCTTTATTAAGGAACTATTAAAATAAACTATGACATATTCATATGTAGAATTTAGGCAGTCTTTTTTGTTTTTTGGAGAGAGATAGTCTCTCTATGTTGTACAGGCTGGCCTTGAACTCCTGGCCTCAGGAGATCCTACCACCTCAGACTCCTTAATAGCTGGGACTATACTTGTGCACCACCATGCCCAGCTAGGCAGTCATTTAAAGGAAGGGTCAGCAGAATTTTTCTGTAAAGGGCAAGATAATAAATATTTTAGTCATTGCAGACCCTGCAATCTTTGCCACGGTTACTCAACTCTGCCCTTGTAGCACAAAACAGCCACAGACAATGCATAAAAGAACAGATGTGGCTGTGTTATAATAAGACTTTTATTTACTAAAACAGGTAGAGACTGAATTTGACCTGTGGGCTATAGTTTACCTACCTGATTTAAAAGAATAAGGCAAGTCTATATATACAGCTATGGAAATATTTCGAAGATATATTTTTAAGTTAAGCAAACCAAGGAGGAAGAAAATACAAGCATGTATGTAGATGTATAGAAAACATTGTAAGACTACACAAGAAACTATCAATGTGGTTACATCTGGAGATGTGAAGTGGAAGGCCAAGGGAAAAGGGAGATAGAGAGGCTTTTCATTGAATAGCATTTTGTTCCTACTGGAATTTGTATCATGTGGATGCAATACTTATTTTTTAAAAAGCAAACTTTAAAAGAGTGGGTTTGCATCATCAGAATCCTATTTTGTAATATCGAGGCTGACCATTTGTATATCCAGCACTCCTCTGTCTGATTTCTCCTTATTATTGACGCACATTTTGATTCCCCATGAGAACTGCAAACTGTTTTGAAGGACTGTCTTTATACCCACAGTCTTTCCTTCTTCCTGCCAGTGTTTTGCACAAAGTAGACCTCTTTATATATTTATGTCATAAAAACTATACAATAAAAGTTAATTTATAGTAGTATTGGTAGGAGGGAACCCTTCCTTTACACCCACCCAAGGAAACTCAGTTACTTTTGTATAAGCAGAATCAAATTAAAACAAACTTCAAGGACAAAAGGAAGCCATACATCAAAATACTTGGCCCATGGTAGGTGCTCTTTACATGTTGAATCTTTGCCTAAATTAAAGGACAGTCACTGCTGTATGTTCACCCACGCTGCCTCTTCCCGGGTTCACATAAAGACATTTCCCAGCCTCCCTCTTCTATAAGGTCAAGTGGTCCCTAGAACCACAAGTGATGTGTCTGCAAACCCAGGGGCTACCAGCTTTCTGGACACCTACCCACTAGATGAGTCAGGGCAAGAATAGAAAAACCCTCCCTCCTCCCTCAAAGAAGGGTTATGTCCAGTCAGATGGCTCAGCCACAAGGTATTTTCAACACATGGGGAGGTGGTGTGGGTGGACAGTGACAAGAAGGAGACATTTGCTATGACTGTATTGACTTCTGCCTCCTCATTCTTCTGAAGCAGTCAGCTAGTCAGCTGCTGGAGAACCAGAAGACATAATAATGCAATTCTCAGATGTTTGCTTTCCACTGATATTATGACCCTGGTGTGAGTTGCCATGGCAATTTCAACATATTAGAGCCACATTCTTTTGTTTAAATAATTTTTTTATGTCTTCAGCAGTTTTATGTCTGGAGACATTAGGTGTTGAAATTCTATCCATCCTTACAGACTCTTCAGGATGGAGGTTTCAATCTCCAATGGCCCTGACATTGTCCTCCCAACAGTAGCAGGAGACCTCTTTTGTTAATGACCTATAGTTTCTATATAAGCAAGGTTCTGGGAGCTGAACTGAAGCCCTTAATTCTGGGTATGAATTCAGGCATTTGGGTACACCCTGAGCGGGAGGAAAGAGGTAAAGAGATTACACTCTGTCATAAGAACAATGAAATAATTTATTAGGAGTCAACCACAAAAGCTTGGATTTAGAAGGGCCCATAAATCCTGTCTAGTACAGGCCCCACATTTTGCTGGTGGAAAATGGACACAGAAAGGGCAAATGAGTTGCCCAAAGTCATAGAGCTACTTAGTAGCAAATCTGGAATTAGAATCTGAGTTTCCATACTCAATTTCCAGTTCAATGCCTTTTTTTTACAATACTGTGCTACCTCTAAATGATAGATAACATGAAATTGGATAGTGGGATAGCATAGTATAATTTCCCAAAAAGCTGAAAAGAGGGTGTGCCTTCCTTTAATTAATTATTGAAGAGTTGCCAGTTATTGTTTTGAGCTGGAGTCTTAGGATTATGATTGGGGATATTCCTAGAAATGATGATGAATTCTTTCTTCTTCTATAGACCATGCTGCAGAAACATGTAGGGGTAATTCAAGGGAATTGATTTTGAATGATCACTTTACCCAAAGTCTCTGAAATGTCAGTTTTACAAGAGCAAGCTAAATAACATTTTTTAACATTAAAAGAAGGTAGTCATAGTATACTTGGTTCCAAATTGGCCAACTCTGAGAATTTGCCGACTCTTTTTTTTTTTTTTTTTTTTTTTTTGAGACAGAGTCTTGCTCTGTCACCCAGGCTGGAGTGCAGTGGCGCAATCTCCGCTCACTGCAAGCTCCGCCTCCCGGGTTCACGCCATTCTTCTGCCTCAACCTCCCGAGTAGCTGGGACTACAGGCCCCCGCCAACAGGCCTGGCTAATTTTTTTTTTTTTGTATTTTTAGTAGAGACAGGGTTTCACCGTGTTAGCCTGGATGGTCTCGATCTCCTGACCTCGTGATCCGCCCGCCTTGGCCTTCCAAAGTGCTGGGATTACAGGCGTGAGCCACCGCGCCCAGCTGGGAATTTGCCAACTCTTTATTGCATCTGCAGGGAATTAAAATTGGAGCACCTTCGCAAGTAGCACCTACACACAGGGTGATGATGATGATGATGATAGTGATAAAGGAAAATTTCTTGAACACTTACTATGTACTAGTCACATAGCCAAAGCTAAATGATATGCTAAAGGCTTTAACATTTATTCTCTTATTTAATATTCTCAATAACCCTAAGGGGTAGATATTATTATTATTCTCATTTTATAGATGAGTAAATTGAGTTTTAGCTAGGCCCCATGGCTTCAAAAAGGTAGATGTGGTATTTACATTCAGATGGCCCTAAAGGCTGTCTACATGCTATTTTGCATGTAAATTAGAGGAACAGCATTTTAGAGCTGGAAGTGAACATGCCATCCAATGCCTTCCTTTCAAAGATGAGGAAGTGGAAGTGGAATGGTTTGTTCAAAGTTTCATAACTTATGACAGATCCCAGGGTTCCATGCCTAAAAAGAATGTCCTGTACTGGATCACTGAAAAGGAGTTTCCTTTTTGACCTCATCTTTGACGGTGCTTCTTGTCAGCAGCTTTCCAGATCTTTAAGGAGACCCATTTAGCTGTGGATTAATACATCAGCTACAATCTTGGGCTGTTTATTTAACCTCTCTCTGTCTCACTTTCCTTGTCTGTAAAGTGGAGAGAGCAGCTTCACAGTTGATGTGAGTATATATATACAGTACTTGGCACTGTACAATACAAGCTCTGCCCAGGTGTAATCTATTATTATAAATGTGTGGACAAGTGGCAATAGAGGTGAGGGAAAAGGATCAGTTCTCTTAAATTATGCAAGTGGCACCCTGGCAGAATATTGAAGCTGGGTGGCCATCAGCCAAGAACTTTTCCTTATGAAGTTTACTCAGCCTCCAGCCTTTGATGCCATTCCTTACCTGTTCCTCCTCTTCAAAGTACATTATTATCATTTTCATGACTATTATTATTTTCCTATCTGTCTTTTATAATTGTGCTAGTTATGATGTTATGGTAGGAAGAAGATGTAATTATTTACACAGCCCTGCATTTCCCATTATTGACCTTCTAAGAAGGCTGAATTCTAAGAAATAGACTTTGTTTTGCACAGGGGGATAAAATGTGTTATTTGGGCCCCTGCCATGAGATAATGAGTTTGAGGAGGAAGGAAGGGGTGGGGCTGAATTCTGCCTCCACTCCTGGGGCCAGGTCTCTAGCTCTGGCAGCTCATAGGAAGGGGCACTCTTTTCTAATTCATCTGAGAGTTGCCTATGTCCATTGTCATGTCCAGTAGGGTCACCTTTTGTCAATTTGCCCGAAGAGGGTGCTTTTCTTAAATTCACAAAGTTGAATTACTGCTAGGTGCTAGCAGTAGATTTTTACTCACTTTCTTCATGACTTCATTCACTTAAACCCAAAAGCATTTATTTTATTTTATTTTTATTATTTATACTTTAAGTTCTAGGGTACATGTGCACAACGTACAGGTTTGTTACATATGTATACATGTGTCATGTTGGTGTGCTGCACCCCTTAACTTGTCATTTATATTAGGTCTATCTCCTAATGCTATCCCTCCCCCCTCCCCCCACCCCACAACAGGCCCTGGTGTGTGATGTTCCCCTTCCTGTGTCCAAGTGTTCTCATTGTTCAATTCCCACCTATGAGTGAGAACATGCAGTGTTTCGTTTTCTGTCCTTGCAATAGTTTGCTGAGAATGATGGTTTCCAGCTTCATTCATGTCCCTACAAAGGACATGAACTCATCATTTTTATGGCTGCATAGTATTCCATGGTGTATATGTGCCACATTTTCTTAATCCAGTCTATCATTGTTGGACATTTGGGTTGGTTCCAAGTCTTTGCTATTGTGAATAGTGCCGCAATAAACATACGTGTGCATGTGTCTTTATAGCAGCATGATTTATATTCCTTTGGGTATATACCCAGTAATGGGATGACTGGGTCAAATGGTATTTCTAGTTCTAGATCCTTGGGGAATCGCCACACTGTCTTCCACAATTAAACCCAAAAGCATTTAAATAAGACAAGTTGAGTTTTTGTTTTTTACCACAACTTAAGTTATGATTCTCGTTTCTAAAGGTAAAAGTCTCTTTTCTATCAGAAAAAAATGAATTCCTTTTATACTTATCATGTATAATGTATGAGGACTAAAATAGAATCGGTAATCCCACAAGACCAAGAACTGCAAACTATTGGCATTTTCCCACTTAGAGGGAATGAAAGTACTGAACGTTTAGGGAGGGTTAAGCCAGTCCCTTCCATGCTTAGTTTGATAAGATGCTTACTAAAGTTCTCTCTACTTTAGCAGGAGAGACACCTTGTAGAATACTTTTGTGAACCACAGGTACATCCCCACCATGTGATCTGAGGGCCGAGTGCTACACTACAGGTGCTGGCTCAGCTTGTTGCTGAGCCAGTAAGATCCATGGAGAGGCAATTAGATAAGAATCATAAGCTGCCCCAGAGAGCACCATGAATTAAACACTAGAGACCCTAAACACAGAAGCTACTTCCACTTACCATCTACTTCACTTTTTTCGTCTTTAATTTGGGTTGAAAACTTCTGAAATGTTGTTGGCATTCCTATGGGGCCTTTCAGTTTTCAGATACTCCCTTTTATCAGAAGTTACTGGCTGTCTACTGTGATAAATAAATAAATAAATAAACTTTTTTTAGTGCTTTCTATGGCAATTAGATATCCCACTTCCAGTGCTTGCCTTCACTTTTCACTTTCAAAACCCAACAACAGAGAACACTAACAGCCACGCTGGACTTTATATTTTCAAAGTGTTTCACATCTATTTTACCTATTGATTTTCAAAGAATTTTTGACTTAGGTAGATCGGATATGTTCTCTCTATTTCGAAAGCGAAGTAACATCTCAGTAGTTAACTGACTTGCCCAAGTTCACATAGCTAGATAATGACAGAGTAGAACTATCTCTCCTGTTGGCTGATTCAGTTCTTTTTACCACCGTATCTATAAGGCAAAGTGGCAAGTGCGAAGAGTTCTGGGGTTGGAGATTTGTGACCTTGAAAACCACAACTTTACTGTTGTTCCAAATATAAAAACTACAGTTGGAGGTAGGGATGCTGCGTTACTACAGTCCGGTGAGATAATTTGATTTTCAGTCCTAACTCAGCACTGTGCCCTTGTTCATGGTACTTAGTATCAATGAGCCTCCATTGTTGTGTCTGTAATACCTTCCTTACTAGCTAAGGAAAATGAAATAGTGTATGTAAAGGGCCTAGTATATTTTCTGGCATATACTAAATGCTCAGTAAGTGCTCATTAGGATTAATATTATTCCAGCAGTCTCTAGTCTTTCTTTTGGAGCACATCTTTCCACAAGCTTACATTCTTGTACTAAGAAAACTTAGGAGACTTTGAATTGGGCAACAACAGAGATTAGTGGGTGTCCTGTCTAGCTCAACTATCTGGATTACGCTAGCTTTTGGTTGTCTTTGTCAAAGCTTATTTTCCACTCTATAGAGATAGAAGTTAAGTTGTAGAAAACCAGTGGTAATGTAAATGTTTCTCGTCTATATGATTCCTGTATATGGCAATGCAAATGGATTTTGTCTGGTAGAAAATATAAATCTCTATCTTCATTTGAGCAAGTTGTAACATCTTACTAGTTACCTCATTAACTAGCGAGTTAAATAAAATCTTTGACACATGTTCATTCTGTAACTGTGTGAGTCATGGTTACATCCTCTTTTAAAAATTATCCTTTAATGCTTCCCAGTGCCTATCTTCTACTTACCCTACTTCCTTTACTTACTTTGTACAGTGCTTATCTTCTACTTACCTCAGTTCCCAGTGCCTATCTTCTGCTTACCTTACTGCCATGGCTGCTCCCAGCTGCGCACCCACACACTCAGCCATTCCAGCCCAGTCTCCATATACATCCACTGGCACTACCCTAGTAGCTGCTATTCAGGCTGTGGGGTTTATTAAAGTAGATCCAATGCAGATAAAAATCACTGGTAACCAAGTTCTGAAACAGAATGGGGACTAAAATTTGAAAATCAAATGGACTTGTTTGAATATTTGAAGAGCTTAATTGTTCTGATGCTTGAGGAAGTAAGTCTTAGCGCTTGTGTCAGACACTTGCCTTGACACTTGAAACGGAATATGTGAAGACCTGTACCTACAGGGAGTATGCATACAGATTCTGAGGGCCTGGCAGAAAGAGGTACTCACTACTCCGCGTTCTACAGTATAGCTGCCTAAGTAGATTTTAGACTCCTTTCTCCCTTCTCAAAGATACTGCCTCAAGCAAGAAAACAGATTTAATAGACCAATGGAATGATTCTAAGCCAGAAAATCTCATGGGTATGGATAGTCTGTGAAACAGAAAAAAAAAATGTATTCAAACTTTTTTTCTCCTTGTGTTCTAAGTCATAGTGTCAGTGTCAGAGGCATTTGAACCAGAGCAACTCCATCTTGAACAGGGGCCGGGTAAAATAAGGCTGAGACGTACTGAGCTGCATTCCCAGGAGGTTAGATATTCTTAGTCAGAGGATGAGATAGGAGGTCGGCACAGGTACAGGTCACAAAGACCTTGCTGATAAAACTGGATGTGGTAAAGAAGCTGGCCAAAACCCACCAAAACCAAGATGGCAATGAAAGAGACCTCTGGTCATCCTCACTGTTCATTATACACTAATTATAATACATTAGCGTGTTAAAATACACTCCTACCAGCTCCATGGCAGTTTACAAATGCCATGGCAATGTCCAAAAGTTACTCCATATAGTCTAAAAAGGGAAGGAACCCTCAGGTCTGGGAAATCCCCTGCCCTTTCCCTGAAAATTCATGAATAATCCACCCCTTGTTTAGCATATAATCAAGAAATAACTGTAAGTATACTCAGTTGAGTAGCTCAGTTGAGCATACCAGTGCCCTGCCTAAGGAGTAGCCATTCTTTTATTCCTTTACTTTCTCGCTTTCACTTTACTTTCTTCCTTACTTGCTTTCACTTTACTCTGTGAACTTGCCCCGAATTCTTTAATGCGCGAGGTCCAAGAACCCTCTCTCGGGATCTGGATTGGGATCCCTTTCTGGTAAAAATAGTATTGTGCCTGTTTTGTGAAGAGAGAAGGGATCCAGAAGTGACTGCATAGAAACAGCAGACAGGACATCCCCACGGTTGAACTTTAAATAAGAGTAAAATGCAAAAGTTAAGTCTCGAAAAATAAAGTGTTTTGCGCATGGACTTGATCATAGTTTTTGTTACTATGCCTTGGGTAAAGAGTTTTAAAAGAATTTCCTTTTTGTCAATCTTCCCTAAGATACAGAAATAGAAGTCTTTAGAGCAGATGCTGTTTTTTTACTACTATCATAAACTAGCAACTGGTTTCAAATATGGTTTTTCCACTTCTGCTGTCTTTACATTGTCATTCACTTGTTTACTCAACTTTTAACAAACCTTTACAAAATGCCTATTCTGTACCAGCTACTATGCTTGACACTAGGAATAAAGATATAAAAATCACTTTTTCTGCTCTCAAGGAACACGGTCTATCAGGATGGACAAACTAGTAAACACAAATTATAATATGGTAAAATATGTGCTATGCTACTTCAAAAACAAAGTGCTATGAAAGTATGCAGAACAAAGACAAAGAAGTCAGGGAATGCTTCCCAGAGCAGGTGATGTATGATGTCCACACACTGAAAAACACTGGGTGGTGCTGGATACCCAAATGGGGGGCTTAAACTAAGAGACTTGTGGAGATTTTATTAAAAAGTGGACAGATTTAAGATATACTACAGAGGTAGACTGGATCAGAAGCATCCTCACACTGGATGTGTGGTTGAGGAAGAGGATGGTGTCCAGGATGACTGTTGGAAATCTGCCTGGTGCAGCTGCATATCCAGATTGTCAGTTACCAAGATAAAGAAAGCCGAGGGAGGATGAGTTTGTACAGGGTGCAGGGTGGAAATCAGTTTAGTTCGAATGTGCTGAGTCTGAGGTGCTAATGAGACAGACAGGTGGAGGAGGTGAGTAGCCTGTTTGAATATGCACATATTAATTTAAAGTAGAGGGCTTAGGTTGCAATGAAGAATTGGGTGTCATCAGCCTCAGAGTGATTGGATGAAATCACCTAGGGAAAGATTAAACGGAGAGAAGAGCAAAGCACCTAGGACTGATCATATCATAAGGAACTTTGGGATGATATGTTGAGTCTACAGTGTAAGCCAAGAAGGAGTGGCCAGTGAGGTAAGTGGAAATCCGGGAAAGTATACTGTCATGAAACCTAAGACAAAGACATTTTCAAGAAGGAAGATGCTAAGAGTTTAGGTAAGATGGGAGGTAGAGAATTAATCATTGGCTTTGGCAACATTAAGTTTACTGGTATATTAACCAGGGGTCTCCAGGAAAATGGAACCAACAGTATGTATAAATATATACAGAGAATCCAAAGGTGTAGGAGAAATTGCCTAAATAAAATAAATATACATAAGAATCTCCATAGAGAGATTAATTTTAAGAAGTTGACTCATGCAATTGTGGAGGCTGGCAAGCTCAAAATCTGCAGGGCAGGCCAGCAGGCTGGAGACCCAGGGAAGAGTTGCAGTTTGAGTCTAAAGGCAGTCTGCTGGCAGAATTTCTTCTTCTTACAGGGAGGTGAGTCTCTTTCTATTAAGGCCTTCAACTGACTGGATGAGGCCACCCACACTATAGAGAGCAGTCTGCTTAACTCGAAGTTTACTTACTGATTCAAATGTTAATTTTATCTAAAAAATACCTTCACATTCTGCAAGAGCTGGGACTTAAAAAAAAAAAAGGTAAAACAACAAAAATAAATAAATAAATACCTTCACAGAAGCATTTAAAATGACATTTGACCAAAATCAGGGTACTATGGCCTTGCCAAATTGACACATAAAATTAACCATCACAGTTGGTAAACTCATCAAGAGGCCTTTCTGTTGATGGTGGAGGCAAGAACCAGATTGTAATGGATTGAAGTGCTAAGGGGAAGTAAGGAAGTATTGTGGACTCATCATTCTCAAACTTGGCTGAATTTAAGAATACCTGGGAAGTCTGTAAGAATCTCAATAACCAGGCATCACCCCATATCAATTACATAGGAATCTCCATAGATGGGTCTCAGGCATCAGTGTGCCAAACCTGAGAAGCACTAATATAAATCAGGGCTTCTCAAACTTTAAAGCGCATATACATTTTCTAGTAGGTCTGAAGTGGGGCCTGAGATCCTGCATTTCTAACTAGAGCTCCCACTAATGCCAGTGCTGCTGATCCATAGGCTGCACTTTGAGTAGTGAGGATACAGATGACTCTTTTCAGTAAATTTGAATGAAAGGCATAGTGAAATAGAGGAGTAGCTTGAGGGAAGTATTAAGTCAAGGAAGGATTATTACTGTTGTTGTTGTTGCTATTTGAAAAGTATATTTGTACAGTAGTGGGAGTGGTGGAGGGAAGATAAAGAGAGGTTAACAATGTGAGAGAGATGGGAACACTAAAAAAGAAAGTTCTTGAGGGGGCAAGAAGAGCAGGATCCTGAGTACAGGTAGAGTCCCAACAGACAAGGAACCAGCTTGCTGGGAAGGAAGGAGGAGGAAGCATTGTGCACAGGTCCAAAGGAAGAGGTATAGGAGAAATTGCCTGCCAGTGAACTGCAAGTGTTCTGCATGGTAAAAGCATAGAAACCATTTGGAGGACTGGAGTGAGAAGAAAGTGGAGAAGACAGAGGCCAAATCATAGAAGGCCCCGTGAGCCATACCAGGAGCTAGGCTTTTTCCCCAAAGGTACTGGGGAGCGGTTGAAGAGTTATCACATGGACTTTAGGATCAGATTTGCATTTCATTCTGAGATGTGCATTTTATTCAAAGAACGGAGGATGCACTAGGGAAAGAAGTATGATCATGCAAACAACAGAATCATTTAAGATATTGTTACAATAATCCATTTGAGAAATATCACCTCCAAAAATGCACAAAAGTATGATGGCTAAGATGAAGAATTAAAAAAAAAAGATTTGGAGTGATGTTTTTGAGAGACATTAATATGAGTGGGTTGGAGAAACAGCTGAGCAGAGAGGCCACTGGAGAACCAATGGTGATGGAGAACAAAGACATTCAGAAGCTAAATGACTCAGAGAGAGAGAGAGAGAGAGAGAGAGAGAGAGAGAAAGTAATAGAGCAGAAAACTTGAGATGTATAAATAAAGAGCATGGAACATAGAGAAGGTGAGGCACAAACATGAAGGACTGAAGAGGCATTGGGAGCCTCCCTCCAGTGGGCCTCCTCCACTTTGGTGACTCTGGAGAGGGTTGGTAATGTGAGCATTTCCAGTGAAATATAGACCTGGTAGACATGAGCCTGGGACCCAGGAATCCCCTGAAGAGGGCCATGGACTGGCAGCAAGGAGATAAGAGGTCATTGAAATGGGACTGAATGAATTCTTGCTCACTCCTAAGATGCAGCACCTGCAGGTTGGCTTTAGGAAAGCTGGCAGGCTGAGCACAGTAGCAAAACCAACTTCACCTCTCCTGTATCACGACTGATTAAGTGTCAGGTTTTGCAGCCAGAGAGATCCGGGTTCAGATTCCAGCTTTGCCAGTCTCAGCATTTTTAGCTATAAAACAGGAATAATGATACGCCCTTCATTGTGAGGATTATATGAGATAAAGCATGTTAAGTTTGTAGTACAGTGCCTATATAGTAGCAAACATTCAATCTATAGTACCTGCTAACAAAAGCATGGCAGTGTAGTTGTCTTCCAACTCAAGAGGCAAAAATCAGTAACTATGGGTTAGGTAAATCGCTTTTTTGGATTAGAATTGTCTGCCTAACACTAGATAGTCGCATCAAAGAATAACTCAGAAACATTTAGTTAGTTCTCCACATGTGAAGGAGATAGCCATTAGGCTGTTTTCAAGGAATACAGACAAAACAGAGAGGATAGGAAGAGTAAACAGACAAAGAAAAAACCTGCAGAGAATCTAGGAACAGTGGATGTTGATGTGGCAACAAAGGAAGAGTTGCCATTCTGATCTTTTCTCAAGAAAGTACTTACTATGGAACTGCATCAAGTTCACTTAGGTGACAGCCTCCTAATTGTGTCCCTAGAATCTACATTAGCTTTTAAGCTGAAGTCTTACTTTTCCTGAGCAGCCCCTGATCAAAGACTGAGCACAGAGGGGGTTATTAGGACCTAGTCATTTCTGCTCAACATGAGACTCCACTAACTAACATCAATTTTACACAATTTCTCCCAGGAAATAGAATAAGAGGGAAAATTCCCAATTCATTTATAATAAGGCCAGCATTACCCTTATATCAAAACCAGAAAAAGACAGTAAAAAAAAATTACAGACCAATGTCTTTCATAAACTTAGACACAAAATCTTCAACAAAATAATTGTAAACCAAATCAAGCAGTGTATAAAAAGAATTATACACTATGACTAAGCGGGATTTATTTTAGGTGTGCAAGGCTGGTTCAATATCCAAAATCAATGTGAATTGTACACTTAAAAATGACTAAAATGATAAATTTTATTTTGTGCATATTTTATTACAATATAAAAAAGATGATTTAATTGTCTAAATACAAAATCACAAAGAATCTATAAGAAAACTATAATAAGTGAGCTCATCAAGTTCTCAGGGTCAGGATAAAAAATCAATTGCATTTTTATATTTTAACAATGGACATAATGGAACCAAAATTTAAAACACAATACCAATTCCAGTCTCTGTAAACAAAATTAAATATTTAGATATATACTTAAAACAAATGCAGGATTTGGAAATTACAAAATGCTGATCAAAGAAATCAGAGAAGACTAAAATAAGTAGAAATACATACCATGTTCATGGTTTGGAAGACTCAGTATAGCAAAGATGTCAATTCTCCCCAAATTGATCTATAAGTGTAATGCAGTTCCTGTCTAAATCTCAGCAAGATTTTACATAGATATAGACAAGCTTATTTTAAAATTTATATGGAAAGGCACAGGCCTAAGAACAGTTAAAACAGTCTTGATAAAAAGAATCACTTGGGAGGAGTCATTTTAACAATATTAGGACTTACTTACAGCTGTAGTAATCAAGAAAGTGTGGTACTGGTGATGGGATAGACATCTAGGTCAATGGTAAGGAATAGAAAACCCTTACATAGGCCCACACAAATATGCTCAATTGATTTTTGACAAAGGTGCTAAAGTAATCCAATGGAGAAAGGGTGGCCTTTTCAATAAATAGTGCTGAAGTAATTGAATATCTATATGTAAAAAAAAAACCTCTACCTAAATCTCACACTTACACAGAAAATTAACTCCAAATGAATCACAGAATTAAATGTAACATGTAAAAATATAAATTTTTAGAATAAAACAGGAGAAAATCTTCAGCGTCTAGGGCTAGGCACCAAAAGCACAATCTGTAAAGGGAAAAATTGAAAAATTGAACCTCATCACATTTAAAAACGTTTGCTCTCCAAAAGCTCATATGAAGAGGATGAAATGACAAGCTACAGATTAGGAGAAAATGTTTGTAGCCAATATGTCCAACAAAGGGCTAGTATCTGAAATATACTGAGAACTCTTAAAACTCAAGGGGGGAAATACAAATAATCATATTACAAAATGGGCAAAAGACATAAATCTAATGAATAGATATCAATGCATTAAAATTGATATACAGATGGAAAATAAACACATGAAAAAATGTTCAACATTATTAGCTACTATGGAAATGCAAATTAAACCACAATAATATATAACTACATGTCTATTAGAATGGCTAAAATTTTTTTTAAAAAGCGATAACTCCAAATACTGGCGAGGATGCAGAATAACTGCATTACTCATACATTGCTGGTGAGAATGTAAAATTGTACAACCATTCTGAAAAGCAATTTGAAATTTTCTCAAAAAGACTGAACATATGATTGCCATATGACCTAACAGTTACACTCTTGAGCATTTAGTGCAAAGAAATACAAATTTATGTCTGCACCAAAACCCGTACATAATGTTCACAGCAGTTTTATTTTATTTCATTTTTTTATTATACTTTAAGTTCTAGGGTATATATGCACAACATGCAGGTTTGTTACGTAGGATACATGTGCCATGTTGGTGTGCTGCACCCATCAACTCATCATTTACATTGGGTATATCTCCTAATGCTTTCCCTCCCCCCTCCCCCCAAGCAGTTTGATTTGTAATAGCTAAAAAGTAGAATCAGCCCTGAAGTCTTTCAACCAGTGAATGCTTAAGCAAATTGTGATACGCACATACCATGGAATATTACAAAACAATAAAAAGGAGCAAACTATTGATACACACAGCAACTGGATGAATCTCCAGGGAATTATACTGAGTAGAAAAAAAAATCAAATCCTAAAAGGTTAAATACTGTATGATTCCATTTGCAGAACATTTTTGAAATAAAATAATTTGAGAAATGAACAGATTAATGATTGCCAGGGATTAGGGATGGGGTATGGCTTTAAGAGGGAAGTGGGTGGGGTTATAAAAAGCAACAGAAGAATCACAGCTGGATTTAAACTGCTCAGTGTCTTGACTGGTGGTGGATGCATGAATCTACACAGATGATAAAATTGAGTAGAATTTAATACACATATACACATGCCAATGAGGACAAGTAAAACTGGGGAAATCTGAATAAAATGACTGGATTGCACCAAGGTTTCTATCCTGAATGTGATATTATATCACAGTTTTGTAAAATGTTATCATTGGGATAAGTGGGTAAGGTACACAAGGGATATTTCTGCATTATTTCTTACAACTGCATGAGCGTCTACAGTTATCCTCACAAAAATTTCAACTACAATAAAAAGAACAAGCTATAGACTGAGAGAAAATATCTGCAAATCATATATCTGAAGAAGGACTTGTATCCAAAATATACCAAGAGCTCTCAAAGCTCAATACTGCTGGTGCAGGGGCACACACCTGTAGTCCCAGCTATTCAGGAGGCTGAGGTGGGAGAATGGCTTGAGGCCAGGAGTTAAGATCACAGTGAGCTATAATGGTGCCTGTGAATAGCCACTGCACTCCAGTCTGGGCAACATAGCAAGACCTCCATCTCTAAAACAAAACCAAACCAAAAACAAACCCAAGAAAACCCTCAATATTAAGAATATAAACAACCCGACCAAAACGGGCAAAAGATTTTTAACAGACACTTTTCCAAAAACATATACAGATGGCAAATACCAGCATGAAATACCAGCTCAATGTCGTTAGTCATTAGGGAAATGCAAATTAAAACCCAGTGAGATACTACACACATATTAGAATGACCCAAATTAAAAAAGACTAACTGTACCAGTGGTTAACAAGGAAGTGGATGAACTAGAACTCTCATTCACTGTTGTTGGAAGTACAAAATGGTAATGCGCTTTGGAAAATAGTTTGGCAAATTTTTTGAAAGTTAAGTATACTTTTACCATAGGATCCAGCCATTTCATTCTAGGTATTTACACCCAAGAGAAATGAAAGCAGACCTTTTACAAATACTTGAACATGAATGTTCATGGCAGCTTTATTTGTGATAGCCAAAAAAGGAGAAACAGCTCAAATGTTCATCAGAATAAATAAACAACTTGCTCTATACAAACACAATGGGAGGCTACTTAGTAATAAAAAGAGAAGGAATATTGACATATTGTAAATCTCAAAATAATTATGCCAAGTAGAAGAAGCCAGTCCAAAAAAAGTACATACTGTATGATTTGATTTATATAAAACTCTAGGAAATGCAAACTAATCTATAGTGACAGAAAACATATTAGTGGTTTCCTGGGAAGGGAAGGGAGTCATGGTCTGGGAGAAACAGGACAGACAAATTACAAAGAGACACGAGGAAACTTCTAGGATGATGCATAGGTTCATTATCCTGATTATGGTGATGGTTTCACAGATATATACATATATCAAAATTAATAAATTGTACAAGTTAAATACATGCAGTTTAAGTTATGTTTCAATGTTTTAAAAAGGAATTTTAACAGAAAGGGGATTGTTCTATAAAAATATAGTTGAAATGCTTTGGAATAACCCAACAAAAATATATCTGAATTTTTAAAATTGTTATCAATTTAGATGTAGGAGAAACCAACATCAAAGACTGGGCAGTATGTATGTGGTAATGGTGGGAGGTGGGTGGAATTTGCAAAAATCCAGAAGGAAGATGTACTTAAAGTGCTTTGCAAGTGTTTTTTGTTTGGTTTGGTTTGGAATTTTTGAGACAAGAGTCTCACTCTGTCACTCAGGCTGGAGTGCAGTGGCATGACTATGGATCACTGCAGCCTCGACCTCCTGGGCTCAAGTGATCCTCCCACCTCAGCCTCCTGCGTAGCTGGGAACACAGATGTATGCCACCTGCCTAATTTTTTTTAGTTTTTGTAGAGATGGGGTCTCCCTATATTGCCCAGGCTGGTCTTGAACTCCTCAGCTCAAGCGATCCTCAGCCTTCCAAAGTGCTGGAATTACAGGCATGAGCCACCGCACCTGGCTTGCAAGTGTTATTTTTCCACTTGAGAAATGATGACTACAAATTAAAGAAAATGCATTATGGATGTAGTTTATTTTAAAAAGGTAATATAGAACTATAAGCGGAAGACTCATCTCAAAGTAAAAGGCTGTGGCTCTCTATCAAATGATTGGCAAATGAATATATATATATACATATATATATGCTAAAATAAATGCTTAAGGTAGGCATTGTTTTGATTCCTCAATTTAATAAAGTTTTTCAATCTTATTAGGAATTTTGATGGTTTCAAATAGGAGGCCTTCTACTATAAGGGTGTAAAGATTTTTATAGATACAAGCCTCACATTTCCAGCTAAGCCATTAGATATCTTGCCTCAGTGAAAGAGATGAGGAAGTTTCATCAGATTCCTCATGTTCTCTTTTCCCCTCTGAACACGGCTCCTATCTTCAGAACCTTCAAGCTTCTTAACTTCTACCCTTCAGGATTTTAAGTTGAAGCTGAAGAAAGACTCAGCTTCAGAAGCCCAGAACTCTGCAGATAGATGAAAACAGTTCTCCACTGCTATAAATAAAAACCTGAAACCTGTCACACTTGGTTAATATCACCCACGTTAGGAGCCATGGACAGAAAGGAAAGAGGCAAAAGCAAAACATCTGTTGCTTTATTTAGAAACCAAGCTCATGACAGAAAAACAAGTCACCGGTTTTCAGGCACACAGAGATTTCAAACGCCTTTTCCTGTAAGATTCGAGTTAGGGAATACCATGTTCAGTCCTGGTTAGTGGCTGCAACACTCAGTACCAACTAGAGCAGAAAGAAACACAGAAGAGCTTCCTTTGCCTCTGTTGACAACTACCCAGAGCCTGAAAAGTCTGCATCTCAGATTCAGGCCCTTTATCCAAAGACTTACGGACGGGAAGCAACGCCCATCCAATGCCTATTGATTATTAACATCAGCCCATTTCTCAACTTAGCAATTTCTAGAAACTCAGGAGCAGTCAGAAGGGTGTGGTTTTCATAGATCTGATGATCAAGGCTGGTGCCAAGGCAGCTGCCCTGCAATAGGGTGGTTTGAGGATGCCCCAAACTCTCCCACCCAAAGATCTCTCTGCTCTGGATTCCATACCCACCTGCCATGGAGCTGGATATGTTCCTGCACAAGACTGGCAACTCTCCTGCTGAGGAGTTGCTCCATCAGTTATAAAGCAAGTGTGTACCTGGTCACAGCAGTCTATGGCCCAGTGCAGCACATCAATGCATTGGGAAACGATATCCAAAACAAAACCCTAGAGCATGAATCAGGGGACAAAGAGAAGGAGAAGTATAGTATACTGAGCACTCAACTGACAGGGGAGGGAAGAGTTATATCTCCTCTGAGCAGCCACAAAGCAGTATGAGAACATGAGCAACAGAGCTGGAAAGATGCTGAAGAATTCCCACCTTCACCACTTTACCTAAGGCCAACCTTGCTGAAGACTCAGGGACTTAGAATTGCTACCAAATCTACAAGCATAGGTGTTCTTGGAATTGCTTCTCAGAGAGGAATGGATATTTTATTCATTCATTTAACCAAGATTTATTCATCTTTGTGGAGCATACAGACTAGTGGGAGAGAGACAGATAATAAGCGGAATGAATAAAGAAATGTAACAGGATATGAAAACGTAATAAGTGCTGGGGAGATAAATTAAGTTAGGACCGGCATAGAGAAAGTCATGGGCTACTTTTTTTTTTGAGACAGGGTCTCAGTCCCATGCCCAGGCTAGATTGCAGTGGTGTGATCATGGCTCACTGCAGCCTCAACCTCCTGGGCTCAAGCAATCCTCCATCTCAGCTGAGACTGCAGGAGCATGCCACCACACCTGGCTAAATTTTTGTATTTTTTGTGAGATGAGGTTTCGCTATGTTGCCCAGGCTGCTCTCTAACTCCTGGGCTCGAGCGATCCACCCACCTCGGCGTCCCAAAGTGCTGGGATTATGGGCATGAGCCACCAAAGGGCTACTATTTTAAACAGGAGAATCAGGGAAGCTTTGCTTAGGGTTTGTTTGCCTCTTAATTGTCTTATCTCCTCATTCCATTTCTTTTTCAGAGTGCAAAGGACCTAGGAAGTCCTGGACACATGTTTGAGACTGGAGCTATAAAAAGTAGTATGACACAAATGAGTACTCTTTAAACAATTTTGATCATGAACCCTGTCAATAAAAATTGTGAGTGCCTGCTCTCAGAGTATTCTTATGTTTTCTTCATAAATCATATACATATTTTCCTGTATTACTATATTCCACTCAGTTTTAATCAAACACAAAACAGGATGATTTAAGGGTGAAAGAAATATATTTTATACCTAGTTAGCATGATGACTTCATATTATCACTAGCATATAATTAAAGGCACATTATGAACTTAAGATGAGGTTCATTGTTAAAAATAATGAATGTAAGTATCACAAATTCATAAAAATTTAGGATTTTGGGGCTAACTGCTTTCTTCTCTGAGTAGGTCTCCATTGTATTTTACTTTTAAGTGATGCCAATGAAAATATTCTACTAGGAGTAGACCTATTGATTTCTCATTGTTCATTTGTGCTTCCACTACTGGCAATTTCTTCACAGGAACTTCTCAAAAGTCATTCTTTCCCTCTGTATTTCTCACATGCAGAAGGATGTTCTGGAGCCTCTTGCACATCAACCTATTTTTTTCTCTCTCTTTTGGCTTTTTCTTTAGGTGTTTTCTCCTCTTCACCCAGCTCTTTACTCTGTCGATCACCTTAACCTCTCTGCTAAGTCCAGCTCTTTTTCACCAGCCTTTATCAGAGGCTCCCATCTCTAAATATTCTCCATTTTAGAAAGAGAAAGCTTGTGCATTCTTATTTACCTAGTCCTAATAGGAGAGGGAGAGGAAAAGGGGAAAATTGGGAGCATATATCTATTCATAAATCTATCCATTTCCCTATATCTATGAATACTGGATTGCAGTGTAAATTATCAAGAAACATCTCTACAAACAACCAACAACCAACAAAGAAAGAGAAAGGGATTTCAAGTACTTAAGGTTTGCAAGCCGTTTCTACTTAGATTAAGAAGTTGACTTTAGAACAGAATTTTAATCACAACCTTGGAGAAAAGTGAAAGAATGGGCTTGAAGTAATAAAGTGATCCATGAAACCAAACATATAGAATCAGAATGCAACATAACAGAATAAAACGTTGCTTACTTATTGTACCTTGGTCATTTGTACTTTAAAAAGGGAGTGAGCTAGGGGAATTGATGTGCAAGATCTGATTTGTATGCAAGAAAAATTACAGATGGTCAAATGTAAAGTAAAAGATATAGCCCAAGAATTGCTGAAGTTAATCCTGTCAGAAGGCAGCAGAGGATAAGCACATTTCTTCTAGGACAGGAAGAAAAACCGAAGGTATCTAACAGGTGAGACACATGAACATGCAATGATATACAGAAATCTCTCAAGAAATTAGGTAGGGCCGAAGGATTTACAAACCAAAATAGACATTCCTGGCTGTGAGAGAATTTACTGGAGTATACTAATGGGGGAAAAAAAAAAGCAAAACAAAAAGAAAACAGGAGCAAAGTTATGAGTCAAGATTATGAGAAAGGCAAGAAAGAATGAAATGAAACGTCTGTAAAAATATAAGAGATGGACAGAAGAAAGGTAGCAGGCTTACAGAGAGAAAAAGGAGGAAGGCCAAATGCTGCTAAAAGATAAACTTCTGGTGTTGAAGGGGTTTTTGTAGTGTTTTTGGCGTATCAGGCATCAGGATAAAATCTTTCCCCAGCCTTGAATTTCTTTCTAGATGTCTTTATGGCCAAAAGTGAGTCACATGTTCACTCTTAAAGCAATCATCAGCAAAGGGAATGGCACTACCATGTTCGTCTAAGATGATCAGGGTTTATAAGGGCTGCCTCATCCAAAGAATATGGCCATTTAAGAGCTAAAAAATAGAAGGAGCCATGTGCAGTGGCTCAAACCTGTAATCCTGGCACTTTGGGAAGCCGAAGCAGGAGAATCACTTGAGCCCAGGATTGGAGACCAGCCTGGGCAACATGGTGAAACCCCATCTCTACCAAAAAAAAAATTAGCTGGACGTGGTGGGTCTTGCCTGCAGTCCCAGCTATGAGAGGTGGTGGGGGAGAGTGAGGGCTGAGGCTGGAGGATCATTTGAACCCAGGAGAGCGAGGCTGCAGTGAGCAGTGTTTACACCACTGCACTCCAGCCTGGGTGACAAAGCGGGGCCCTGTCTGAAGAAGGAGAAGGAGAGGAAGAGGAAGTAGTAGTGGGGTTCTATGGAAAAAAAGAAGAAAGTTAGGTGATTGTTGGATAGAGAACCAATAGAATCTGCCACAAAAGCAGCTATGGATTTGGTGAAATATGAGCTAGTCCTTAAGTTAGATACAGACATGAAAAAATGTGAAAAGGCGCTTTCCATTGGGAGGGAATACCCTGAGTAAAGGCACAGGGACAGGAAAGAAGTGCTGAGCGCATTTCTGTTTGATGCTACTGGAGGGTATCGAGTACCCAGGGAGGTGGAGTTGGATGACATGCAAGGATATATTGGTTTCAGATCATAAATGGGGTTGAATGCCAGAAAATAGAATCTAACTTAATTTGGTTAAGTAAATGTGGACTAACTACACGTGATTATGTTTTTAAAAGTTTTGATTCTGTTTGTTCTTCCTCACTCCCCAGTTAAAATATTTCAGTGAGTCAGGAATAGTATCCATCACACCCTTTTTAAGTTTAGAAACAATTGAAATGTAGATGTGGGAGTCAGATAGATGGACATAAAAATATTACCTGTGTTTCTGCTACAGGGTCAGCTGGATTTGAAGGCCATGATTTACATGTGCAGCAACAATGGATTCCCAAATATGCCCGCTGCAAGAGACTTAGCTCCCCAATCAGTCAGGGCAGCATCAGGTATGCAGGTGTCTCCTCTGGGTGCTGCGGAAGAGCAGAGTGAGATGTGCTTTTTGTAGGTGGCAAATCCCCAAAGAGGAAGGAAGAAAGGACTGGGACAAGCACCTTCAGCTTCTTCCAAGCTTACCATCCTATAAGCTACTCCTCTTTCCTGGAAGAGGAGAGTTTCCTGGTGGAGCCGGAAGCTGTAGACCCTTCCACTTGTAACATCAAAGTAGAGAAAAGAAATCCCCCTGATGCCACACATGCTTTTAAATAAGATGCAATAAACTCTTTGCTTATGATCACAACATATGCCCTAGTATTTTCCCGATAACCTCGGCCAATAATTGGTTCTTATGGCCCATTCCAAGACACATTGTTGCTATGGCCCTTCTTCCCACATCTATTTCTCAGGCAGTGTCGCTTCCTTCTAACCCTGATATTGCTTTTAGCCTGAAATATAAATTCTGTTTTGTAACTCTAAATGCTATTTGATATAGCTTTGGGATTATACCTTCCCAATTAAATGATTTGAGCTGTGAAAGCACTTAGCAGAGGAGCTGCATGCCCCATAAATATTTGTGAGCTCTCCAGCCCCATTTCCCCATGCCTGCTTTTCCTTTTTAGGTCCTTGGCCTTCGCCTGCTCCTCTGCAACTTCTTTCCAACATCATTTTGTAGGTTGAGCTATTCTGTTTTTGGAAACCTTGCTCTTCAGCATAGCAGTCCTTTCTCATCAACCTTTCAACATTGGCAGATGAAATCTGAACTGAGTACACTTCACTGTCATCTTCTGCCTTAAAAGTTGAAACTCCAAACTATTTGACTATAGAGCTCTTCCAGAGGCTGCTGGTGAGATGCCTTCTGACTGTTTTTACCCTGTTACTCCATTACATTGTCATCATCGCATCATAAGAGGAGGATCTATCGGCTTTGCCACACCTCTTATGCTTTTGAAAAACAGAAATTATCTATGAGAAAGTTGACATTGGAGGTGTTCTCTTGGTCAGATTTCCTTGTTTTCTATTGTATAAATTATCTCACATTTACTTTATTTTACCTTTCCCTTATTTTCAATCCCTAACTTTATATATATATGTGTGTGTGTGTGTGTGTGTGTGTGTGTGTGTATGTGTGTGTATACATACACATACATACATATATATATGTATGTGTATATATATGTTTTGAGATGGGGGTCTCACTCTGTCACCAGGGCTGGAGTGCAGTGGCATGATGTTGGCTCACTGCAACCTCTGCCTCCGGGGCTCAAGCAATCCTCCCACCTCAGCCTCCTGAGTAGCTGGGACTGCATGCGCACACCACCATGCCCGACTAATTCTTGTATTTTTTATAGAGACAGGGTTTTGCCATGTTGCCCAGGCTGCTCTTGAACTCCTGAGCTCAGGTGATCTGCCAGCCTCGGCTTCCCAAAGTGCTGGGATTACAGGCGTCAGCCATTGCGCCCAGCCTATTCTTTTAGATTTATTTTCCTCCAAAATGCATGCCAAGAACTCATGAAATATATTTCCTGATACTCGGGAACACTATTGGCATGGGGGCTTACCATTTACCAAATGCTTTTGCAATTCAGAAATGAACCTCTATAAGACAGAGTTCTTAAATTCTGCTCACTTTGATTCTTAGAATCAATCTGAGCTAGAAACAGGTCTCACCTAGTCTAGATACTTCTAAATACAAAACCCTGAAGTGTTTTTATTACTCAGATATGAGGATAACAATAGGATTTTTGAGAATTGGTTGACCATACACTCAACATACCTCTTTTCTAAGGCCCCATGTGACAGTCAATCACATAATCCACTAGGGAACTGATGATAAACTTTTACCATCTCTGTGTCTTCTCTGGGTCCACAGTGCTCTCGGCCCCAGCCATGTGTATCAGGACACTTCTTGCAATGGGATTAGCTTGAAGAGCAGTCCTCCCAGAGGTGTGGCTTCCCTCCGGCATCCTCAGTTTAACACCAGCTGTGTACTTGCTCATGGCAGCTTTGTCTTCCTCAACCTAAGTGCCTTGTGTCTGTGTTGGCTTTGCCTAGTTCACTCCTTAGATGGCGGTGGACTCAAGAAATGTTTCAAATGTTTTCTAGCAGGGAGCTTCAGTTTCTTCTTGGAGTCTAAGGAGATGTCTTCCTAGTAACATGATTGGCTTCTTCAACCACTCATTGCTGAGAGCCCTGATGAGAACCCAGTGTTCAGTCTCAGCACTCTCATATCAGACCTCACCTCCTGTGCTGCAGTCTCCATCCTGGAACTGTGCTGGCCATCTTGGGGTACAGGAGGGTAATTTAGCACATTGAGGATGGCAAAGCAGGAAAAAAACCTTGCATCCTTAATGGTGTTGAGTCACTGAATTAACCAACAATGGAATTGTTCTACCTCTGGACTTTTGTTATGTGTTTTAATACACTTCTTTGTTTTGCTACTTTTAGTTGGGTCTTCTGTTACTTGCAGCTGACAACTTCTTAACTGATCATCTTCCCTGAATGAACATCAATACTGGAAATAATCTCTGCCTACTTTGAATTTCTGTAACATGTTAGCTATATTTCTATTATGGAAAGTTTTAACCTTATGCTACCATGATTTGCATAAATACAATTTTCCCTTTATAAATTTGTACTTCAGATCTTAGTGAATAGTACTAGTCTCTATAAAATGTGCTCCAAGTACCACTTATCCCATGAGATACTCCATAAACACAAGGTGCTGTGGTCACTTAAGTTTGGGAGACACTGAGTGCTGTATCCTTCCCGAGCAGATTCACAATATATCTTGGCACATGGAAATTGTTAAGGATGATATTCTACCCCTCGTTAGATGTGGGGTGAGCTTTGGTTAGTTGTTTAGTGAGTTAGCTTATGAGACCCAGTTTCCCTACTTGTAAAACAGGTACAAAATATGTACCACACAGCATTGCTATGGGAACCTGAAATAATGAATATAAAATATTTAGCCCTCTACTTGGCCATTTCCCAGAATGCCTTTGGCTTGAACCATGTGTACTTGAAGCTTCTTGCTTCATTAACCCATATTACTACATTATTAATTTGTGTCTATATACTTGCTCACATATCACTTTCAGTTCCAGAAGTTTTCTCAAGGACTTTGCTTCCTTCCAATTTGCTAAGAGCTCTGAATGCATAGTAAGTGAGGCTCATATAAGTGCTTAATAATATCAGTTATTATGATTTTGATACTACTATTTGCATATTAAAGGCTCTGAGAAGTCCTGCGGAAGAGAGACCTATTACTACTTTAGTTCTGTTTAAGCTGGAACTTCTCAAAATTATCTGAGGATACAGCCACTTTTCACACAATACCTCCTCACATTCAGCAGGAGCATTTTATAAGATACATAATTTGAGAAATGTAGCCTTGTCCACATCACCCAGGCAATAAGCCTGGCAGTCTTTTTATACAAATACCTCTGCTTCACCATCTCACCTGCCATATCCAGTCCATAATCAAGTTCTTCTAGTTCTTCTGATCTTACTTCTTAAATACCTCTAAGATTCACCCACTCCTTTCTACCCCTACTATCACTGCTCTGGAACTCCCGTATCTTTGCACAAACCTAATGGATCTGCCTGCCTTTAGTCTTGCTCTCCTTAAACCCCACCGCTTCCTGCACCAGAGGGATCTATCTGTGCAAATAGGTCATTCACTTCCTTACTCAAAATCCTTCAACAGCTCCCAAATCCCTACAGAGTAAAGCCCAGTTTTGTCCCAAGGCACTGGGGTCCTTTTCTGACCTGACTGCTGCCTCCCTCTCCAGCTCTGTATCTCCCAAGCCCTGTCTTCTGCTTTATACTCTTTCTACACCAATCCCATTATGCCCTGCTGTTTATGGTTTGTGAAGTTCTTTTGTCACAGAACTCTCTTTCTAACTTGCTTCATCTGGCTCTTCCTTATCCTTCACAACAGCTCGAGTAACAGCTCCTTGTGGTATAAGATCACACCTCTAGACTCCCACAGCCACCTGTGCATATTTTTATATTGTTACTTGTCCTGTTTCACTGAAAGTATTTTGCAGGTAAAATCTCACACATTTGACTGTGAACTCTTCAAATGCAGAAACTGTGTCTTTATTCCCCTTAGCCCACCTCACCTGCCTTTACACCCTTAGTGCAGAAACTCATTAAATATACAGTGAACTGAGCCATCCTGAGCACCAGATTTTTACTGTCTTCATCCTTCAACCAAAAAAAATTAAAAGATTCAGGCCGAAACAAATGTCTAGTTGTCCTCTGGGGTAGCCCTGACCCCCATTTTCTGCCATGGCTGCAGTCAACTGGGCTGGGGAACTACAGACTCAAAGACTTGAGCCTTGCCTCTGTCTGAACCACATGTCAACATGGCTTCCTGCAGCAGTGCAGAGCGACAGCTGGGCTGTGCTGACTGGAGAAAAGATGTCAGGCTAACTCCCTGCTACACTGCAGCTTCAGGCTGGCTTGGGATGAGTGGACTTAAGGAGCCAACCTAGCATCAGCTCTTTCTGCCTTGAGGGATGTGGGGGAAGCATGGAGGGAGAGGGAAGAGGTGGCCTTGAGAGCCCAGAACCAGCCCTACTGAGGGATTCTATAGGCAACTTGGAGCAGGTCCCTTCAGCAGACATCGGCGTTTTGCCAAACAGCATCATCAGAAGCATTGTGTTCTATTTAACTGTAATGTGAAAAAAATCAAGGTAATTGAAGTGCATGCAGCTGGACTGCTATTCAGATTAGGCAAAGGAGTCAGCCTGTATCCTAAGTCAGGATGGATGGTAGACCAGCTCTGACAAGGCTTCTAGGCACGGGGGATATACGGCAGCATCAGCTTTATCAAGTCTGATTTGATTAGTTTCTCCAGTCAATTTTATGCAGTCTGGCCACAGGATATATCATCTTTCCAACTTTCTGCTCTGCTCTTTTTCTGTTGATTTTAAAATGGTGACATTATTTCCCTGTCAAGTGGTCACAGAATTTACCTAGTGGTGTTCATGAGGAAAACCCCTTGTATCTGCCATCCTCAGATGCTGAATGTCTTCTTCAGCTAAAAGAAAACTTACTTGACTCTGTAGCAAGAGGATCATTTTACTTCTTTCTTTTATCCCCACAGAGAGTCCCTGAGAGTCTTTTGATCAAAGGAAGAGACATTTCAGAATGATGTGTCCTGGCCTTCTTCTTAGACACACTTAGAAATATTGTTCACATGTCTAACCATTAAGAACCATGCGATTTTTCTGAGCTCTAAAGCACCTTAGAGATGATCAAGTTGGACCACTTTATTTCACAAATATAGAGACAGAGGGTCAGAGATAAGGGAAGTCTTTAACTTGCCAGGGCATCCAACAGGTAGCGATGTGCCTGAGAGGATGTAGTAGAGATGTACATGGCTTCCATGAAGTTATTCAAGAAAACTTAAATCTGAAAAACAGAGGAAGATTACCCTTTAAACACCATCTTTTTCAAATAGGATTCACCTTAAGAATTCTGATTTCCAGTTTCTTCATTTAAAAAATATGATTCAATTTACCAAAATTACATTGAAGAAGAGCAAGTCAAGAGCAACTCTTTACAACTAAGACACTTTCCCCTCCTTCTTCCCACTTCCATTGTAACTACAGTTACTCTAACTCATGAGTGGCCCCAGGTCCTTGCTGCTCCTCCATCAAGATTGCCCTCTGTGGTCCTTTCTAGCTGCAGAATAGATCTTCTCCATACACCAGTCTCAGAGTTGGTTTCACTCTCTGAATGTCCACTGGTACCTAATCCAGCCTATAACGATCTTGTCCTTTTCTGATCATGGATGTATTCACACTGCACAGCTATACCCTAATGCTCCCTGATTCCTGATGTATATCATGTTTCCTAAACTAGACTGGAAACTTCCCCTGGACGGGGAATATGACTTATTTTTTACAGTGGCTCCATTATACTTAACATGGCATTGGTATATAGTAGACACAAATAGTGTGCCGGTAAACAAACTCTCCAAAGGAAAAGAAAAGCCCTGATTTGTAATATTTGCTACCAACATGATATCTTTGAACATTAAATTGTAAGAGATGCCCAGAATTGACTCTATCAAGCTTATACAAGCCCACTCTGGCACACAACTGGTAGACATTAATAAACAGGTGTTTAGCCCATTGTGCACACATAATTGTGTGAAGTGTATTTGTCAGCAAGCTTCATGTTGAAAAAGAGACCGTTTTTCAATATTTAGCATATAATTTAAACAATTAGTGAACATATTTCTCATTCACTCATTTAAAAGTTGCGGAGCATTTACTAATGCTGCCAATTCTGGTCCAGGCACTAGCCTTATGGGATTTGAAGTTAAATGGGAAAAACAGATATTAAGCAAGCAAGCAAACAAACAAAAACCACAGAGGAAATTATGTAATTATAAATTGTAGTATTCATTATGAAGAAATTTCAGCATGCTAACAGAGTTCTTCTCCATCCATCAAAGGTGATTGAGTTAGATTGATGAAGTGGGAGTGGAATATTTGGTGTAGCCTTCCCTAAAGAATTAACATTTCAACTGCCACTGGAAGGACAGATGAGCAGGAGTTATGCAGGTGAAGTGGAAGGGAGGCAATCCCAGAAGTGTGGACAGGGTGTACAAAGAATCTGAGGCAGGAAGGATCTTAACCTAAAACAAATTAAAAGCAGGGCAGTGTGGTGGGAGAGCAGTGGGTGAAAGACAGAATGGAAGGAGAGAAGGCTGGAGAGGTGGGCAGGGGCTGATCACACAGGGCCTAGGAGACCATGTTCATGAGCTTGCATTCTGTTATAAGTTCTATGGGAAATGATTTGTTATTTTTGAAGAAGGAAGTGATAAAATGTGAATAATGTTTTAGAAATATGACTATGGTTGCTATATGAATTAATGGGTGGGGTGGAAGTAGGCGGCAAAAGTGGAAACAGGGAGAGCTACAAGAAAACTTTCAGAGTAGAGGAGAACGATGATAGTGGCTTGGCCTTAAGTGATAGCAATGCAGACAGAGTAAAGTGAACTTGCTTAGGGAGCTACCATGTGGATAGAGTTGCCATTTACTTGGGTGGGGAATACTAAGGGGGTATCTTTTTCTTGATGGGAGGGAGATGATCTCCAAACAGGTAAAGATCAGTTAGAGGATGGTAAGCCAGTCAAGAAGCTAAAGGAGCAATGGTGGAAAGATTGGAGGAACAGTCAAAGTGTAGGTGTATTATCCAGGGAAGCCAAGATCAAAGAGTGTCTCAAGGATAAGGGGGTGAGCAACTGTGTCTAAAGCAGCTAAAAATTGAGGAACATGAGAATCGAAAAAAACCTCCATTGGAGCTGGCAGTGTGGAAGTCATTGGTGACTTTTGTAACAAGTGTGTTTTGGGCACAGTGGTGGGTGCTGAAGGCAGGCTAATACAATGAAGATGGCAACTCTTTAGAGAAACTAATCTGTGAAGAATAGAGGGTGCAGTAACAGGAGGGGATGTGGAATAAACAAAGGCATTTTTTAAAAAGATGGACATACCTCAGCATATTAGAATGCTTGGGAAAGGCTCTGGTAGAGAGGGAATGATTGATGATGTGGGAGAGAAAGACCTGAAGGGTTAAGTGCCTGAAACATCAGGCGGAATAGGATCTGATCACAAATGAGAGGATTAGCATTTGATAGTTTTCTACCAACCAATATGATATAGAGACAACTTTTGAGGAGTGGCTAAAATATTTATGTACTTAAAGAGAGATAGGGCCTTGCGATTTCGTGTTCTGAATTTCTTCTCACATGCAGAGATTTAGAGTGCAATCAGAATAAGGCTGTTTAGCAGCCAAAATGGACCTATTTTTTAAGTGTTGCTTGCTTGTCTTTTCCCTTGCCATTGAACATAGCAATATAATCCAGAGTTTGCATACAAAATATAAGGGAGTGTATGCCCCCATTGTTGGGGTAATGGAGGTTTTCATCATTCCCCTTGTCAACACACAGTATATACGTTGGGAAGGGAGGTTGAGAGTAGCGCTGATAGACTGGTAGGTTTGGTAAAGAAAAGATGAAGGAACTCCCTTCTGATGGCTTCTGTTCTCTCTGTGAAGTGCAAGTCGAGGTCATTAAGTTGGAGTGAGAAGACCAGATGAAGGAACTGACGATTTGAGGAGAAAGGAGAGGGTTTGACATAGACATTACAGAGAGTGAGAGACAGAGTTTACTTTTTTCGGGGTAAGAGTAATCAATTTAATTCTTCGCCATCAAATCTTCATATTTTCACTGATCCTTTCCTCTGTGTGCAGGAATTAAATTTCTGTTGTTGTGCAGGTTGTCTGAGAGGAACTTCCTTCTCAAGTAATGTAGGACCCCTGGAAATGTGTCTATAGCTTCTCCAAAGCA
Source organism: Homo sapiens (assembly GCF_000001405.40). Lineage (NCBI taxonomy): Eukaryota > Metazoa > Chordata > Mammalia > Primates > Hominidae > Homo > Homo sapiens. The sequence continues at coordinate 34,678,581 of NC_000015.10, forward strand.
GGCCCCTGGGTCTCAGCAATGAGTCTTCTTGGGCATTACAAGCGTCACTCATCATTTGCTCTTTTGTACTGCTCGGACCCTCACTCTACGGGTTTGTCTCATCTCTTCTGTGACGTGCTGCAGTGCACACTGCTTCTCAAAGGGTCATCTGAGGACTGGTGCCCACCTGCAAACTGTTTGTTACCCATCCTGACAGGATAAAGAACTGACACCAGAACATAAATCAGCTATGTCACTAAGCATGCTGTTTAGCTGAGATTGTTTTCAGAGCAAGATTTTCCTCGATGAAGGAAGCAGCTCATGAATTTTCATCATGATGCAAGCTCCTTTTCTATTGGAGACCACCTTAGCCAGTTCCCTGACAAGTTACTTCAAGTAGTGCTCCTCTAGTGCAGTGTTTTTTAAACCAATAATCATGTGCTACTTGGATGTGAAATCAATTGAGTGCAATCAATTCTTTTGTTTTTAATGAAAGAGAATAGAAAAAGCAGTGGGCATTACATATAGTAATTGTATGTGAAGTAATGGTAAACGTTTAATGAAACTTTTCTTTCAATCACATGTATACAGATGTGTGTATTGGGTCACTGTGGAAAATTATTTCTTGCTGTAGGTTGGGGCCCAAAACATTTGAGAAACACTAAGTATGTAGTATCTCCTATCTCAACCAATATCCCCTTGGGCCACCATGCTCTCCTTCCTCACTAGATGTTACTTGTCTGAAGCCATTTACTGTGCCTCCTTTCCAAAAACACATGTCCCATGCCAGACCCCAACACGAAGCACAACAGTGACATTTCACAGTTCACTTATCTCTCACTAGAGAACAAGCAGAGTTTCTCATTTTCCTACAAAGCTGGGAAATTATTTTGATCTGTGTTTCTGCAGCAAAAATATGCCAAAAATAAGGTTGCATAAGATCAGTCAGCAGGGATGTTTCCAAGTCTCAAATTACAGTCTTAGAAGAGTTTGTAATATGAAATTCAAAGACATCTTTATCTGGCTCAGGATCAGCAAGGCTTACCTTGCTATTCAGTGTCTAAACAGGGAGAATCCTGGTTTGGATGGGTAGAGGGCTGCTGATAGACAAACTCCAGGATTCTCAGTTACATTTAAATTTCAGATTAACAGCAAATAAATTTTTGTGTGTAAGTATGTCCCATGCAATATTTGCAGTAATGAAGAATTCTTTGTTGTCTAATTAATATTTTTTAAAAGTAAAGTATGTCCCAAGTAATATTTGGAATAATAAAAAATTATTATTTATCTGAAATTTAAATTTAACAAGGCATCTTGAATATTTATTTGCTAAATCTGGAAACCCTAAAGGGATGGGAAGCTTACACAATTTGGGAGAGGAGTCCTCTTTAAGTAAGAGAATACCAAAATACCTTTCATTGAAAAATTTTCAAAAATATATAGCATTGTAAACACATCTTCTGGAAGAAGTGTTTAGACCTTGGAAGAGGCTATGAAAGTGAGGGGCTCTGACACTTCTGCTTCATGAGCTTGACGGTAAATTCACCTGCATCATGCCTCAATGCAAGGAGGAAATCTGTATGTCAGCCTAAGTATGGCAGATAGGGAACGACTTCTTCCCTTTTTGTTGGGGGAGGGTTTTTAATGCCTGTAGGAGCATCAAGTAGTGAAGGAGAGGAAGAGGTAATCCTCTTTCTCCTATCAGCTGAGGAAGGGAAGAAGGAAAAAGGAAAGAAGGGAAGAAGAACTGAGGAAAAGTGCTCTGCCCAAGAACCCCTCTGCTGTTGCAGGATCTCCTTTTGCATCTCCACTTCCACCACAGACCTTCTCCCACTGTAAAAAGAAAGGCACACAGCTAACCATTGTCAACCCTAGCAAGGCCCATTGCTCTAGGGAGCAAAAACAGATTCAAACAAGAAACACATCATTCCTGAGATAGAGCCTGAAAGAAAGCCAAGAAAGGCTGGCTGAGGAATATTGAAGAAGGTGGCAGCTTCACGCCATCCTGGTGGCACACCGTTTTCTCTCGAATTCTTTCTCTTTCTCACAATTGGGAAACAGACGGAGAAGATTGTCAAGAAGAAATGTATATTCAATAATTTATTTGAATTTTTTAAACTACTTTTACTCTGACATAAAATAGTCCTGATTTCCATATTAGTTTGACAGTGAAGATTTGGTTTGTCAATTAGATTATATGGTGGATATTTTCAGTACATTGAATGTACTTAATCTTTAGCTTCTAGGTTTTGATGAAAAGATCTTGAAAGCACATGCACCATATGCGGTATGACGGAAACCACATGCTTTGCAACTGGAAAGGTGCGTTCAAACTTGTAAATTTAAAAGTTATAGGAGGCCAGGCTTGGTGGCTCAGGACTGTAATCCCAGCATTTTGGGAGGCCAGGCAGGCGGATCGCTTGAGCCCAGGAGTTGACACTAGCCTGGGCAGCATAGGAAGATCCTCAATCTCAAAAAAAAAAAAAAAAAAAAATTAGCCAGGCATGGTGGTGCATGCCTGTAGACCTAGCTGCTCAGGAGGCTGAGGTAGGAGGACTGCTGAAAAAAAAAGAAAAGAAAAGAAAAATAAGTTACAGGGATCAGGGGCATACAGTTTTTCATCATTCTTTTGGTAGGTACATGAGGAAAACATCTTGACACCCTGCCTTAGGCTTTGTTGCCTGTTAGGATATTTCTGTTATTTTAAGGCTACCCTTATTGATCATTTCAATAGCCTGATAAAGGGACTGGAGAGATGCCTCTTGGATGAGACATCTCTGAGGAGCATCTCAATTGTGACAAAAAGCATTTCTTCATAAGTGTTTGATTTTGATATTTAGAAGCAAGTTATGGAAGTAAAAGGATGCCAGCAATAGCTTCCCTCTCTCTAGGGGTAATGCCACTTAGTTGTGTATGTCAGGAGTTGCAGTAGTCCTGTGCCCAGGTGTTAGTCCTTTTCATTTCTTCTGACTGCATGATGAAGAGATTTAGAACAAAGATGTTATGTAACAGTAAAGGATTGTTTTGTTGAAGGGCTACTTGCTCCTTACCTGGTTGGTCTTACACCGAATGCACCCCTTTTCTGGCCCTAAGGCTGGGATTCCACCAGGAAAACAACATATATCCACATCACATAGGGCACATTTCATTTCTAGTACTGCTGGATATCTACAGGATGCCACCTACACACGAAAACCTATGGGATATTTTATAAGTTTGAAGCCAGCATACTTTCTGAACCTCAAATACCAGCAGTCAATGAAACAGAAGGTTCTGTGTCCTTGTGTGCTCAGATAGTCACTGGGTTTTCATGAAGTTTCTCTGAACACTTATTGCCCTGGCTCTGCCTGATCTTGGTGAGGACACCAAAAGCACATTGATTATCAATGCCATTAAGGAATTCATTAGCAAAGGGTCAAGCTTAAAGTAAGAAGGTCCCAATATGGATTCTTGGCTAATATGACTCAAACGCAACTTTTGCAATTTCTCATCATTCAACATGTTCCTCCAACAGGATTCAGTCCTAATGAGTTATTGATGGAAGAGAAAAATCCTACTACAGTGGAAAAAATGGGAGTTTTGGAGTCAGACAGGCTTTGGTTAAAACCTTGGTTATTAAATATCTTTGGATTTTAATTTTCTTCTTTTTAAAGAGAAAATGATTATCAGCATAGTTGTTCTGGGGGTTAGAGAAGTTATAAGTATTTGGTCTAGTGCTTGATGCATAGCAGAGGATCAATAAATAACTGTTACTACCCTTGTATTAATAATTATCATCAATATAACAATAACTATCATAAAAATAACCATAGATGAAATGTCAAGATTTGTTTAACCATGTTGAGAACTAGAAGAGAAGCATTATTGTGATAAGCAATAAAGAGAAATAAGATTATGGAGAAAGTCATACTGACTGATTTTCATTCCCCATTTTATTCTTTTTATTCCCCATTTCAACACGTATCACATTTACTGAGAAAAGAAACCATCATTCAAAAATAAAGCCCAGAGGGCCAATTACCCAAGGAGAGCTCATGCCCAAATCATGTCTGGCCGGGGAAGAGAATAAAATTTTAACATGCATTCCCAGGGGCCAAAAGCTGATCTCTCCTCCTACCACTGGGTAAGATGATAAAGGTATGGAACAGCAGGTGAATGTGTATTTGTTCTCCAGGGGAAAGCGAGTCAAAAAGGAAGCAGAAACAGTCTACGAATGAAATTTCTCATTTCCCTTAGGGTGAGCTCAGAACTGGGCACATTCCTCATTGAACACTCACCTCTCATCGGGGATCAACATGTTCAGATGTGCCATACCCAGGATGATTCATCGTGATCAAAGAAAACAATGTGATTGTGGTAAATCCCTTTATCAGTGTAGCTTATTATTACTACCAAGAACTTGAATTGATTCAAGCTACAGACTTGAATAAACCTCATGATTTAGTAAAATAAACCTCACTGATTTTCCGAAGTCTCCAGTGAATTAAACCAAAGCAAAGTTGTCCATTCAGATCCCTGCCCCCACATAAATAAACTTGGTACACCATTTTGAATCTACCTTTTAACTTATTAAGGAAATCTAAAATCAGATCACTATATTTTCTAAAGGACATCCAAACAAAATTAACTTAAATTACTACAAAGATGTAGTAAATATATTGGTAGTCTCAGTGTGGTGCTGGTAAATGTTTAATACCTGGCTCACTGGGGAAAAAAGTATATATTACACATATATACATATATATGTATATATAATTTTATATGCCATATATGGTATATATACTAATATATATTAGCATTTATATATAAGATATGAATTTAACTGATACAAAGGACATGCAACATATAATTTATGAATAATAAAGTGTACAATACTTTTTATTATAAATTCCATAAAGCCAATTGACTCTACAGAATGCTTTTGTTGATTTTTTTCTGAACGCTTGTATCCATAACCATTCTGTGGCAGTAAACAAATGAGTGTGGTTCTGATCTGAATGTTGGTCAATATTTTTATTTATGTTATTAAATACTATGAAAGTTAAATAAGGAAGACTTATGTCAAACCTTCACTCATTTGTCAATAATGTGAGCCATTGCTGGTTCAGATAATGACTTTTGAAAACTGGAAGAATAATTTTTGTGCCATTCACAATTTAATGGCTACAGGCACAATATACTTACATATTTTAATCTGCATTAGTAACATTTTCTCTATCAATACCTTAAATCTAGACAATCAGCAAAACAATAAAGCAGGCCATGATTTGTATTATCTGACCATTTCCATGGTGTAAATATTTGCACTATAACTTTTTCAAAAGGCCAATGTAGACAGGAGAATTGCTTGAATCTGGGAGGCGAAGGTTGCGGTGAGCTGAGATCGCACCACTGCACTTCAGCCTTCCAATAGAGCGAGACTCCATCTCAAAAAAAAAAAAAAAAAAAAAAAAGGCCAATGTGATGTCACTGAACACAGAGTTGGAAGAGATGTGCAATAGCTGACTATTCTATAGTATTTTCCAACACATATACACAACCATAAATAGCATCAAGAGCATAGATAATAGTATGTGTAAAAATCATTAGAAAGTGATGACTTTTGAGTGTTATCTTTAGCATACTTTATTGTAAGTATTTAATACAATTTAAATTTTCTTTTTTTTTTGTATTTTTGAGACAGGGTCTCAGCTCTGTCACCCTGGCTGGAGTGCAGTGGCGCATACTTGGCCAATTTGCAAATTTTCATGGAGATGAAGTCTCACTATATTGCCCAGGCTGGTTTCAAACTCCTTAGGCTCAAGCAATCTGTCCACCTCGGCCTTCCAAAGTGCTGGGATTACAGGTGTGGGCCACTGCGCCTAGCCTAATTTAAGTTTTGATGATGACTATGTTTATCTACCAGCATTAAAAATTTCTGAATTTAACAACAGGCACTTACAAGCCTGCACAAGAACTTCCAGAACACTGGCTGTTTACACAACCTTTGTTCCCCCTTCTTCCTTTTTTTTTTTTTTAATGCTTGAAGATCTCACCTGCTTCATCATCACCATTGATGACTTGGAAGATGACCTAACCCCCAGTTCTGCAGCCCACCATGGTAATTCCAGTTCCCTTGTATGATTTGAGAAAGGCCATTTAACTCAATTCTGGCTAATAAGGTGTGAGGTAAAGTCCATTGGAGGAGTTACAAAAGAAGTTTCCTCATTTCTAGAAAAGAGGCACAGAAAGAGGTGGCCCCTTTCCTTTCTCCAGATATTGTCATGACTTGGTGGGATCAAGGAATGGCTATAGCCTACCAGTTTGCGGGTAGCTCAAGTCCTGTTTGGGAGATGAGGCTAACTCACAGGAAACGAAGACAAATACAATATAGGTTATACATGTCTGTTTTTCTACTGAGTAGTAACGTAGTCTCTGAATTTAACAGGATTTCAGATGAAAGTTTGATCAGCAAGGCCAGAGTCACCAGAGAAGGCTCATGGAAGGAGTGTGATTTGGTTCAGGTCATAAAGAATGAGTGAGGTTTGAGAAAAAAGGGAATAACAATTCATATGCAGAAAAAATATGGGGGCCAGTCCAAGTGGCTAACATTTATAATCCCAGCACTTTGGGAGGCCAAGGTGGGTGGATCACCTGAGGTCAGGAGTTCGAGACCAGCCTGGCCATCATGGCGAAACCCAGTCTGTACTAAAAGTACAAAAATTGGCTGGATGTGGTGGTGTGCACCTGTAATCCCAGCTACTCAGGAGGCTGAGGCAGGAGAATCACTTGAACCCTGGAGGTCGAGATTGCAGTGAGCCAAGATCGTGCCACTGCACTCCAGCCTGGGCAACAGAGACTCTGTCTCAAAAAAAAAAAAAAAAAAAAAAAAATGGGGAAAGGCGTGGTAAGAATCACTACAATATGGTGAAAAGCTTGGTCTTTGGAGACAGATCTGAGTTAGAATTCCTGGACTACCACCAATTTTGTTACCCAGAGCAGTTTATTCAACTTAGCAAAGCTCAGTTTCCTCACCTGGAAATGAGAAATAATATTAGTACTTACACCATAGCATCGTTTTAAAGAATGAACAAGGTAATGCAGGTAAAGTGCTAAGAACAGTGGCTGGCATACAATAAATATTCATTAAGTGATAATCTTTATCATTTGTTTTGAAACTCATGTTATTATAAGTTTTACTCCTCATAAGCTATTACTAGGAGTTCAATGTATTGATGGGACAGTAAAGAGGACAACTGAATTAGATGGGGAGAAGTATGCTGTGGAATAGTAGGAAATAATATGGAGAAGTAGGATGGGGCCAGATTATAGCTAGCTTTAGCATCTCTAGTGTTGTTGTTGTTGTTGTTGTTGTTGTTGTTGTTGTTGTTGTTGTTGTTTTCCAAGATTTGGGTCCCTAAGTGAAAAGCCAGTTAGTGAAAGTGAAATATGACACGATCACCCTGCCCAACAGCAGTGCTAAAAGGATTCTATTGCACTGCCATGACTGTCCATATGGAACTGCCTGCAGATGCCCTTTTGGAGGTTGTATAATGGATTTTTAAAAGAATGCTGCCAAGGAAACTTATTGAAATTTTCTTTTTGTATATACAGATCAATTCTATAGGTAGAACCTTGACATTGAGAGCTGAGATTTCACATATGTTATTCTAAGTCTGTGTCCCAGCCTCTGTGGTCAGATGAATATAAGACATATAGAGCAGAGCAATGAAATGTTTCTGATTAACAAGAATACATCATAGAGATATGTAAGTACTTCCAGTACACATCGTGAATATGTCTACTTCTCTCCTCTCCATCTGGTGCTACCACCTTACTCCAAGCCACATCATCTCTCACCTGGACTGGTTTTCCAGCTTCTATTCTTCCCCCACTAAAACTCATTTTCCATTTTCCAGTGTATTTTCAGAATTTTAACAAGGTCACGCTTTTCCCCTCATCTAAAACTTTCTAATGACTTCTTATCATGCTTGAAATGAAACTCAAACTTCTTACCCTGGCTTATAAAACCCTTCCTGCTCTTGCCCTTGCCTTTCTTTCCATCCAATTTTGGGAATGATTACAACATAGTTGCAGTCATACTTCCAGTCACTTTATTTACTATACTTCAGTGATGCTGGCCATTTTTCTTGTCAAGCTTATTTTCACCTTAGGGCCTTTGTACTGATTATTCCCTTGCCTGACATGCTTTTCCCCAAATCTTTACATGATTGACTCTTTGTTGTTCAAGTCCCCACTTAAATGTTGTCTGTTTTATTTGATTATATTTTTCTCTAATTTTTCCAACCACTATCCCTACCCTCTATTAAAACATAAGCTCTGTGAGAGAAATGATCTCATATATCTTGTTCCGTGACTGTCTCTGCATCTGGAACAGAGATTGGTACATGATATATTCTTAGAATAAAATTGTTGATCAATTGGATGAACGAGTGGATGGATAAATGGTTCAGTCCAGGTAGATACAACTTGTCTTCCAAGGATTCTCACACACATACATACACACACTCGTACACACACACACACACACACACACACACACAATTCTCCCTCCCTGCCACCACCCTCTTTCTTCCTTCCTGTCTCCTTTATTTCCCTAATAAGTCTGAGTAGAGGTTTATCTATTCTGATATCTCAAAGAATCACTTTTGGTTTTATTAAATTTTGCTATTAATTTTTTGGTTATTTTATATTCCATTAATTTCTACTTTAATTTTTTATTATATCTGTACTTCAATCTACTTCGGGTGTAATTTGCCCTCTATTTTCTATTTTCTTAAGGTGGAAACTGGGGGCATTGATTTAACACATTTCTTCTTTTCAGAGTTGTGTTTTCCCCTGAGTTTTATTTTTAGGGACATCCTACAAATTTTTATATGCTGTGTTTTCATTTTCACCCAATTAAAAATACTTTTGAATTTCCCTTTTGATGTCTTCTTTAACCTGTGAGTTACTCAGAACTACATATTTATTTCTCGAATATTTGGGGATTTTCCAGAGATCTTTCTGATACTAATTTCTTTGTGTTCACAACATACTTCGTATGGTTTGAGCCATTTTAAATTTATTAAGACTTGCTTTATATCTCAGAATATGCACTATTATTAGGTGGTTGGCATATTCTATTAATATCAATTAGGTAAAGATGTTAATAGTGTTGTTTAAAATTTCTATATCTTTACTGATTTTCTGTCTACTTATTCTATCAGTAATTGAGAGAGGGCTATACTTTCACAGAAGGCAGGTTTGCACAGATCTAGGAAGCAAAAAGGCTGAAGAAAGAGGCTAAGGAACGCAGTTTCTTAGAAACACATATTTAAGGCCGGGCGCGGTGGCTCGCGCCTTTAATCCCAGCACTTTGGGAGGCCGAGGCAGGCGGATCACGAGGTCAGGAGATAGAGACCATCCTGGCTAACACGGTGAAACCCCGTCTCTACTAAAAAAAAAAAAATACAAAAAAAATTAGCCGGGCGTGGTGGTGAGTGCCTGTAGTCCCAGCTACTTGGGAGGCTGAGGCAGGAGAATGGCGTGAACCCAGAAGGCAGAGCTTGTAGTGAGCCGAGATCGCGCCATTGCACTCCAGCCTGGGAGACAGAGTGAGACTCTGTCTGAGAAAAAAAAAAGAAAAGAAAAAAAGAAAAGAAAGTCATATTTAATAAGGAATTAAGAACAGAAGCCATGTCTGTGTCTAGGGTGGCAACAAAACAAGATGGTGGATCCCTGAACCAAGACCTCCCAGACCCAGGACTTATATACCAGGAGTGGTTCAGAAGGGATGTGTAGGACAATTGAAGTATGATAGCATCAAGGTTACTTGACATAAAGGCAGGATTTATGGTAAGTACCTGCTGTTACACAGGAACAATAGATTAACCGGAAGTCTTAGAGCCCTTCCTGGAACGGGTTAATCAGAACCCAACATAGTGGTTTACTCTTCAAGACGGAGTTTCTTTAGCATCCACAAACATAATTGTGAATTTATCTATTCCTCCTTGAAATTTTATCAAATTTTTTGTTTCCTGTCTTTTGAAGCATTATTATTAACGTACATAAACATTTAGGACTGTGATGTCCTCTTGATTAAGTGATTCTTTTAAAATTATAAAATAATCTTGTCTCTGAAATCTGAATCTGAAATCTACTCTGTTTGATATTAATATGACCCTTCCAGATTTTTTTTAATAGAGAGAAGCATAGTATATTTTTCCCGTCTTTTACTTTTAGCTTATTTGTGTGTTTTTATTTAATCTAAGTTTCTTATAGGGAGCAAGTTAGATCTTGCTTCTTTTATTCAATTTGACAGTCTCTGCCTCTTAATTCGGGTGCTTAGATCATTTATATTTAATGTGATTATTCATATGATTAGATTTAAATCTCCTACCTTGCTATTTTTTATTTGTCCTGTCTGTAATTTATTTCCTGTTTTCCTTTTTATTTGCTTTAGTTTGGAGTAGTTGAGTAGTTTTATGGCACCATTTATATCTTTGGTTGACTTAATAGCTACAATGTTTTGTTTGTTTTAGAGGTTGCTTTAGATTTTATAGTATGCATCTTATCATAGCCTACCTTCATGTGGTATTATATGAAGTATAAGACCCTTTCAAGTATATACTTTTTTTCTTCCAGGCCCTGGTGCAATTTTATCATAGATTTTTCTTCTTTATATTTTTTAAACTCCATACTACATAGTTATTATTGTGTTTAAACATTTAATTATTGTTATAAACTGAATTGTGTACCTCCTTCCCCATAAAAAATGTATTTGCTGAAGCCCTAATCCCGAGTACCTCAGAATGTATCTAGAGAAAGAGTCTTTAAAGAAGTGATTAAAATAAAACAAGACCATTAAAGTGGGTCCTAATCCAGTTGGACTGATGTCCTTATATGAAGAAAAAATTTGGATACAGAGACACTAGGGATGCGTACATACACAGGAAACAGCAAGAAGGTGGCTGTCTGTAAGCAGAGAGGCCTCCAAAGAAACTAAACCTGCTGACACCTTCATCTTGGACTTCTATCCTCTAGAATTGTGAGAAAATAAATTGCTGTTGTTTAAGCCACCCAGACTGTGGTATTTTGTTGGCAGCCCTAGCAAACCAGTATGATTATCTTTTTAAAGATTTAAATGATAAGAAACAAATCTTACGTATTTACATATGTAGTTAGTTATCTTTTCCAGTGCTATTCATTTCTTTGTGTATTTTCATATTTCCATTAGGTAGCATTTTTCTTCTACTCGATGGATGATATGGTTTGGCTGTGTCTCCACCCAAATCTCATCTTGGATTGTAGCTCCCATAAACCCCACATGTCATGGGAGGGACCTGGTAGGAGGTAATTGAATCATGGGAATGGGTTTTACCTGTGTTGGTCTCATGATAGTGAATAAGTCTCACAAGGTCTGATGGTTTTATAAAGGTCAGTTCCCCTGCACAGGCTCTCTTGCCTGCTGCCATGTAAGACACGCCTCTGCCCCTCCCTTGCCTTCTGCCATGATTGTGAGGCCTCCCCAGCCATGTGGAACTGTGAGTCTATTAAACTTCTTTCCTTTATGAATTACCCAGTCTCGGGTATGTCTTTATTAGCAGCGTGAGAACAGACTAATACAGTGGACTTTCATTACATTTCTTATAGACAGGTCTGCTGGTAATAATTATCTTCAGCTTTTATGTGTCTTAAAAGACCTTTATTTTACTTTCATTTTCAAAGAATATTTTCACTGGGTGTAGAAGTCTAGGTTGAGAGCTTTCTACTTTCATTTCTTAAATGATGTTGCTCCACTGTTTTCTCACTTGTGTTGTTATTGAAAAGAAATCAATTGTCATTCCTACCTTTGTTACTCTGCATGAAATTTGCCTTTCTTTCTTTCTTTCTTTCTTTCTTTCTTTCTTTCTTTCTTTCTCTTTCTTTCTTTTCTTTCTCTCTCTGTCTCTCTTTCTTTCTTTCATTACAGGATAGGGAATGCCCAAGCATGAAGGCAGAGAGAAGTGGTGGGGAGAGGGGATTTGCAAGAGAAGATAATGGGGAAAGATCTCTCTGGGGATCAGGGGAAAAGAATGGTTAAGAGCATGGACAGCCTGGATTTGAATACCAGTTCTGCACTTACCAACTGAGTTATCTAAGGCAAACTAAGTATCCTCTCTGGACCTTGGTTTCCGTTTGTATAAAATGGGGATAATATTTTCTACTCCAGAGACTTGGCATCTGAGCTGAATGAAATGATTAATATTTGTAAAGTGCTGTGACATAGAAAAAGGTATGTGTAAAATTAAGTAAACCATTAGAACACTAAGTGACTCATAATAGATACAAACCCTTTTCAATTTAAGCAGAATTGGATTTTGTTAAGAGGATATTGGCTAGCTCATAAAATGTCTAGGAGGAAGAGATGGGCAGACCACAGAGCTGGTGCCATGAAGACACCACAGGCACAAATGGCACAGATACCATAGATGCTGCATTTTGCTGATGCCATGATGTGGGACTCAGAATGTTGCCAATAGAAACTGGAGGTAGCTGCCTCCATTCTCCCCAGCAAGGATCCAGCAGCCTCCCTGCTTTCTTGGGTCACCAGCCTCTAATTTCGTGGCTGGGTTGGGTGGAGACTCATCTGAGGTGGAGGCTTATGTCTGGGGTGGAGTAGGTTAGGGCTTACTCATAGCTACAAGGGAGCTTCTATAGTGGGAAGTAAGCTCCGCCTCACAAGTTTAGGGATTTCCCACTTTGAGCAATGAGACTTAAACACTGGGAAGTTTAAAAGAATGCTAAATGGGCAGAAGCCACCAAGGAAGAAGAATTAAAGAATATTAAATGAAAGAACCAGCAAACCCATATACAAAGTATAGGCTATTTATAAATACTTATGGATCAGATCTGGGTGAGAAGTTGTTATAAGGGATTACAAAATGGATTGAAAAGGAAATAATCTAGAATTCCTTTAAGGAGGTCAGAAATAGTGCAGTAGAAATATTGTGTTTTCAAATGTAGGAACAGGAAATTATGATACTATTCCTAACCCATCATAAGGGTCATGGCCAATATTCTTATAAAAAAATACAGGTTAACTAGAGAAAATCATAATACATTTATTTAACCAAAGTTTTACACGACATAGGAGCCTTGAGAAATGAAGACCCAAAAGCCAGGAAGAACTTTCTTTTTTATGCTTGGGTTTGATGAAGAATGGACAGCTGTATAAAAATGTGATTGGACAGAAAGGGTATAATCCGAGAGCAACAGACTGAGGGGGAAAGCAAGCAAGACCTGTCTGTTCAGCTTCTTCTTGACCTCTCTGTGTAGCGTTTCTTCCTCCTAGGAAGGGGTCCCTCTGGAATGAGGGTCTTCAAGGGAGAAGGGAGAGAATGACCTTTCTAGGTTTTACGGGTGGCTTTGAGAAAGAGGAGTTCTAGTTTCTATGACCCACCTTGGGGAAGGGGAAGTGTGGCTTCTATGACTCACTTTGGGGAAGAAAGAGAAGCAGGAGACAGGAGGATGGGAGAAGATGGGAAAGACCTTGGTTCTGAGGCCTTTCCAATTTTCTTCAGTTCAAAGTACTCAGCACACCAAAGCGCCATGCTTTGGAGTATCATATTCTGAGCCCAACACAAACATAAGTTTTCCATTGTTAATTTTTCTCTACTTTCTCAGGGTCTTCATTCCTACATTCTTACAGCCCAGGCGCTTCATCCACTGGAACTCTCCTCCATTACTCCCACCCTAAGCATTATTCTACACCCCATTTTTGCTCTCAATCAACTATTGATTCATTTTCCTGCAAAGGTGTTCACCAATAATTGAGGTGGCCACTGATAAACCATCAATGTGTGGAATCTCCTAGGGAACATTTACATTTCAGGAGAAAAACAAAGCCTTTAAGCTCTGAAGGAATACAAAATGTAGGAATAGCATTTTGTGGCACAGAGTTCTCCCTGGCTCTCTGAAAAATGGCTCTAGCTAAGACATCTGCCTATATTGCCAATTCAGCTCTCTAAGTCTCCTTCCTTGTGGCTGGCTGGTTGCAAATGAGGCATACCCATCTATACACAGAAGACTTCTGAGGGTCATGCACTGAGCACATGCCCCTCTCAGGGTGCATGCACCGACCCCTACCTTTCTTTTCAGCGCCTGTTTACACCATTGCCTTTTGCCCTATGAAGACACAGTCCTCCCTAAAGCCCAGTTCACCCCGTTCTTTCCTTTCTCAAAGGTTAAAAATAGCACTCTCTTCAATGACCTCAATAATTTAGAACCCATGAATAAGTCATTTGCCCAGGAGACTACATTGGGGCTTCTATTTTTGCCTATAATCTCTCACCAAGCAAAATGACCTCTCTCATGGAGCCAACAATGACACCCGTTGCTCTTCTGGCTTCCCACAGAAAGGCACAGGCAGAGCTTGCAAAGTAGTCTTTCCTCAAGGACAAGATGGTCTGATAGGTGTCAGTGACTTCAGAATGTGAGTAACTAAACATGAACTTAGCCATGTATGCCTTGCTCAGAACTCCTGGAACTGCCCAGAGCATACTCCAAGAGGAACACATTCTATAAAATGGGGGAGGCAATTTCTGCCTATACTGGCCCTCCTCTCCAGCCCTCCATCTTTGAACCTCAATAGAAGAGCAATATGAAAGCTGCTCAGGCCCTTAAGCCCATGTGATTGCTCCTGCATTCCAACAACACCTCTCTTCAACTTACATTCCCTTGCCCCATCAACTATTTACTCTGAGCCAATCCTGTGGTCACTGAGAAACACTCCACCTCAGGTATTTGGGCCACTAGTCAACAAAAATAAGTTTGACTTTCTTCCCTCCATATTTCCATACCTAGGGGCTGTCCTAGTTCCGCTTTTCTCAACTATCCATAGGATTCCCAGCCCAAGTGTTCTGCCGGCATCTCTAGCCTCAGCCTCCAAGGGATCCATTCTCACTTTTCATTGGCCCCATGCCCAAAGCCTTCCACGCTGTTTGTGCAGCCCTGAACTATGTCAGTGGGAAGCTACATGAAACCGTGTCATATGACCTCATGCCCCATGAGTCACAAAATCATTAATTCATTCTCACTATCTCCCTCTGGAAAAATACTCTTCCTAAACCTTACTCCCTGCCCCTGCCAAAAGGAAGATATATGTATTTCAGAAAATGAGAAACTGCTTCTTTTACAGCCTATTGTTTTCCTTTATAAAATAAATAATTTTTTGTCTCACATTTCCTGAAAAGTTACCATGAGGCAAGTACAGTGCTTAATGCTTTATTGAAGCATCTCACTTATTTTTCTCTAAAAATCCTCTAAGGTGATGTTATTTCCCTCATTCTATACTGGAGAAAACTGGGGCACAGCAGCTTGTTCACAGGGGCAGAGGCAGGATTTGAACCTAGGAAGTCTTTTTCCAGAAACTACTGATCACTAAGCTCTACAGGACATAAGACCGTACCCTCTTGTTGCCTTTAGTCCACAAAGAACTCTGTAAGTAAGTTCCCACTTTTTCCTTTGAGAAGACACAATGACTTCCATTTAGTCACATCTTTGGTGGGCATTCCTTACTTCCTATCTGTGCTCTCTTTCTGCCAGTTTAGGCAATACCATCATGGACATAGAAACGGGCAAAGATTTCATGACAAAGACACCAAAAGCAATTGCAACAAAAGCAAAAATTGATATGTGGGATCTAATTAAACTAAAGAGCTTCTGCACAGCAAAAGAAACTATCAACAGAGTAAACAGACAACCTACAAAATGGGAGAAAAGATTTGCAAACTATGCATTTGACAAAGGTCTAATATCCAGCATCTGTAAGGAACTTAAACAAATTTACAAGAGAAAAACAAACAACCCCATTAAGATGTGGGCAAAGGACACAAAAAGACACTTTTCAAAAGAAGACATACCTGTGGCCAATAAGCATATAAAAAAGCCAAATATCATTGATCGTTAGAGAAATGCAAATCAAAACCACAATGAGATACCATCTCACACCAGTCAGAATGGCTATTACATAAAAAGTCAAAAAATAGCAGATGCTGGCAAGGTTGTGGAGAAAAGGGAGCACTTACACACTGTTGGTGGGAGTGTAATTAGTTCAACCATTGTGGAAAGCAGTGTGGCGATTCCTCAAAGAGCTAAAAACAGAAATACCATTAGACCCAGCAACCGCATTACTGGGTATATACCCAGACGAATGTAAATCATTCTACCATAAATACTCATGCACGCGAATGTTCATTGCAGCACTATTCACAATAATAAAGTTGTGGAATCAACCTAAACGCCCATCAATGACGGATTGGATAAAGAAAATGTGGTACATATACACCATGGAATACTTTGCAGCTGTAAAAAAAGAACAAGAGCATGTCTTTTGTGGGAACATAGATGGAGCTGGAGGCTGTTATGCTTAGCAAACTAATGCAAGAAGAGGAAACCAAATACCACATGTTCTCACTTATAAGTGGGAGCTAAATGATAACTTATGGATACGAAGAAGGAAACAACATCACCAAGGTATCAGGCCCAGTAGTTATCTACCCATAGGAGGAGGGAGAGGAGCAGAAAAAACTATTGGGTACTGGACTTAATACTGGGTGGTGAAATAATAGGTACAACAAACCCCTATAACACGTTAACCTATGTAACAAATCTTCACATGTACCCCTAAACCTAAAATCAAAGTTAAAATAGAAAAAAAAGCACAAGAAAAAAAAAAAAGAATTAGCAGGAGTGAATGCTCTTAACTGAGAGCTCCCTGGTCTAAAATTCTTAATTAATTGCTGTGGGCCTCACTGAGCCAGGGTACTTTCCATTGCCAATTCTTTTTTTTTTTTTTTCTTTTTTTTTGAGACGGAGTCTTGCTGTGTCGCCGAGGCTGGAGTGCAGTTGTGCGATCTCTGCTCACTGCAAGCTCTGCCTCCTGGGTTCATGCCATTCTCCTGCCTCAGCCTCCCGAGTAGAGTAGCTGGGACTACAGGCACCCGCCACCACACCCGGCTAATTTTTTGTATTTTTAGTAGAGATGGGGTTTCACCGTGTTAGCCAGGATGGTCTTGATCTCCTGACTTCGTGATCCACCGGCCTCGGCCTCCCAAAGTGCTGGGATTACAGGCGTGAGCTACCATGCCCCCCTCCATTGCCAATCCTAACCATTTGAAACAATTGTTATATGTGTTCATACTTGGTGAATTATAATAATCAACACCACCCTTCAAATTGCTTATCTTATTTCTTTGAAAAGTGGAACGGAAGTTTTTCCACAGTGAGTAGTTCAGGAGAGTCTATGTAGCCTCTACTTTTGACACATGGATATATTTTCAGTAGATATGATCAAAAAGAGAATACCAGCTTGAGTTTCTCAGAGAAGTGTGGTTCATTAATTCATTCACAAATATTTATAAAGTGCCTGCTATAAGCTAGGTGCTGGATTGAATAACCTTAACAATCCCTTCTGATCTTGAGAATCTATAATTCCAGGAGAAAGGTGAAGTGAGCCTAGAAGAATTCACTGGATTTTGTAGAGTGGAGACAAGAAGGGATACCTTTCTATATCATGTTAGTGAAGGATAACAGTAGGACAGCACTGGCCTATCCTGGTGGGGGTGAGTATATCTCTCTAGTACAACAAAAGAAACTCTCCAGAAAATTCTGGGGAAATGTGGTTGGATGGGTAGTCTGGGCCGGGTTATTGGATGCCCTTGAAAATCAGGCAGGAACCACACCTTGGTGCTAGAGACAAGAGAAAGTCATTGTCATAATCCTGAGCTGGGGAATGCTGTGAAGAACATAGTTCTTAGGGTGAGAAATCAGTGGCCACTTGTGGTGAAAGCGAATCTTTCTTCTCCTTACACAGCCAATTGAATGAAAATGAACATTCCCAATTAGAGAAGAAAAGTAACCTCCCGGTGGCCTAGATGCACGGCACAGAAACAGAAACAGAAGGCATTTTTCTCCCCTTTCACAGTTCTTATTTTCTGTGTTACCCTCCTGTCTCAGATCTGTGATGATGTGGTTTGCTAGATGTTCCCAGAGCTGCTAATAAGATGTGGCTATAATCTATTCACTTGACAGCCTTCACTGGAAACCAGACTTCTCTCCTAAACCCCTGCATTTCCTGGGTGACCACGGGGGTTGTGCAGTGTGGTCTGAGAGTGCCACAGGGACAGGGCAGTCCCCACCCAGTCAAGTCATCACTCCCCATTAGGCCTTCAGGGAATGGAGAGGACCTAGGCCTCTCACTGACACATAGTCAGAATAAGCAAGAAAAAGCCAAGCAGAAAAGGAGACAAGAATGCCTGAAGACAGAACTGGTTTGAAAACAAAGAAGAGAAAACCAAGGAGAGATTTAATTACATAAAGAGCACCTGACCAAAAGCATAACCAAGCATTTCTGTTCAACATCAACAAAGGACATAACAAGAACTAAGCAGACTTAGAGGAGAGCAGGACCAGACTATTATCTTCACAGGTGAGCTTGCTTCTTAGTGATGGAGTTTAGGATCTGTCAGCCCAAAATATAACTGTAGCAGACAAGAATATGCCACCCCAAAACATTCCTCTTTGGCCTAAGGATTATTCTGAGAAACTGCAGACACAGGGGAAGCTCTGAAAACAGAGTAGAAGTTACCCTTTTGTATGATAAATTTACATCTATAAAGGAAATCTCCACTTCTCAGAATGTCTTCTCTCACCAGGAAGACAGGGACAACTAAATCACTAGACTCTTATCAGTGGAGAAGGTACCACTTACATCTGCATGACAAACCCTACCCATTTACTGTCCTTTTCCTGGCCTTCTCCCTATAACCTGCCTTGCCTCACATCCTTCTTTCTTTATTTCAGCAAAGGATAGTACTTCTTTATTAAATAGTCTGAAGTCAAAGCCGCTTCTTTGAGATTTATTCTTGGAGATTTCCCTATCTCCTATGATTCAGGAGGTATACATGTCATTGAACTTCTGATCATCTGTTTTGTTACTGTGAGTCCATGAAGAACTGTGAAAAGTAGAGAGAATATTATACTTCCTCTCTTCTATTAGCAAGGCCTGTTAACAGGTAGGTGATCTAAAGAGGCTGTGAGTGTGAAATCAACCTCTTCAGGTCATTAACAGTAGCTCCAATTTATATTTGCCTAGAAGTGGACTAAGAAATGACTTATTGGAAGGCAACAGGGTACACTAGTCAGCCTTTCCAGGTCTTTCCTAATAAAGTGTTAAAAAAACAAACAAACAAACAACCTTCAGCTGAATTAAATGTAAAGGAGTTTAATTGAGCAATGAACAATTCGTGAACTGGGCAGGCTCCTGAGCCAGAGTAAGCTGAGAGATTCCAGCGCAGCCACATGGTGGAAAAGATTTATGGACAGAAAAAGGAAAGTGACGTACAGAAACAGAAGTGAGGTACAGAAACAGCTGGATTGGTTACAGGTTGACGTTTGCCTTGTCTGAACATGGTTCAAACAGTTGGCTACATTTGATTGGCCAAAACTTGGTAACTGACATAAGTGTAGGCTACAGTCTGTTTACACCTTCACTTCTTATAGTTCACAATATACAGAGAAACCTTTAAGCCAAACCTAAAATATGTAAGGAGGCAGCTTTAGGCTAAACTTAATTTAACACAAGTAATTATGTCTTTTTCTTATTTGAATTGAATTCATTTAGCCTAAATTTATTGAGAATGGTTAAGGTGTGGGATGGTTTTTGTGTGAGCTCTTGTCCTTGTACCTCCACTTTCTTACTCCTTATGCTTGAGATTTCCCCAGTTGCCCACATGTCTGCCTCCAACCCACATTTGACCACTCCAGGTCTCAAGAAATCTGCCTTTCTTTCGTATTCTGCACACAGTCTTTGCTATACATTCATGCAATTAAATAGAAACTGTTTTTTTTTTAATTGTTGGCCAAGTATGGGTTTTTAATCCCAATTTGTGGCCAATTCAGTAAAACAGAGGCAATATTTTCTACTTTGTCATTTTCCCCTAGGGTTCTATGCATGATGCTGCTGCATTCTAGTAAATTTTTACTGGTTGACAGCAAAAGAAATATCAAATACATTGTATATATGTAATTTAATATGTATTGAGCATCTACCATGTGTGAAGTACTTTAAAGTCTTCGTTTAGCAATGCTCTTGAACACTAGCACTTTTAGAAAACAGTTTATAGTGTAAATCAGGATTTTGTCAACCAAGTGTTTTGTCACAGGCAAGTTGATTTTTGGAGCATGATCACATACAAGTAACTGGTAAACACAATTTAGAAAATAGACTCGGGCCAGGCGCGGTGGCTCACGCCTGAACTCCAGGCGTGGTGGCTCTAGCACTTTGGGAGGCCGAGGTGGGTGGATCATGAGGTCAGGAGATCGAGACCCTCCTGGCTAACACAGTGATACCCCGTCTCTACTAAAAATACAAAAAATTAGCTGGGCGTGGTGGCGGGCGCCTGTCATCCCAGCTACTCGGGAGGCTGAGGCAGGAGAATGGTGTGAACCCGGGTGGCGGAGCTTGCAGTGAGCCGAGATAGTGCCACTGCACTCCAGCCTGGGCAACAGAGCGAGACTCCATCTCAAAAAAAAAGAAAAGAAAAGAAAAGAAAATAGACTCCTGAATATTGAAAGACTGAGTTGTAGGAGAAATTTTATTTGAAAATTGAGCAGAAGAAACCTTGATTTTAAAAGATAACACCAAAGAGTATTGTGGATGCAGTGCATAAATGACATATCTGTCCTGACACTTGCATTATGTAAATAAAGAAAAACTGGTGAACCCAAGAGAATGACAGTGTTGTTGGTTTAGGATCAACAGTCAAATGAGCACAGAGGCTGGGAGCAGTGTCTCATTCCTGTAATCCCAGCACTTTGGGAGGCCAAAGCAGAAGGATCGCTTGAGCCCAGGAGTTCAAGACCAGCCTGGGCAACATACAGAGACCCTGTCTCTACAAAAAATTTTAAAAAATTAGCCAGGCATGGTGGCGCACACCTGTAGTCTCAGCTACTTGGGAGGCTCAGGTGTGAGAATCACTTGAACCCAGAAAGTCAAGGCTGCAGTGAGCTGTGGTCACACCACTGCCCTCCAGCCTGTGTGACAGAGTAAGACCCTATCTCAAAATAAAAAAAGGATACAGTGATAGTTTGCCTTGTTGTCTAAGACTTTTGGTGCCAAATTGTTATGCAGAACTAGGAACCTACAAGTAAATTCTCAGAAGCTGTCTTGTTTTTAGAACGAAGAATAAAAACATTTGATTGTGGTCTTGATTTTTAAAAATCTGTATCCTTAGGTGTCATTCTTTGGAAATATGCCATAAAATTTGCCATGCTTATTTAAAGAAAAAAAATAATGACTATTGAGAAGAGCATGGCAGTCTCTCCATTAACCGTGTTATGAAGAAGCAAAGTTAGGAGGAGACTGGGATGATAAGGTTAAGACTTCATAACCAAGGCATAATCATTGTTTTATTAGTAAGGATTTTGTAGCTTACCTTAATTGCAGTCAAATTGCCTCAGAAGGGCTAAGCTTACTGTGAAAAAACTGTAGAATATTCTAGTGTCACATTATAAATGGATTACAATTACATGATGAATTAAACTACAAATATCCAACAATGACAGGAAACACTTTCATCATCAATGATTCAGAGGCCTTTAAGAATTTCACAGTACTCTAGAGTTACGCTACTTCTGTTTGAATCTTGAAAACCTGGACATTTAAAACATTTTTTTTCATTGAGGTAAAATATACATATATAATTTACCATCTTTACCATTTTAACTGTACATTTCAGTGGTAATAAACACATTTACATTCTTTTATCTCCCCTCTTCATCCATTCCTCCCTCCTCCTCTCCCTTCTCCCCTTCCTGGCCTCTGGTAACCACCAGTGTACTCTCTGTCTTCTTGAGATCCACGTTTTTAGTTCCCGCATTTGAGTGAGAACAATGCAATATTTGTCATTCTGTGCTTGGCTTATTTCACTTAACATAATGGCTTCCAGTTCCATCTATGCTGCTGTAAATGATAGAATCTCGTTCTTTTTTGATGGTTGCATGGTACTCCATTGTATATATATACCCTGTTTTCTTTATCCATTCATCCATTGATGAGCACTTAGGTTGATTTTATTTTAGCTATTGTGAATAGTGAATAGTGAACAGTGAATAGTGCTGCAATAATTATGAGAGTGCAGGTATCTCTTTGATATATCTATTTCCTTTATTTTGGATATATACACAGTGAAATTGCTGGATCACATAAATTTCTGTTTTTAGTTTTCTGAGGAACTTCCATACTGCTCTCCATAGTGGCTATATTAATTTACATTTCCAATAACATTGAATGAGGGTTCCCCTTTCTCCACATCCTCACCGGTATCTGTTATTGCCTGTCTTTTTGATACAAGCCATTTTAGCTGGGGGCAAGATGATCTCTCATTGTGGTTTTGAGTTGCATTTCTCTGATGACTAGTGATAAAACCTGGACATTTGAACTTTCTGGTTATTTGGACATAATTACAGTCTTATCATAGATCACAAAATGGATGATTAAAAGAAGTAGAATTTAGATATCTGATATGCTTTTCCTATTTTCCAGGAAACAAGGATTTAGCTTCCTTGAGGGTCTTTATGTATTTACGTTGTTGTTTTGTAATGATGTGTTGCTATGCATGTTGTTATGTATATTGTGTAATGATATGTTGTTATGTAATGATAATGGTAATAATATTTGAGTCTTTCCAAACTACTTTATCAGTACTTCCCAAATTCTTTCACATCCCAGCACACATGGAAAGCGGTAACATGTAAATAGCACCCTAGAAAAATAGAGGAGGTCGCTAGGGCTCTGGCCTCCCAGTTCCCCTTCTTGCTGTCTCAGAGGTGAAAGAGACCTGTCTATATCTCAGCTCACCTAGAACCCATCGGAGTACCTTGGTAAAAAATGTCTGGAAATGTCAGTTTGGGACCACCTCATTCGTGGTCCTTTAACTATCATGAAAATTAGTTCTTCTGGTGTCCTTGCACTCACAGAACCCTGCCCCTTGGGTGAGGGAGGGACTCCAGGAGCAGAGAGAAGATGAGCAGCCTCACAGAAAGGAGGAGCTGGCATACATTCCCACGTGGAGTGAGCAGAAGTGCCAGCTGTTGTCTTCAGGGAATTTTGCTGACAGTATGAGAATGGGGCATGATGTCACAGGAACCTGGCTTGGCCAGCACAGCATGGTGTCCAAGGCAGCTGATCTGTTCATCCAGATTGAAATGATCTCTTCCCCTGCTGCTCCCACCCTCCCTTCTCCCTGCCAGTCTGAGTGATAATTGTAAAGCCATGCAGTTCCTTTCAGAAGTAGGCCATGGGAGCCAGGGCTGGGTGTTTCGTGGCTGGCATATTGCAATTATCACCAAGGATGGCTCTGACGACAGCATAATACATGTGGTGTTTTGTGCTAAAAAAGTCAATACCAGTGGCTGAAAGAGCAAATCTCTCCAGAGATGTGAGCACAGCTTCAACATGACATAGTATCTGTGTGGGCCGCGACTTATGGTCATTTCTCTTCACCCTCAAGATTATTCCTACAAAATAGACCATTGACCCAGTCCTCGGGAAGCCATAAATAGAGAACATTCCTCTCTGTTCAGGAACTCTTCTTAACAGAGGGATGCTTTATAAGACTCTGCCTGTGTCAGAGTCCAGAATTTAAATTTATCTGAACTTGAGAGGAAAGTGTTATCCTCAGAACAGAACTTTAAGGAAGTTCAAATCCTAAGTTTACCACTTAGTAGCTGTGTGACTTTGGGAATTTCAATGAACTTCTCTGACCCTTGGTATTAAAAAAAAAAAGTACCATACTCACTTCAAGACTTGCTAGAATTACATAACTAAACAACCATAAGTAAAATACTTAGCACAAAGTCTGTCCCAAGGTAAATGACACAAAAACCAGCAGAAGTTGTTGTCATTGTTATATTTATAGTTATTGTTGTATATACCACTCGTGTTTTTAGGAAGGGAACTCTATAAAAAAATTTTTACACATGCTTGCTAAATTCTTTTTAGGACTGACCAATCTCATGATTATCATACAGATAACTAGAATTATGAGAGCAGTTGTAACCTCTTCAAAAATCTTACTATGTCATGTTGGTGAGAAGATTGAACAAGAAATCCCAAGCAAGAAGAGGACAATTCAGAACACACAGCCCTCCACCACAGAAACCTATAGACTCAAACATTTCCTCAAGACACCAAGAAGTTTAAGTTAAGTATTCTTCTGATGGAAAAGTTTTTAAAAACTGAATATAATATATATGTAATGTTGACATTTTTATACCAAAGGCTATAGCTTAACCTTTTATATTATTGAACCACCTAAAATACGTTAACTTTTCACATGGCATGACTATTTTTATTTCTCTAACCATGAATTAGCAACCTCAAAAGGCTTTGCCTTATTCATTATTCAACATTAAGTAGCCACTTCTCACTTTGATGTAGGTTATTAATTTATAGACTGCCTTTAGCTTAAGTCAACTGATGACAAAGCACAGTTCCAGAAGTAGATTTTGAAAATAAGCAGCTTACAGCAGGAGAATATTTGTCAGCTTTAATGTTTACTCAATAATTCAGTAAAAGGAAACAACAAAAAGGAAGTTACTGTTATGTAGAAAAATATCTTCTTTACAGTTCTATTCAATGATTAAGCTTTCATTAAGAAGTATAATTTCTGCAACTTAGCTGACAATGATGAAGACTTTGGTGTGCTGGCTATTACAGAAGGCAGATCCAAAATTTGTTTAGAAATCACATAGCAACAGTTTTCCTGTTACAAACTCAGAGAACATCCACTCAAGGTACGAATGCATAAAACCAAGAGACCAGATCTGTGTTATCCCTCCAAATTAGCACTTATAAAATGGGTTTCAAGGATTTCCACTCTGTTATTAATTATTCTTCTTCCTCCTCCTTCCCCTCCTCCTTCTCTTCTTCTTCTTCTCTTTCTTTTTTGTACTGAACACTAAGACCAAAAAATTTACAATGTATGTTAGCAATCATCTTGTCCAGTCATAATTTTACAGATAGATGGTAGTAAAGCCTATTGGTTATGAGTGAAGGCTCAGGGGTCAGTCTTAGTCTGCCTGAGTTCAAATCCTGGCTCAACTGCTTTCCACCTGTGCAACCTTTGGACAGGTGATTTACTTGTCTGTACTTTATTTATTTGAGCTGTAAAATCCATGTTACGTGCTCTTGAAAGTATTTACAGAATTGAGTTATTATGATAAATAAACAAGGCTGTACATAAGTATTAGATGTGTTATTACAGATGGGAGAGCTGAGGTTGTGAGCAGTTAAGGAATTTGTGTAGGTTCCTCAGCTAGTCAGCAGTGGAGTCCAAGTCTTCTTATTCCCATCCGAGACTCCATATTCTACAAGTGAACAGTATGGGAGTGGACATAGATCCTTTCTGCCTAAACAGCATCCATTCCTCCTTCTTCTGGTAATAGCAACCTAGCACTTACTTGGGAGAGCCACCTGACCCCAATTTTTAGTGTATGTACATCAACTTAATGTGGGAGGAGTGCAAGGGTGTCACTCAACCCAAGCCTGGCCAGTCAGAGGATTCCATCACCCTGGCCATAAAGTTTGGTTCAGGAGGGGAATATAACTTCAGATCAGTGAGATGCCATCCAGACTGTCTCCTGGAACAATTGGGGAAAGATAACCTTTTTCCTTTGGGCATGTGACTATTAAGATGTAAGTTCAGAGACTCTGCTAGCCATCTTGCTGCTAAGAAGGGAAAGCCTAGGTAAAAAAGAAGCCAACAGAGAGGGAAAGATAGCTCATAATTGGAGAGAGAAATATTCCTGATGGCATCTCTGGTGTGCTTGGATTGAGCCATACCTGCAGGAAGGGGAGATCTATCTTTGGACTTGTCAGTTAGTTCAGCCAATAAAGTGGCTGCTGTCACTTACATTGAAAAATACTGACTTACACAGGCGTTTAAAAAATATGCCACATAGTTCTCACTTCAGGAACCAGCTTGAGTATTTCCTTGTATGAAAATACTCTGAAACCCAAATCTTCCTGTTACAACATGAGAGTAATTTTGGCAGTCCTCCTTACTTCATGATATTTTGATATTGTCTTGGTTAGGTGAGCAATATTGGGAAGAAGTATAGGGTGGGCCTGGACTCAGATCTGAGCTGGAATCCCAGACCTTCTCCTAGTCAGCTCCCTTCTCCTTGGCTGTAATCTCTGTAAGCCTTAGTTACGTTGTCTGAATAGACTTATTGCAAGGGCTCAATAAGATAATGTATGCAAAATACTAACATTAAGAAGACAGTAATGATAATGCTAAAATGACTAACATTTATTGATGTTAACTGAGTGCTAGACTCTGCTGAGCACTTTAAATGAGTACCTCATTTACTACTCATAATGACCTTGTGTGGTAAGAGTGCCATTCCTCATTTTGCCGTTGAGAAAACTGAGAGACAGAGAGGTTAAGCATTTTGCACAAATCTAGACAGCTAGTGAGTGATGGTGCCACAACTCTTATTTCAGAAGCCAAGCTCATGACTACATTGTGAAATTGCATCTCATCTTATCCAATAACAATTAGATGTTTAGGTTGTTGCTACTGATGACTGACTCCTGACAAAAGTTCAAAAGCTGACTTTGATTCTGAAGTAGTGATTTTTTTAAGAGACAGAGTCTTGCTATGTTGCCCAGTCTGGAGTGCAGTGGTTATTCACAGGTCCAATCATAGCGCACCACAGCCTTAAAATCCTGGGCTCAAGTGATCCTCCTGCCTTGGCCTCATGAGTAGCTTGGTGAAGTAATGATTTTGAAGCAATTAAGCTGAAAGGCTCAAGGATGAATAGTGTGGCCATAGGGTCTTCTTTAGAGGAGTTCAGAAAGTCGGGAGTGGAGTTGAGTGAGAAGAAACAAGAGTTATTTTGGGAAAGTTATGGTAACCTCTCTGAGTCTTGGCCTCCTCATCTATAAAATGGCTTTACCTATGCCCCAGGTTTTTGTAAGGGTTAAAAGAGATCATTATGAAAAGCACTTAGCAGGTTGCCTGGGGATCATCATTACCATCATCATCATCATCATCACCAACAATGCCTATACAAACGGGCAGATCTTGGTCTGAAGTTTACATATACTCACTGAATTTGGTTTTCCTTAGTGATCTTTCTTGGTGAACAGATCTTGTCTTCACAGTTTAAATGAAAAGCAAAGCAAAACAAAAACAAAAACAGAAATGAAAAACCTGCAACCTAAGAGATTCTGTTTATTAGCTGCCTCCTAACAGCAAGCAAAATAGCCCAGGAAGAGCTTCTGAAAAAAAAAAGACCGAGGCGGGTTCTGCCTAAGTGTCTTTCCCTATGCACTGCTCTACATCTCTGCGGTGGACACATCACATAGAGCCCTGAGAAATCACATGGGGAAGAGAGCAAAATGTCAGCACAAGAAAGCTGCTCAGTAACTAAAGACCAACTGTGTCCCTCATACAGTTCTTTCTAGACAAAGAGCTCACTGGGCCTTGACCCTCCCCAAATGTGCCTAAATGGTCATTTTTAGGCTCTTGCTTATATTTCAGTGAAATGGTCTATACTGGGGGCCAAATACAGCTCCATCTCCCCATTTTGCTCATCCGTCCTCTTCCAGGTGGCATGTTCACAAACAGACTCCTCCTCCCAGAGGAATTGCTGTCCTTTTCCCCTCTTTTCCTTACCACCTCCACTCAACAGCAGAACAGTAAGGGACAGTACCTTGGCACCCTGCTTGTGATAGGTGAACATCTCCTGGTGAGTGCTACTCAGGGACCAAAGCTCTGCCTGCCAGGAAAAGTGTGAAGATGAGCACCCTTGGTCTTGTTGGGTGGAGCAGAAAGGAGGACTATAGGAACCCCTTTACGTGTAGTGTGCAGCATCTAACTGGGAGATTGAGAGAAAAGGGGGAATTGATTCTAGTTGTTTTCAGATGACTTTTTTCTATTCCTTCTTTCTTTCTCCAGAGATTCACAGTTTATTTCTGGTCATCTGCTCCACCTGGGACAGGTTTATAACTCCCCTTGAAGATAACACCAAGAACAGGGGGTGGACAGTCTTGAAATTGGTGTTGTGCCTGCTTCTCTTGTTCGTCTATCACAGGAAGACAAATCTTGTGGTCTGTCCTGCTTGCCTTGGTGACATACTTTCAAAACTTACAAGTACTTTATTAGTAAGAATAAACAACATAAATAAAAGTCCCTTACTGGGGGTCATGTGCCTTAGAATAAAACTTAACAGTTTTCATCTGTTGTCTTTTCATCTTCTTAGTGATATAAGAATAGGAATGAAAATTTTAAGAAGCTTTACTGGTGATCCTTTTTATTGTAAAGTTATATGTGCTTATTGTCAAAAATAAGTCAGACAATATATAAAGGCATAAAGAGTAAGAGATCACACAAACAATCCCACCATTCAGTGTTGAGATTTTCAAACATATCAATATACATATAAATGCATATTGCCCCCAAAATTTTATCTTTATCCTACTTTTTATTCAAAATATTCTCAACATGTTAAAATATGTTAGAACATATAGGCATACTTTAACATTTTTAAAAAACTGTCTTCCATAGTATTCCATTGTATAGAGGTACTTTATTTAACCAATTCCCTATTGATGGACATTTAGATTGTCTTCAAATGTTTTTAAAATGAACAATTTATCTATAAATCTTGGACCTGATGTTTAATTACTGTCTTAGGAGGTATTCCTAGACTCTGGATCAAAGAGTTTTTCCACTTGCAAACTGCTTTGTTAACTATAACTAAATTAACTTCCAGAAACTTTTTTTTCTTTTTGAGTTAGAATCTCACTCTGTCACCCAGGCTGGAGTGCAGTGGTGCAGTCATGGCTCACTGCGGCCTCAACCTCCTGGGTTCAAGCAATCCTCCTGCCTCAGCCTCCTGAGTAGCTAGGACTACAGGTGTGCCCCACAATGCTCAGCGAATTTTTTGTAGAGACAGGTTGTACAGGCTGGTCTTGAACTCTGGGCTTCAGGCAATCCCCCTGCCTCAGCCTCCCAAAGTGTTGGGATTACAGATGTGAGGCACCGCACCCAGCCTCAGAAAGGTTTTAAGAGAATCAAATTAGTTTTCACTTTTGCATGGACCAAGGCATGGAGAGATTCAATATCTTGCTGAAGGTAGTTCAGTTACTCACCAAGGTGCTTACAGATCCATCTGTTAAAAATCTTAATATTTTGGAACTAGAGAGACCCACTGAAATCACTTAATCCAAACCTACCATTTGTGTAGACAATTGAGGAAGGAAGGTGTATAATTCTTTTTTTAAATTTTTTTTAGATGGAGTCTCACTCTGTCACCCAGGCTGGGGTGCAGTGGCATGATCTCGGCTCACTGCAACCTCCGCCCTGTGGGTTCAAGCGATTCTCCTGCCTCAGCCTCCTCAATAGCTGGGATTATAGGCGTGTGCCACCAGGCCTTGCTAATTTTTGTATTTTTAGTAGACATGCGGTTTCACCATGTTAGCCAGGCTGGTCTATAACTCCTGACCTCAGGTGATCCTCCCACCTCGGCCTCCCAAAGTGCTGGGATTACAGGCATGAGCCGCTGCACCCGGCCATGGAAGGAAGGTGTGTAATTCTTGAACCCAGGGCTATCTCTCTCCAGTCATCCTTTGAGTTGGAGGATGGTGTCTGCAACTTGAAATGAGGTCATCCTACCAATATAATGCTATAAGCTCTAGATTTTTCTTCAATGGGTTTATATTTTTCTGGCACCACAAATTCAACCAACCCCACCCTGTAGACCACAGACAGGGTGTAGACAGAATCTCAGATCCGGTGCCTTAAAACAATTTTTTTTAAACCTGGAAATGTTTCTCTTCAAGCCCCTTCTAGATGTAAGATTCAGGAATGCTCTTTAGGTAGTTTCCTTAGAATCCTATGTGCTTAGTAGCTGGCCCTTCCTAATGACCACTAGGCGTCAGACTTTCCCATCTCTCCTCCAACTGTGCTGCTTACTCAGTAATTAACTCATTTGCTTGGAGTCATTAGCTCTTATCTAAGGGGACTTCTTTGTCATCATGTGAACATGGTCATTATGATGCAGAATCCTAGCAGATTTCAACAGGACTGATTAAGTTTGCCTGTCTCCTAGTTACGGCTTTTCAACAGGGCTCTTCATTGCAAATACCGAGCCTTAAACCAAGGGGAAAGTAGAAGAACGACCAATAACCAATGCCTTTCACCATTCCCAAGCGAAGCCACAGAATGCTACTTCCTGTCACTGCACTGCACAGATATAAGTACCCCCATTGCTAATGGGGTGCTGGCGTGCGCAGCTCTGAGCACTCTCCCTCATTCATCTTAAGGATAATGCAATGCCAATGCAGTTAACAACAGGCTCTGAATTCTGTATGTCAGGTAGGTTGAAATAGAACAGCATGTCATCGACCATGTATTCAGTGTCTGTCACATACAGGGCACTACACCTGAAATCCAAAAAGGGATATTTTCATTCATTTGGTCAGTCAACTATTCAAAAAGTATTTTTTAAACATCTGCCAGGCGCTAGGGATCCTGTGATGAAGAAAATGACATGTGGCAAATACACCAGCAGCACAGCTTGAGTAATGCAAGACCACTTTCACACCACATCCAAGTCCAGGCTGCTTGGCCCCTCCTGCCTTAGAAGAGGCTGTATAGATGGGATTAAAGCCATGGCCCATGTCTCCGACTCAAACTGACTTTTTGCCTGCAAGCTATGTCATCTTCTTGGAGGAACTGAATGTTATAGACTCATCATTTCCCCACTTCCTTCTCTCCCTACCTGACAACATCCTTGAGAGAATGAGACAAACAGCAACTCATCTCAGATAGGGGAGAACTGAGAGACAGAGAAAGTAGAAGAGGTTTTTTTCAAGTCACATAGAAGAACAGAGGCCAAACTAGAATTCCGGACTCCATGAGCTACTTTATTTGGAACCCATGGACATGGTTTTCAACCAAGACACAGATACACAGATAATAACACCAGGTAGAGTTTCTTTTCCCTCCCTCCCTTCCTCCCTCCCTTCCTTCGTTCCTCCCTCCCTCCCTTCCTTCCTTCCTTTCTCTCTCTCTCTTCCTTTTTTTTTTTTTTGACAGGGTCTCGCCCTGTTACCCAGGCTGCAGTAGCAGGATCATGATTCATTGCAGCCATGATCTCCTGGGCTCAAGCGATTGTCCCACCTCAGCCTCCCAAATAGCTGGGACTACAGGCATGTGCCACCACGCCCAGTTAATTTTTTTTTAATTTTTAAATGTTTAGTTTTTTGCTTTTAGTAGAGACGAGATCTCACTGTGTCGCTCCTGAGCTAAAACAATCTTCCTGCCTCGGCCTCTCGAACTGTTAGGATTACAAGCAGAAGCCACTGTGCCTGGCCCTAAACAGAGTTTCTTACCAAAAACAGCCACTTAGCAAATATTAGGAGACTGATGAATGAGAATGGAATGCTTCATTTTGTGAACTAGTTTCCGTGAAACATAGTATCCTGCCTATAATGGCTCTGAGAAGAAAATCTCTCATCCTGGAGACATCTTCTCACCTTCCTTTCCTAAAGAAAGACATAACATTTCTTGACAGGCACTGACTCACCGGGGCAAATGCATCAGTTGTGATTTCCCACAGCATATGTCAAGCCCTTGTAGAATCGCTTCAACCAGAACAACAGCCTAGTCCCTGTACCTGAAATTCATTTAGATCTACTTTAATTTGTCCAAAAAATCACCATTACCAGAGTGTGTCTCCCTAAAGAAAAAAAAGATGTTTTTCTATTTGGTTATTTGGAAATTTTCTTAACACTTCCAGGGATTTTTTGTTGTTGTTAAATAATAATGTCTCTACAAGACATGGCTAAAACAATGAGACAAATTTCCCAAGACCCACAAAAAATTCATTTATCTTAGATAAATCAATCTTTATATTCCCATTTTACAGATGAAGATGTATAACACAATATGGTCCCCACTAGATAGTAACAAAGGTCCTATCTGTACATAGAGGTAGTCCAAATTGTAAATGAATTCAGTAGAATCAGAATTGGATTTCTTTATTTATTCACATAGTCACAAAATATTTGTCTCTTCAGTCCTTCCTCAAAAGAAGGAGGATGCTCACGACTTGACATGGAGTGCGTCCACCTTGACATCAGCTTATATAGCATCTTGAAGGAGCCTCTTGTACCTGGATAATACCCAAATAACCCAGATAATGATAATCTGGGTTATTTTGGCATCTCTGCCTTTGGGAATCCAATGGAGAAGGAGAAAGATTAAGCCAAGAAGAGAAAGAAAATATCCTAATTCCCTATTCAATTAATCTTCTCAGTAGCTTTAGATGTTACAAATTTACCTAAATGAAGAGCTATTCCATGGTAACTATGAGAACCAGTGACACCTACAATAATGATATGAAGCTGTGATCTACAATAAAGAAGAGCTACAACGAACTAGACCTTAAACTTTAAGCATTTCTTGCTACATGTCTAGACCTCTGCATAATTTCTCCACTATGTCTGATATGCTTATCAAACATAAGCAGTCTCTTTTTCTGATTTTTGTCGTAAGTTCACTTCTGAGTAAGTTCAGGTGGTAGTGTAGTGTGTGATGATAGCAGCTGGACATAGCCACTGCACTCCAGCCTGTGCAACACAAGAGACCTTGGCACTGAAACAAAAAAGGCAGTAAAGTAAAAATTTATTAAAAGAAACATAAGACATCTCAGGCCAACAGGCAACAATAACCTTTCATTTGTGATAAATGCATTCTCCCTTTTCCTCTCTGTAAGCACACACTATAAATCAGAATTGCTCTTTTTTCTACACTTTACTTTGAAGCAGTTAGCGAAAAAAGTTCTATTTCCAAAACAAACAAGCGAGCATAATAACAACAACAAGAACAAAAACACCAACTATCAGCATCTTTCTAGTTCATGAGTCTCAGGCCTTCCTTTTCAATGTGCACTGCCAGACTTCACCCAGCTCCACTCTAGAGTCTTCTTCCTCTTCCTAAGAAATGCTTAGAGTGGCTCTGGGAGCCACATTATTTTTCTTTTTGTGTGACTCCTAACACGGGAAATGACAGCAATAACTCACTTATCCAACCCAATGCCAGGGCAGCACCTCACCTAACAGCCTTGCACCCAGGCTGCTGGCTCCCTCCGGTCAGTCCAGCTCTCATCACCTGAGTCACCTGAAAAACTGAACTGGGCAGCTCAGCTCTTGAGTAGCCATTCCACTCCTGTGAAGATGTTTTCTGAATAACTACCCAGAAATCACATTAGCTTCAGTTTAAAAACAAGATATTTGCATTATATTTGGAGGTAGAGACCAGCTTCTGAGGGTACAAGAAGAGAGCACCTGCAGCCAGGCAGATAGTTTAAACATGTGGGCATTGAGATATCCAAACTCTTAATTTCTCAACTAAAACCATATTTTGCCCTGGGAGCTGTGGAGGGTTTGGAGATGGGAGCTTGCATTCTTATTTGGGACACTAAGCTAAACTAGCAATAGGGGTTTCTAAAATATACTCCTACCCAGGACTCTACATCACCTACACCATCCCCACTTCTGTTAGGAAACTAAGTGGAAATCTGTGTATCTAATAAGTACGTAGAAATAGACTCAGATTATTGTTTGGCTTAGCTTATTGGCTCCTCCTGACCTTATAGGGCCAAAACCTCAACAGCTCATCACAATTAACTAATAAAAGTAGTTCACCAAATACAATTTCTTTTTTTGTGACAGACACTTAATTGTCATTGGATTAGTTTATTGAGAGTTTGTTCCCTGGTGTTCAGAGAAGTGTATTCACTCATTCTGTTTTGCAACAAACTATACTCAGTATCACTCTGTACTCAGTGCTATGGGAGATAAAAAGAATTGTGGCCCGTGGGGAGACTACAGTCCAGTACAGGCTGCATTCACTTATATAATATCCGCTATTCAAAATGATACCAACCACGGACAATTAGGTGACATGGAATGTGTGAAATGTTTCTGTAGATGTACGTAAAAAAAGTCTGGAAGTAGGCATAACAAGATGTTCTACTGAGATGAGGTTATCTTTCGGAAATGGGAGTATGAATAATTTTTATTTTTCAGAATAAATATATAATATTTTGAAAGTTATGTTTTAAAGCTCAAATATTAGCTAGGCATAGCAACTCACAACTGTAATTCCAACACTTTGAGAAGCCAAAGTGGGTGGGATCACTTGAGCCCAGGAGTCTGAGACCAGCCTGGGCAACATGGCAAAACCCCATCTCTACAAAAATACAAAAATTAGCTGGTCATGGTGGTGAGCGCCTGGAGTCCTAGCTACATGGGATGCTGAGGCAGGAGAATTGCTTGAGCCCAAGAGATTGAGGCTGCAGTGAGCCGTGAGCACAGCACTGTACTCCAGGCTGGGTGACAGAGTGAAACAAACAAACAAACAAACAAACAAATCTCAAATAAAAGATAAAGATTTTGGTTGATGGAGCACTTTCTTATTGCTGGGACAACCAGGAAGGTTTTGTGGAGAAGGGGCACATGAACTCAACTGTGACTTCAGAGGACGTTAGAAGGTGGAAAAGGAGATGGGGAATTAGGTGTGTGGCAGGGACAGTATACTTTTTATTTGAAAATTGTGAATACCTCTGATGACAGTGTGGAGTAAAATGGGTGTAAGCTGACATAAGCCTAGAAAAGGAAGTTGGAAATTTATTGGAAAGACTCTTAAGTGCCAGGCTCTGGAAACTGGATGTGAGTTAGTAGTCAATGGGATCACTGAAGGTTCTCTAATAGGGGAGAATGTGATCAAAACAGTGCACTGGGGAGGTTAACACAGGAGGTGGCCAGGCTGCCTTTTGAGAAGACAGAGACTAGAGGCAGGGAGGCAGATGTGGAAGCTCCTCTTAACATCTAGGACTAAGTTGACAGAAGCTAGAGCTCAGTGATGCTTGAAGGAATGGAAAAAGGAAGGGAGGCTATTATACACCAGGAAAAGGGCTTCAATCCAAGGCACTTACTTATGAGCCCAAAGGAGAGAAAAGACAAATGTAATTTCAATATACAATGTTTCATAACAGTCATGAGACTAATTTTCAGATGTAGTTTTTAGAATTACCCTCTTCATTATACAGGCACATATAAAAAAAGGCTATAATTCCATTGTTGATGGGCCATTATCTGTGAAGGCACGCACAGGAGTGGAAGAGCCAAACTGGTTCACAAATGTCATGAGCACATCAGAGCCCAGAGGAGAAAGTGTTCCTAACTCTCAGGTCTCAATGGAATGTCCTCATTAGGTCACAGCACAAGGTTTTCCAAGCTGGGGGAAGGTCACTTTCCCCTCAAATGATTGAAGTGTTCTAAATGCTGAACCATGCAATGCCCTGAGCACATGTAGCAGATGGAGCAGAGGGGGCAAGAGGGGCTTTTGGAAAATCCACTTTTATTTCAGTAGCTTGATAATAATTGTTCCTTTGAAGCATTTACAAGCTAGACTTTTCACCCATCCCAACACAGATGCAGGCAACCAGTGCTCACCTTGCTGGAAAGAGGCACAGACTTTCTGCAGCCTCCTTAAGAGGCTTATAAAATATTTATTCCAATAAGCTGGTGGTTAAAACTAAAATTCTTAAGCTTTTCAGAAATCATCACATTCAGATGCACATCACTTTAGGTGAATCTAGTCTGAATTTCTCCTTGCCTTTTGTCACGATTTTCATGTTACTTTCCCCCTTTCATTTTCTGATAATGTCCTTAAACTTGGAGTCTTTTCTGTTTACCCCAATCTCTACTTCTATGATCAGTTATCATTTACCTTCAAGAGGCTGGTGAATTTGGTAGCAACCAGAATAATTACTCCTTTAATACGAATTTCCATACAATGCATTTTTGTCAAATGAAAAGAGGAGACAGCATGGCCATACTTGCAACCAGATGCAGACATAAGGCAGTTTATGTATAAGGACTTTCTTGATAAGTGTTGGTCAAATATACATAAAAACTTGCAGATGAGAGATGACCAAAGGCACGGGACATCTCAGATAAAGCACATGCGTAGTATGTGGACCTGCAGCCTCTGCCCCCTGCAGTTGCTGTGGAATCCTGGAGCTATACAGTAAATACGGTATGCTCCCTCACTGTGCAACCTGGAGAAAAACTTAGAAGCAAGTGTAAACATGGTTCTGAGTTTCCTGAATAAACACTGACGATTAGGACCTCAGTGAGAGTCTTGACTTGGTATAACTAGATATGGCTGTGTTAGGCTTATTTGCCCA
The DNA here is from genome assembly GCF_000001405.40 of Homo sapiens. Taxonomy (NCBI): domain Eukaryota; kingdom Metazoa; phylum Chordata; class Mammalia; order Primates; family Hominidae; genus Homo; species Homo sapiens. The sequence goes on from NC_000015.10 coordinate 34,714,854, forward strand.
GTGATGCACTGAAAGAATAGATCCATCCATTCTTTAGAGTCAACAAGGACTGTCTAGCAACTTCCGGAATCTCTTGGGCTCCCCAAGTAAAGCCACAGAATGCCACTCCCTATCACTGCACTTTGTAGATATCTACACCCTCTTTGCTAATAAGGTGCTGTTGTGGGTAGCCTTGAGCACCATCTCTTATTTATCTTAAGGACAGTGCAATGCTAAATCAGTTGACAGCAGGCTCCAAATACTGTGCAATGATGGTTAAATACAATAGCACATCATCAAGCAAACATTTATTAAGTGTCTACTGCATATAGGGTGCTGCATTTGAAGTCCAGAAAAGGGTATTGTCAATCTGTCAGTTGGCCAATTATTCCACAAGTGTTTATTGAACACCTCCTCTCTGCCAGGCATTAGGGATCTTGTGATGAAAAAAAAAAAATCAGGAATCTACTGGCAGTATAGCTTGTGCAATACAAGAATACTTATATGTCACATCCATGTCCAGGCTGCTTGATCCCTCTAGCTTTAGGAAAGTCTATATAGATGGAATTAAATCCAGGACCCATGTCTCCTAATCAAAGTGACTTTCTCTGGCAACCAATGTCACCTTCTTGGAGGACCTTATTGTCATAGCCTCAGCACTTCTCTTCCTTCTCTCCTTACCTTATAGCATCCCTGAGAGAGGAAGATAAATTACACTCTCATCTCAGACACAGAGGAACTGGGACAGAAAAATGTGAAAGAGATTTGCTCAAATCACACAGAAGGACAGAGGCCAAACCAGAATTTAGGTTCCATGAGCTGCATTATATGGGACCTCTTGAAAAATGGTTTTCAACCAAAACACAGTAATAGCAAACAATGCTCTCCAAGTTCTGCCATCTAAGTGATGTTAGATAAATAACAATTACGTGGGAAGGAAAGTGAAGGACAAACAGGTTAACCAGACAGAGTTAACTTGATAGATTAATCCATACAGAATACTTCATAGAAATGGCTTGAGTTCATTCAAAGAACCCAGGGGTAAAAAGAGTTTGAGTTAAACTACAGGGAAGGTGGCAAAGCCTGCATCCAATGAAATACCTCCAGTGAGAGCCTGAGACCTGTTCATCATTTTTTCAGACCAATAGTGCTGGTCAATGTTTTCCAGATCAAAACATGATCAGCAACATGAATTAATTTATACCTTAAAACCTGTTGTTCAGCACCTTGCTACTCTCTCCCTGGATTGACTGAGTATGAAAACCAGCTCTAGCTTGAAAAGTTAAATGTGCATAATAATCATTTCTGAGAACTGCTTTTTGTAAATGGGTGATGGAAGTCACGTGTGTACAAACTGACACGTTTCCTCGCAACTGAACTGTTTCTATGGCTCAAGAGGTTCAGAGCTGGTGCACGGACGTGCCCTCACTGCCTCCAGCCATCTCTGCCCTGTCCAGCTGCCAGGACTGCTTGGACAGACAGTGGAAAGTACATGGTGTTTTCTGCCCTTCAGCCCTCCCTGATGACCATGCTGTCCCTCATCTTTCAAAACAGGACCGTGCTGTTCCTCAGGCAGAAACCTCACGGTCCCCAGCATGTTAGAAGTTCTCATGTGCAGGTCATTGTGCTGAGTGTACTTGCGTGCATTTTCCCTTTAACGTGGAGTGTTTAACTATTTGATCCAGATTGCCCAGGAGATGCAGTAATGTGATTGGCAGGACCAGGTAGGTTTCCTGGAGGACAATTGTTTTAAGAAAGAGTTAAAAAAAGAAAAAAAAAAAAAAAAGAGCAGAAATGGGCTGCCCTGAGCAGATCTGCCAGAAACCCTGGAAAGGTTTACCAGACTGCTTGTTGCTAAAAGTATGTCTAATGTTTACCGATAAACATGTTTTCAAGCCTAGGCACAAGTTCTGAGAAAGAATCAAGCAATATAAAATGAAACCTAGTTTTTTAAAACACTCAAAGTGCCTTTCATTTGAATGACCAAGCAGTGGCTTTCTTTTTTTTTTTTTTTTTTTTTTTTTTTTTTTTTTTTTTTGAGACGGAGTCTCGCTCTGTCGCCCAGGCTGGAGTGCAGTGGCGGGATCTCGGCTCACTGCAAGCTCCGCCTCCCGGGTTCACGCCATTCTCCTGCCTCAGCCTCCCGAGTAGCTGGGACTACAGGCGCCCGCCACTACGCCCGGCTAATTTTTTGTATTTTTAGTAGAGGCGGGGTTTCACCGTTTTAGCCGGGATGGTCTCGATCTCCTGACCTCGTGATCCGCCCGCCTCGGCCTCCCAAAGTGCTGGGATTACAGGCGTGAGCCACCGCGCCCGGCCCAAGCAGTGGCTTTCTAAGGAGAAGAATAGAAGATGACACACAGAGTGTGTTTTTGAGGGCGCTGGAAAGAAGATACCTCTCCTTCCAAAACAATCATATCCCTCTTCCTCCATCCCCATCCTGCCAAGACACCTGCAATTCCAGCCTTAAAAATATAGTTCCTCTAAGTTCCACCTTTTTAGGCTTCTCTTTTAACATATATAACCTTTCAAAGGGCACCTCCCCTCTACAACTGACCCCTAAGATCTTACTGGTCATGACTTCTCCAGCTTGCTTTCAGCCCCAGTTCCATAAGAGAGCTCTGGGTATTTGAAATGGGGCCGTGGATAGCATGACCTGGGAGGAAAAGTGAGTAATGAGAGACAAGGAGGCCCAGAAAGGAGATGAGGAAGGCTGAAACACCCTTCCTGGCTCCATCTAGGGAAGCCCCATCCTAAGCTAGGCACGAATGGGCAAAAGTGGCTTAAAAAAATCCCTTTTTTTAGAATAAGGCACACAGCCTTATTTCTACATGAAGTCTTTGGATGTTTGATTCTGACAACCCTTCTGAATTTCTCTAAGTTATTATTATAAGGCAGCATAAACTTGAAGAAGGTGTTTGGATGATGTCTATGTCCCGTGTGTGCACACACATGCATAAACACTTGCATGCTTGTGCAACTGCTCCCTCTGAGGTGAGGTTGACTTCCCTATAGCCTCTGAAATAAATTGAGTCCAAGTTTTGCAATAGTTAATTTACTATAAATAAATACTCTAAGCAATGTGAGTAACTTACCAGACTCTTCACCATAAATGTCCTGCATGAAAATTGAGCCCTGTTTGACACCTCAGCTATTTTAAAGATACACATACAAATCCCTCAGCTCTGCTAATCTGTAAAGGCTCAAATGTCCTTGCTTTTAGGCTCTGTGGGCTCTCCTGACAAGGAAAGTTGGTGTCAGGGAATCAAGACGGGGAGCTAAATGTCAAGAGCTTATTATTTCTGGTGGCCACCTTGTTAGACATTTATATTAAAATCCTGAAGAAAAAACACATACGTGCAGAATATTTACAACAATGGGAATAACTACAATGGCTACAGAGAAATCAACCCATTTCTTTACAAAGCATCTGGCTGTGATGTTTTAGAGCATGGACCCAAAGTAAACCAAAAACATACTAGATTAATCTCTCTGTAGAGCACTGAACAAAAAGGCTAGGTTTCATTCTATAAACAAATTGGCTAGCAGACATAGATGAAAATTTTATATAAGTGACAACCCTGACCCAACTCCTTGATAGAATTTATAGATCTTATGCAAATCTTTCATCCTCTCTCTCACACCCCATCCCCACAAAGATCCAAATACGTAAGCCATTAGGAAGATATTCATAGATATGTTTTGGAATGAATTAAAGCTGGTTTGTAATGTACAATCCCCTTGAGTAGAATATGGGGCTCAGGAGAAACCATTATTTCTGCCTCTGTCAAGCGCAGAATAATTGAATATTTTCAGATCCAAATTCCAAAATGGTTAGTCCTTAGGTAAATTAAGTGTCAATTAATAAAATGGTGAAATTTTTATTTTTATGCAGATACTGTAGTTGCGGGACTATGAGGAGAGAAAAATCTCTAAGAAATCTGAGCAAAATAAGAAGCCTGAATCACAGATGTTTATGAATGATAATCCTGGACTCTTACCCCACAGGGTGTCCATCCTAAAGGCTTGCCTGATTAGCTGGAGCTGGGGTATGTGAGGTTGTGTGCTCTATTTCATTACACCATTTTCACTGTGACAAGCAGCATTGTGGGGTGTTCAGTGTTGAGGGTGGGTGTATCTCAGCTTGAATTAGTGAGAGCTCTTAGCCTGAAGGTATGGGTTGGAGACAGGAAGTTACAATGTACATATCCAAATGTCACTGAGGAGGCTTTATTGCATTCCTTACTTAACATTTTGTACTTTGTATATAGGCAAACAGTTTTATTAACTTTCTCTTTCTCTCTCTCTCTCTCTTTTCCCCCAATTAAACTCTGTGTGGCTGGTTAGCTGGTCAGAATTATAGTTCTTGATTTAACCTTAGAGAAATGGAGAAACAGAGAGGTGAGATGATTTGTTCAAGGTCACCAACAGCAGAGCTGGATTTAGAAATGACTGCTTCTTGATTATCTGGGCACTGAGCCTGTCTGCCTCTCCTTGCTTTAGCTTAATTGTCAAATACCTTTATTTGAATTAGTTTTTCTTTCAGGTTTCTGTCTGCACACAAAGTGCACATGGATTTTGTACCTCAGCCCCATTGCTGAAAGCAGCAGCTTGCTATTTCTGGCAGGCAATTCCATCCTCCTCTGGAACAAAGCCCCATCAGATCCCAGACCTGGCTTTGTCAGCTGGTCCCAGGTGCTGTTTGGGGGATATGTGAGTGTGTGTGTGTGTGTGTGTGTTATTTGTGCATATAAAGATAATCTTCAGAGCCCAAATGGCTTCAGGACCCCTGTGAGGGCAGCATCTTTGCATCTAATCCTATCCACAGGAGCTAAAGTCACAGCAGCTCAGATAAGGGTCACGTTCCAAGCTCTTACATACTGCTCTGCCCTTGTCCCTGCAGAGGCCCCATGGGGTGTCTTCAAAGGGGAGCCTTTGGCTGACAAGGTGACTTGTCACCTGCTGCATTTGGGCCTACTCAGCAGAAAGTGCCTTCCCAAGGTGGCACAGAAGGTATAACCCTTTGGACACAGTGACTCATCTGTAATCTCTAGCTGGCTGGGCATTTAAACCAAACCCACTTTATAAGACCAAAGTGTGTATAGTGGGAGGTCAGTCTGGGGCACAGACTATTCAGGTCAATGGCGGCACTGGGACCGGAGCCTAAACACACATTCTGTCCCCCTGCCCTTCTCCAGCAGCACTAGGTGCTCTCTCATAATCTTCAAGCCTTTGGCTCATCTTTTCTCATTGCCCTTTTCAGCCACCATTTTAATCATCTGCCTTGTGGCTTTTCATTCCTGCTGCCCAGTGACACTCAATTCCTTCTCTTTCCCCAGCCTCCTGAGCCAGGGCCAAAGGTTGTTTAAGGTCCCCGAAAATTAACTTCAGTCTCCTACAAGGTGAACTGTTGCTTTCTGGTGAAGCCTCACAGCACCAATGAGCCTGTGAAAATATTCCACACAAAAATAGCCCAATGCTTACCGTGAGAGACACAAGAGTTTTGGTGCACTCAGTCCCAGACGGATCCCTCTAGTTTTCTCCTTGCTTACAAGATGCATTCACTCATTTCCAGAGCTGTCCAGTCCTTTCAGGTGATTCCTGGGTCATTTTGATAATGTCTCTTAACTTAGCACAGTTAGGTTTGTAACATTTACTGAAGGCTACAGACTGGCTCTCTCCTGCTTGCTCACACCAGATGGGGTGAGACAGGAGAGTGAGGAAAGGAGAAAGGGCTCCCTGCTGAAAGGATGTATGTTGTCATGAGTGGTAGGATGCACAACTCCCTGCTTCTTCCTCCAAAGCTCTGTCACTTAAGGGCCAGCCTTAGGAGCCTCGTATCAGTGAATATTGAATGGAACCTCAAGGCTACTCTGAGGTGAGCTCAAACTCTTGGGGGTACCTGCTGTTTGGACTCAGTCTCCAAACAGTCCTCCAAACACAAAATGACCCAAAGGTGGGTCCCTGAGCAGCTCTCCTAGGTTGACCTTGATCGTTCCTAAGCTTCAGAGCCAACCCACCAAGAAGAAAATCATAGAGCCAGCAATCAGCATCACTCTGTGGGAGCTTTTCCAAGTGTCTTGTCTGGGCTATTTTCAGGACTATCCACTGATGGAGGGCACTGTCTCCTCGATCAGTCAGAAGGTTAAGGGCTACATAAGTTACTTTGGGATATTCTATTTCCTGGTCCAACACATTCACTCACTCATTCATTCATTCATTTATTCATTTCTTGTGGATGGATTGGAGCTGCCCAAGATCAAGATTGCTATGTTAAGTGAGGTACAGAAACTCTAATGCATGAACAAGAGGCTTTTTTGGGAGAAAAGATATAGACGTAAAAACTTATCAAATGAAGTGGGAAATAATAAGTATCTAAAGTGAATAATAATAATAAACAATAGCCAACCTTTATATAGCGCCTATTATATACCTGGCACATTGTGTGTGTATGTGTGTGTATTTGTTTTATTGTGAAAAAATACACATAACCTTTTAGCACCTTAACCATTTTTAAGTGTGCAGTTCAGTGACATTAAGTACATTCACCTTGTGGTGCAACCATCACCATTATCCATTTCCACAACTTTTTATCTTCCCAAACTGAAACTGCGCCCATTTAACAGTAATCCCTATTTCCTTCTTCCCCCGGGTCCCTTGCAAACACCTTTCTATTTCTCTATGAATTTGACGACACCAGAAACTTATATAAGTGGACTGGTACAATATTTGTCCTTTTGTGAAGTCGAAAGCACTTTGTATGTATTAACTCATTTAATCATAGTAATGGTCCTATGAGGTAAGTAAAATCATTACCCCCCTTTTACAGATGAGGAAATTAAAATAAATACAGAGAGGTTAAACAAGAAGTAGAAATTAAATATTCAGAGGGATCAGAAAAAGGAAAAGATCTCCCTTAATTTGGTTCTCCGCCCCCAGGAGTCCATGAACCAATTAAAAGGAAGCAAACAGTCCCCTTGTTGGAGGCGCCGCCACCTTGCAAGACCATCTCTGCTTCTATACAAGGGCCGCGCAACTGGAGAGGGCCCTTCTGCAGGAGAGAAGAGGGAATGTGCTGAATGAGTTAAAGTGCCCTTTGTCCACCCCCCCCCCCCGCCCCAGCACTCGGCGGGCGCAGGCTGAGCTGGTGACCCGGGCAGGACCGGAGCCAAAGGATTAATCCATCACAATGAGACGTTCTATTCTGGGCAGGCGGCGCGAGCAGATGCTGGGCGCCGGCGGAGGCAGCGTGCAGGGCTGGCGCTCACGCAGGCCGCCAGCACCCTGCGCTCCACCCCACCCTGCTCCCTAATGAGAAGAGAGGAGCTGAACCCAGACAGCCGCTCCCTGTTGACGCCTTAGGCGTTTCAAAACTAGACTGGCCGGAGCCGATGGAATGTCTTGGGTGGGCCATTCTGAGAAACCCAATTTTCTTGCTTAGGCTATGTTTAGAATCCAGAAAGTCACTTCAATTACCCCACTTTCCTTACAAATCCAATCCGCTTCTTACCTCTCACTCCACCCTCCAGCCTCCCCGCCACTCCACTTGCCCCAGAATCTTTCTGCTAAATCCACTCCCCAGTCCACTCCACGGTGGAACTGGGGGCTGGAATAAATTACCACCCCGGCCTCTCAATTAGGAAAAGGAAATCCACTCAGTCTCAGGGAATTTTAGGGGCCGGAAGTCTAATTTTTTGATGTGAAAGCAGCACTTCTGTGACCTTATGGAGATTATGGCCTGGCCGGCCAGCCCCACTCCCATAATCTTTTGACCGTTTGATCTCCTGCTTACACTGGACTGGGACAGAGCAGCCCAGTGATTCATTCCCAGATTGCACCCTCTAGCTGTGCCAGGGAGGAGAGGAAAAAGAAGGAAAAACAGTAGTTAGATACTGTGGGTTAGAAAGCCCAATTTTGCAATTGCTCTTTAAAAATCAGACTCAGTGACATTACAACACTCCTTTGGAGGTATCAGTCCCTTCCAGGGACAGAAGCATATTTTGGGTCACGGAGAAGAGCATTTTGCAGGTTATATTAGAGATTCTGCCAGAAAATTTAACAAATCTAAAGTCTGCTTGCTTGATTAATTTTTAGGGTATGTTTTCCCCCTAGCTTTATTAGGGTACAATTAACAAATACAAATTGTATCTATTTGCAGTATACAGTGTTTTGATATGTTTATACCAAAGCTTTAAATATCTGAGAGGGATGTTAGGATGACATTTAGAAGGGTAAACGATTGTCTCTATTTTTGTGGGTATTCTTGGCTTCGTTTTAAAAGTGGTTGGGATTATTTCCCCCAAATTTTTTAATTTTGTAATCCTTCTAACATGTCTGCCTAACCCAATTTCTTTTTTTTTCTTTTCTTTTCTTTTTTTTTTGAGACAGAGTTTTTCTCTTGTCTCCCAGGCTGGGGTGCAGTGGTGCAATCTCGGCTCACTGCAACCTCCACCTCCTGGGTTCAAGCAATTCTCCAGCCTCAGCTACCCGAGAAGCTGGGATTACAGTCACCTGCCACCATGCCCGGCTAATTTTTGTATTTTTAGTAGAGACAGTGTTTTGCCAAGTTGCCCAGGCTGGTCTCGAACACCTGACCTCAGGTGATCTCCCACCTCAGTCTCCCAAAGTGCTGGGATTACAGACGTGAGCCACCGTACCCAGCCCCAATTTCTACTTATTGTTTTTCTCTGCTTCTATGTAGACCATCCATTTCTCTAAGACTCAATGATATGTCCTAGAAGATCTTTGGCCAAATGTCAGACTTATATCTTACAGATCCCAGAGTAGGGAGTAAGTACTACAGCTTCTAAAATGCTCTCACTCACATGCTTCATCAATGCAAATGACAGTTCGAAAGACCAAGAGCTTTTGGATTCTACTTGGACTTCTTTTGAAAGGAGACTTGGGCTCATCCTGCTGGCCTCTGCCCTCTGCTAACCTCCCAGGACTCCTGACTGGGCCTATGCTGGATACCAACCATACAAGATGAATGTCTTGCCAAGCTGGATGTGGAAGTATATTTGGTCCTTTGAAGGTTAATGATCAATCCAGACCACAAATGGATGACAGTCAAACACTGCCTTGGGTGGGCTAATGGCTTGTGTTTCAGGACTGAGAACTCATTAACAGTCCCCCGCCGCCTTGTCTGCTCCTAGCGATTGGCCTCCACCTCCACTAACACTCAGCCCTTCCCTTGGCCCTTGGCTTTTTCTCTGCTTCAACCACAGGCTTTCTCTCTCTCTCTCTCTCTGAGCCTCGGCTTCTCTTATAGACTCTATCCCATTCTCATTCCAAGACACAGAACCCCTTCTTATCTACCTGAAGCTATAGTTGGTCATTGGTATCATGGAAAACAGGAGCTGACTATGCCTTAAAAATCATTTATTGCAGTGATTTTTAAACAATGTTTAAAGGAGCCTTGAGATTCCTTGGTGGCAAGCAACAGAGGCCACCGAATATGTGTATGTATGTGTGATGAGTACTCATAGCAGTGAATATTTGGAAAGCAGAGCCTCCAAAAGTCCCTTATGCACACATGCATACTTATCAATCAGAACAAAGGACTGGTATTTGTTTTATATATTGGGGGTAATTCATTGCTTGATTTTTTTTAAAAAAAGATTCTGTTATTTAAAGAAAATAGTTTAAATATCACAGTGATCCCATCCTGCCCCTTCATTATCTGCAGGGGCGCCCCTGAGTGTCCCCAGGTGAGATCTCCATGCCTACATTACTCTACACAGAATAACTCTCTCCTGGTTCCAGTCCCAAATAAAGAGGACAGAGCCTCATGAGTCTATCTGGGCCAAAGTGGGTTATTGCCAAGAATAACCTGGCATCAGGGGATTCAAACTCTTTGCCTTCAAGCTCTGGCATTCCAGTAAGGGCTGACTTGGAACTGTCACAGAGAAACTGGGGGACAGTAAATGCAGTCTAGCACTTGTTTGGAACTAGAGCATGGCTCAAAAATGATCACAATGAATAAACTTTGCTATCAGCTTTCTGTAAATAAATATACACACAATGCTAAATCCTTTTGCATTAGGACTTGAATTTGATTGTACATTCTTGGATACCTAAGAATCTCCCAATACTGCTCTAGCTTGTAACTTTTTTTTTCAGAAAGAGTGTTTCCTCAGATGTCTAGATGTCTGTATATAAGTGAACATAATTACTATTTTTAAGAGGAGGGTGCCTATGTTCTTCATGCTTATAATACCCCCAAGAAACTTACAGAGAACACTATGCATGAGATTAAATTGCAATCCCTAAGGGAATCCCAGACTCACTCTGGATCAACAGTAGTTGCTAATGTGTTTAATGCAGACTACGAGAATAACAATGATCATATTAATACTATTTATGGAGCACTTCTATGTACCAGATGCAATGCTATGTACTGTATATGTAATCTTCACAATATTTACATGGGACAGGTTCTCTGTTCTTATTCTGCAGAAAAGAACACTGATGCTAATATTCAAGAATAAGCATATCTAAAGTTAAAGCTTCAATGTGGCAGGAGTAGGAGTCAAGCAAAATTCATCTGACTCCAAAATGAATATTCTCAATTGCAATGCTAAGTACTGTTATGCTGCTCCTATTGGAACATGGGACACAGACCTCACTAAATGGTGGTGACCAAGGTGAGAGAATATGAGAGGACAGACAATAACCTTATCTTGAGTTAAGCTTCCCTAGGCTTCTACTCTCAATGCCAAGAGATTCCTTTCTCAACTAATAATGATGCGATGAAGTGCAGCATGAGCTCAAGAGATTTATTTTGGATCAATGAGTCCCCTGACATGTCCTACTGAAACAGTCAAATATCTAAGGCATTGCTCAGACCCAGCTGCCAGTAACCTGCCTTTGAGCCACTAAGCCATAAAAGAAAAAGATCCCAACCAACACGTGCTAGGAGACACCCAAGCCAAATCAAGCAGAAACAAGAGACTCAAGAAATGTGGATGGCATGTGAATAGCTCATATATTCAGCTGTTGTGCATTGAGTACATAATTTAGTGCTGAGCTTTGGCATTCTGATGCACCTCCTTCCCCTCCCCACACCCATCTGTCCCCATCAACCAGTTGTCTGACCAACTGCAGAGACAACTGGCTGGTCTCTCCTTCTCTCTCGCTCTCTCCCCATTTTTATATATGTATATATTTGACTCTGAATACACACTATATGTAATTTTTACTTAACTAACATGGAAGAGTAGCCTTTATGGTAGGTAACTAATGACCTCATTTCTTAGGAGATGAAAGAAGGAACAGATACACCTACCCCTCTGCACACTAACTGTCCCGGGGTCAGGGCATTATCCTAGTGGGGTCCATTTAGATGTGGTATAGATCAGTGAATCACAAATTTTAAAGTACAAAAAAAGTCCCCTTGGGATTTTATTGCAATGCAGAGTCTTATTTGGTGGGGCCTGGGATTCTGCATTTCAATCAGGCATCCAGGTAATGCCACTGGGGTTGTCTGAGGATCATACTTTGAATAGAAAAGGACGAACATAAGAAAAAGAAGATGACAGTGACCAGAGGAACATGGACGAAAAGGAGGAAAGAAAGTTCCTTAAAAAACACTCCTGACTCGCTACAAAAAAAGAGAGATTAAGAGATGGGAGAATGGGGGCTCTGCCTTATTTTGACAAAACTATGTCTAAGAGAATTGCAGGAATCTAAGCCTCAGAATTTGTAGGCTAATTCAGGAATGTCTTGATCCTATGTGGGTCATTGTCATGGAATGGCCAGAGGAATGTTTCTCAATCCTGGCTGTGTTTTAGAATCACTAGAGTGTTAAAACCATATTCATGCTATGTTTCTATCAAAAGAAAATATCTGGAAGTGGAGTCCTGGCTTCAAGTTTGTTTGTTTGTTTGGATCTCTCCAGGTGGAGAACCCCTCGTCTAACTGTTCCATGTGGCAAAGGGTATTCTGCATTTTAAAAGCCTGAATTAAAGAAGTTCATAGCTGAATCATTCTCTGGCTGGGACAGGGCTAATCCAGAAGTTTGATTCAGTGGAACAAATTGCCCTACTTAGGTGAAAAACTGAAGCTTGGATATTTTTCAATTTGGGGATTGCTGTATTCTACTTGCAGATGGTTTTCAGAGTGATACCAGGTGGACTCATGAATAGAACATTCTCAGCCCAAGTCTGGTCACAAACCAGATATAGATGTTACATGATTTATTATAAGGAATTGGCTTATCCCATTACAGAGGCTGAGAAGTCCCAAGATCTGCAGAGGGCAAGCTGGTGACCCAGGACAAATATTGGTTTTTCCAGTCCCAGCCTGAAGGCCTGAGAACCAGGAGAGCCAATGGTGTAAGTTCCAGTCCGAATCTGAGTCTAAAGGCAGGAGAAAACCAATGTCTCAGTGCAAAGAAAGGCAGAGAGAGCTTGAATCTCCCTTTCTCATCTTTTTGTTCCATTCAGGCCTCCAATGGATTGGATAAGGTCCGCTCATATTGGGGAGGGCAATCTGCTTTACTCAATCCACTGATTCAAATGTTAATCTCATCCAAAAACACCCTCGCAGACACACCCAGAATAACGTTTGACCAAATACCTGGACACCTTGTGACCCAGTGAAGATGACACATCAAATTAACTATCACATCATAGGATCTCATGGAAAGATGATTTAGAGCCAGCTCTACTACTTACTATTCATTAAGAGAGGCTGTCAGGGAAGACAGAGCAATTTGCAACTAGACTGAAATTTAAGCATTATCTCGGGCTGGGCATGGTGGCTCACGCCTGTAATCCTAGCACTTTGGGAGGGTGAGGCAGGTAGATCATCTGAGGTCAGGAGTTCAAGACCAGCCTGGCTAACATGGTGAAACCCTGTCTCTACTAAAAATACAAAAATTAGCCAGGTGTGGTGGCAGACGCCTGTAATCCCAGCTACTTGGGAGGCTGAGGCAGAAGAATCACTGGAACCTGGGAGGTGGAGAGTGCAGTGAGCCGAGATCAAGCCATTGCACTCCAGCCTGAGGACAGAGCGAGACTCCATCTCAACATAATAATAATTATTATTATTACCTTAAACACTATCTTTAAATATCTTCCAACAGCAATGTTATCAAATAACGTGTGTATGTATATATTCCACCAGCCCCTTAATTTGGTCCAGCTTCTAGAATATCATTATAAAACCATGAGCCCTCTGCTGTAGTGAGAATCCCTGGATGTTGTTCCTGCCCTGTTTATTCTTTCATATTCCCCTCCCCATTCTCCATCTAAATCCTACCAGTCCTCTAAGGCCAGCTTATATTTCACCTTCTTCGTAACACATGTGCTACTAGTCACTCCAGCTCATGATAATCTCTGTTTCTTTGGGCTTCATGGCTCTTACTACTGTTATAAGGCTTTCTTGCCACTTTATTACATACTATCTGATATTTCTTGTATTGAGGCTGGAAGTCAGAACAATTAAAAACTGGAACATTGGTGTCATATATACCTAGGTTCAAATCTGACTTTGCTATTTATTAGTTATATAGCCCTGGGAGGGTATTTACCTTCTCTGACTTTCAAGTGCATTAGTAGAATAAGAATGACAATGCACAAGTCAAACTCATAGAAGCAGAGCGTAGAATGGTGGTTGCCAAGGGCCAATGAGTGGGGAAAATGGGGAGATGTTGGCCCAAGGGTTAAAAAAAAAAAAAGAATGCGTCTGGGTGTGGTGGCTCACACCTGTAATCCCAGCACTTTGGGAGGCCAAGGTAGGCAGATCATGAGGTCAGGAGTTGGAGACCAGCCTGGCCAACATAGTGAAACCCTCTCTACTAAAAATACAAAAATTAGCCGGGTATGGTGGTGCACACCTCTAGTCCCAGCTACACAGGAGGCTGAGGCAGGAGAATCACTTGAACCTAGGAGGCGCAGGTTGCAGTGAGCCAAGATCGTGCCACTGCACTCCAGCCTGGGGAACAGAGAGAGACACTGTCTCAAAAAAAAAAAAAGAAAAAGAAAGAATGCCTGGCTTGCAGAGAAATAGTAAAGGTTAAATGAATGAGAATAATGAGAGAATAACTGTATTTCATCTGTGACTCACATGGTCCTATTTCAGAGTTGTGTGATGAACAATGAACACAGTCCAGTAAGAAAATATTAACTTCAAAATAACTCAAGTTTTTAACTTACCTTTCTTTATACCTGGAAGGAATATATAGTTCACAACAAACCTTTTATAATCCTCTTTCTTTTTCCATACACTTCCCTTATGCCCCACAACTGCTCAGAACTTTCTTTTCTTGCCTTCCAAGTAACTTCTCTCCCAGCCCCAGAAGGCAAGAATCTTGCGTTCTTATCCCTACCCCTTTCTTTTCCCCTCTCAAGGTCTCTATGTCTGGCCATTCCTGCAAATTTGCAGAACAATACAGTCAGATCTGGCAAAGGCTAATACTCTCCCACACACACTCAGAGGTTGAGAAAGAGGGAAAGACCAACAAACAGAGGAAAAAGACCACACATGTGTTATTTTTGTTCTGCCATATGTGTAAAGAATTTAGAGGCACCTGGCACATAGTACAAGCCCCTCAAAGGGCAGCTACTACTATTTTATTACTATATCGTATTACAGAATGAAATCAGAATTACATTTCTTTTCTTTACAAATATGTAGTCTGCTCACAGACTTACTGGACTGTGCCGATTGTTCATCATACAACTCTGAAATAGGACCATGTGAATCGCAGATAAAATGCAGTTTTGCTCTCACTGCAAGCTTTTTTAAGGAAAGAACTTTAGAACTTTTTCTTATACTTTTATACAACTCTCTACCAGTGCTGCCCAATATAACTTACTGCAATGATGGAAATGGTCTACCATCTTTGCTGTCCAATATGGTAGCCACCAGCTACATGTGACTATTGAGTAGTTGAAACATAGCTAGTGCAAGTCAGAAACTGATTTTTCTATTTTATATAATGTATTTAATTTACATGACAAGTTCCATGTGGCCAGTGACTACCATATTGGACACAGCAGACAAAGGTACCTTGCACAAAGTAGATGCTCAGTAACATTTATTGACTGGATGGATGAATTAGTGATTAAATGAACCAAATTATAAATAATACAGTGCTGATATTTTTACAAGTAGATAATTTTGCAAGCTACTTCTCTGTTGCTATACACTCTGGAGTAGTTTTCTTGCCACAGGAAAGACTAGCAAATGCTGAAACACATAAGCAACATTCTATTTTTAGGTCTCATTTTTTCTTTGCTCAGTATAAATTCATTCTGACTCTGAGGTCAGCCCCTTTTGTTTTTCAAAAATAAAAAAAAATGTAATGTACATGTTGTGTTTAATGGTGAGTTCTCGTTATGACATTTCCCTTCAGGAATGAAAGAGGAAGAGATCAGTTATTGTCAATGCAGCCACAAGCAAATTCAGCCATCTTCCTCAACACTGAAGAGAAATGTCAAAAAAGATTAATCATGCATTAAAGACGCATGGACATGTTATATCTCTCATATATTGAAGGACTGTGACATATTTAAACATTTGTAGACCATTATTAGATAATAAGAGCTTGGCAGCCTCTAAATAACGTTTATAGTAGTAGCTCTATGATCTCACCCATCTTAAAACAAAGACGGAAATATTTCATTGATAATTCATCTGAATGGTAGTTTGGTTCTTTGGGAGTTTTTTATTTTGTGTGTTTTTGTTTTGTTTTCATCTTGTTTTTGACACAGGGTCTCACTCTGTCACACAGGCTGGAGTGCAGTGACACAATCATGGCTCACTGCAGCCTCAACCTCTCAACCTACTGGGGCTCAAGAGATCCTCCCACGTCAGTCTCTAGAGTTGCTGGGACTACAGGTGCACATTACCATGCCTGGCTAATTTTTGTGGGGTTTTTGTGTGTGTGTTTTTTTTTATAGAGATGTGGTCTCACTCTGTTGCCCAGGCTGGTCTTGAACTCCTGGGCTCAAGCGATCCTCTCCCCTCAGCTTCCTAAAGTGCTGGGATTGCAAGTGTGAGCTGCCACAACTGACTGGTAGTTGTTTTTAAGAATGCTGACCCTTTAAAAAAAATCTTTGTATTGTTGAATTTGCTTCTTCATCATTTAGTGTTTTTAAAACGTCACATTTGAACAAGGCCTTATTGTTTTAGATCCATGTCTTCTTCCTAGAGTGACAGTTAAAAAAACAAGATAGAGGAAGTCATAAAGAGATGATGAAGGACAGGGAGAGAGGAGGAACGTGATCTTCAACCTGAATAGAGGAGTTTGGGATCTTAAACACAGTGTAACCCCACAACATTTTACTAAGTGAAATGGACACATATTATGTGATTTCACTTAAATGAAATATCTAGAATGGGCAAATTCATAGGCAGAAAGCAGATTGGAGGTTACCAGGGACCTAGAGTAAATGGCAAATGAGGAGTTACTACTCCATGAGTAGAGTTTCTGTTTAGAGTGATTACAAAGTTTTGCAAATAGATAATGGTGATGGCTGCACAGTATTGTGAATGTAGTTAATGCCACTGAATTGTACACTTAAAAATGGCTTAGATGGCAAATTTTGTGTTATATATATTTATGGTAATTTTCAAACACAGAATTGGTAGTTCAGTAGATCTCACATGAAAGAAAAATAACACTTGGAGAGGCCAACAGCCAAGTTTAACCCCAAGTATTTAGCCCAGCAAAGTAATGATAAAAACCTCTAACATCAGGACTTTGATTTTGACAACTAATGTCCTGTAAGGAAATAAGTCTGTCCTCCAAACAACTGCAATGAAATAATAACCAACGGCATAAACTGGAGGCAGAGGAAGGGATGGTAATAGGGTTTGAGGAAGGCTACTGGAGGGCACACTTCACCTTTGGGTGATACACTGGAGTACAACTATATCCTCCCACGAACATCTCATGGGGCCACCGGCAGAAAAAGAATGATGGGCTGGAGTCAGTGAACTGACTTAATGTGGCATTTCTTGAGTGGTGTGTGGCTGTACTATGATATTAGTACTAGAAAGGACTCTCAGCGCCATTTTTTCATCTCTTTAACTTGAAGCAGGACCACAATCAAGCCATCTCAAGCTGAGAACTTACACTTTTTCCGAAGACTTCCAAAGTGATCCCGGGGGTATCTATTTTTTATTTTGAGACAGGGTTCTTGCTATGTTGTCCGGGCTCGAGTGCTGTGGTGTGATCATGGCTCACTGCAGCCTCAGCCTCTTGGGTTCAATTGATCCTCCCACCTCAGCCTCCTGAGAAGCTAGAATTACCAGCATGCGTCACCACCCTTAGCTAATTTTTGTATTTTTTGTAGAGATGGGGTTTCACCATGTTGCCCAGGCTGGTCTTGAACTCCTGGGTTCAAGCAATCTGCCCACCTCGACCTCCCAAAGTCCTGGGAATCCAGGCGTGAGCACTGCTCCCGGCCCCATGGATGTCTAATCCACATCTCCTAGATGGGAATTTACTCTCCTCCTTTTGTTCTGACTAATTAGAAGTAGACAGGAAGCCACAATCAATTTGTTGCTAACCTCTTAAGTTTCCCATCTGTCTTTCACAACCCAGATCCTGGAAATGGCTAAGGTGCTTCAGGACGAGGGTAACCCATAGTGCATTGCATTTCCTGTAAGTAGCAACCAGGGTTCAGGCAGGAAAGCAGAGCCAAAATGATTATTACAGGAGTAACGAATTGAATATAGGAATGAGATGATACACAAATTTGGGAGGACCTGAGTAAAGTCTGGAAGCAAGAGTCAGAGGAGCAGAGCAAGTGTCACCAACCGTGCATGGATGGACATGTCAGGACTTGTAGGGAAATCTGAGAAGCCAGGCACGTCTAGCTGGCAGAGTAAGGCCATAAAGGAGGAGCTGATGGAGAGGTCTAAGGGAGGCCGTGCTGCCTCCCTGCCACTATGTGGGCCACGGCCAAAAGCTGTGGAGGGCCTGGCGCCATTGTTGGTCAGCAAGGCCACAGGCAGAGAAAATGACCCAGAAGCAGAGCAGAAGAATGCAAAGACCAGCTGGAACCTGCCAGACATCTCTGATTCTACCCATTACCATAATGACCGCACAGCCTTCTATGAGTAAGAGCTGCTGCTTTCCTTCTGTCTTCCAAATCTCACACCAATTTCTCCTTTGACCGAATCTAACTCTGAACCATGTTGGTACCAGCGTAACCAAGTTGAAATGGCATAACATAGCACAGTGTATCACCTTTCTATGTCTTTCAATTAATGTCTAGATTTAAGCTTAAAGGCATTGAAAATGTTCCTTAAATCTAAATGAAAATAGTTCTTATTCATCCTATTCTTACCCTATTTGGGTGAATAAAATATTGAAAACTGACTCTTAAAAATCATGGGTATTTCACTTTTTCCCTGCTGACACTGTTCATTTACTTCATGGCAATTGATGGTAGAAAAAGATAGCACTTTGTTACTCCCCATCACATCAGGCTGAGTTACAAGACTGTCATTCCACATTTTCAGTTCAATTGTAAAGCATTATCTATCAACAAATTGAGCAGTTTCTAAATTGGCTGTCTTTACATAATGCCTAACATCCAGAAGTATTGTTTGCAGTGATAAAAGCTTGGAAACAACCAAAATATCCATCATTAGGAGAGTGGTTAAATAAATTATGGAACAAACATGCAGTGGAGTACTATACAGCCTTTGGGAAAAAATAAGGCACAACCCTGATTACGGAAACTTCACAGTGTTTTTTGTTAAGCGAAAAAGGCAATGTGAAAACAGTGTATGTGGTACCATTAAACAAAGGGGCGCGTAAAATACATAGATGCATATATGCACATATTGTGTGTATTCCCTCCAGGGAAAGTGAGTGGGAATGGAGGGGGAGAAAGAATGTATAATCTTTGAATTTTGTGCCATATGTTTGTGTTGCTTACTAGATAAGTGGGTGGATAGATAGATAGATAGATGATAGATAGATAGATAGATGATAGATAGACGATAGATAATTGATAGTTGGATAGATAGATAGATAGATAGATAGATAGATAGATAGATAGATGATAGATAGATAGATAGATAGACCCACATATTAACAATGGTCTACTCTCTGATATAGTATGACCTGGCTTATTTTACCTTTAAATCCTCTGCTTTCGGCATCAAGAATGCCCAGGAGAAAAAAAAATGTTATCATAATCTGTATCATAATTAGAAAACCAAATTTACATATTGGGTCAATGTACCAAAGTGCACATATAGAAAGACATGGAAAAAATGTATTACTTCCTCTGTTCTGCTTCATTTCATTCCTCAATATAACCAATATTTTTGTATATGTTTGTACATTTTGTCACATGAATTTAGAGATGATGCAAATTACCTGTTATAAGTGATTCTTCTTTGAGACACCACCTATTCTGAACTACGGAAAAAACTTCCTTGCTCTCATCACCAGAACCAGTTATTATGGGGGGAGAATATTGTACTAATCTAGGTCCGTTAAGAGGCTTATTCTGCCCCCTCTACTTTTCCTGGACCACCTGCTACAGGAGGATTGGATTTGCTGTTTCTCCTTTGTAATTCATTTCCTCTGTCTAAATTACATTTCCCTGTTTCATTCCACCCAGATGTATTACAGGTGATCAACTTCGGAACTCCCTTGTCCAATAGCCACACGTTCTTCCTTGAATGTAGCTGTCCAAGGTTAGAAGCCAACTGTATTTTGCACGAGATCCTACTCTTGTGCGATATAAATCAGAGCTTTAAGAGAGGAGCGGGTCAGTATGGGCTTTAGGTTAGTACTGATTTCCTGGGAACTGAGAAGAGCTTCTCTCTTACATAGGCTCTGTCTCTCCCTTTCTATTTCCTTCTGGCCCTTTATTAGCTAATATCCATGTTCAATATATTTGGCAGTGGTCATTACAAAAAGGGGTTTGGCACATAATCAGGGAACAAGGGCTTTCTCCTTTGGTACTACATCAACCATCTCTTGATTAATATGCAGAATTAAAGGCACTGAAAAATTGTTAGATTGGCATTTTAAAAAATAGTTATTAGATTTCTTTCTTACAAGAAATTCTGGCCTTTCCTTTGTTTCTTGCCATGGCCTGTCTGTATGCAAAAGGACACCCACTCTTCATGAATCCCATTCGTGGCTCTTCCACTAGCACTGCACGACCCTCTCAGTTGCTTGATGAAGAATAGCAACTTGGAGGTGAGGATTGTATCGGCATATCCATGCAGCTGCATCTTTGATTCTCAATCCAATCTATAGTTTCTGATTATTCGCAGTGTGAGAAGCTGACTTACTACAGCTGTCTCCATTAGGGATGGCTTATTTAGAGATCATTAAAAAATAGATGAGACTGATGCTCTGACCACCAGCATTAGTATTTTACCACACCTCTCTTCTTCCTCAGAAAGCTTTTGGAGACTAGGGTGAATGTCACTGGTTTTACACGTCTGTTATTATGAATTCTTTTTCTCAGCCTATTCCAGCTGCACTAGGTTTCTGGCTCTCCTTCTAACTCAGGGCCTTGGCACCAACTATTCCCTCTGCCTGGAATGCTCCTCCCCAAAAGAGCCACGTGACTCACTCCTTCACTTTCTTCAGGCTGTTGTTCAAATCACTTTCCTATTGGTCGCCCTGTTTAATATGACCCCCTGCACTTCCTATCCCATGTAATGCTTTTTTTTTTCCTCCAAGGTCCCTCACTTTGTATGTTTTAATTTTTGTTATTGTGTCACTCCAAGTTCCAAGAGGGCAGGGATTTTTGTCTCCTTTGTTCACTGCTATATCCCGTTTGCCTGGCACACAGTAGGTACACTGGAAGGAAGGAACAACTTAATTGTTGTAATTCCAGTTCTCCTCCCCTTTTTGATGAATGGGCTAACCTGATACAATGCCCTCAAGACCCAAAGATGGGTCAGCACCAATACTTCATGGCATTAAGACATGCAGATGGGTCAGGAGCCAATACTTATCTATCAACTGCTAGTCTGTTCTAAGCATTTTGTATTTTGACTCTTATCATTTTGTCTATCCAGTACCATCACCATTCCATCCCAACCATTTCTTGGAGACTTCCATCCCTTCTTCTGAGAACTTCTCCTTGCCAACTCCATCCACACAGCCACCATAAGAGCTCTGTGTTAACACAGAGTGGCTCCAGCTCTTGGGCCGCATTGTTGGGTACAGGAATAGACCTCTCACTCAAGCGAAACCAAAGACCTGGCTCAGAAAACTTGGAATCCCTACCAGGAGATCCAAACTCAGCCTGGTTGTTCTACTGATTTGAGAAAATATAAGTCTGGGAGCTGCTGTTGGCAAGCCACGTTTTCCTTCATGGAGACTGGCAAACAAGGAAAGCTGGTCTGTGGCAGAGAGAGGAACAAGCCTGCAGAGAGGCACAGAGATGTGATACCAAGTGTAGTCCTGAGGCCCTGGGAGTCCCTGATTTCAGTCCTTGGGAGAGTCAGCTGTACTTCTCTCCTTGAATTATTAAATACCTGTGCAATCCTTATACTGCATTCTCCCTTTTTTCTTAAACAAATTAAAGCTAATTTTCTATCACTTGTTAAGAAAACTTTACTAATTCATTTAATGCTGACAGAAGCCTGATGAGGCAGCTCATCTCTCTCTGACTTCAGAAATGAGGAAGACTTGGGAAGGTTATGTTTTCCTCCAGTTGCTGGAGGAAAGTGGCAGAGCTGGGATTTGATCTCAGGCCAGCCTGATTCCAGAGCATGTATTAAGACTTCCATCCTGTCATTCAGTCAAGTCCAACCATCCTGATGGTTTGTCTGTTAAAAATGATTTATTGGCCGGGTGCGGTGGCTCACGCTTGTAATCCCAGCACTTTGGGAGGCTGAGGTGGGCGGATCACGAGGTCAGGAGATCAAGACCACAGTGAAACCCCGTCTCTACTAAAAATACAAAAAAATTAGCAGAGTGTGGTGGTGGGCGCCTGTAGTCCCAGCTACTTGGAGAGGCTGAGGCAGGAGAATGGCGTGAACCTGGGAGGCGGAGGTTGCAGTGAGCTGAGATCACACCACTGCACTCCAGCCTGGGTGACAGAGTGAGACTCCGTCTCAAAAAAAAAAAAAAGATTTATTATGGAGTTTTTACACATACAAAATAGAATTGTACAATAATTCCCCATGTGCTTATCAATCAGCTTCAATCATTATCCACATTCAGCAGTCTTGTTCTTGAAGGCCTTTTAAGTGGACCCTCAGAAATAAAAAATGAACTTTGTAGGATTTCAGGCATTGGAGTGGGGTCTATAGTATGGTTGTGCAAGGGTTCTCTTGTTCAGTCCATGGAGAATGAGGGGAAAAAAAAAGAAGCACTGTGTTCAACAGGCCCAGCCATGGAGAGCTGTGCTGTCTACAGTTCTATCAAAGGCAGGAAGGTGGATTGGATGCTGGTGGAAGGGGGAAGCGGGTTTCCAACCCCAGTGGAAAGTACAAAATGTTGGAAGACTCTTTAGAGTTAAAAGAAATGCAAATTAGCACAGCCCACTTCTCCCACCAAAACAAATTGCATGTTTGTGATAGCCAAGTAAGATTAATGCTCAGATGTCACCATCTGAGAAACAGTCTTGAATCAGGATTCATTTGTTTTGACCTCGCTCTGGTCCTCTCTGCTCCTAGTTAATGATTTACAAGTGACACCTTGGAAACAGCTAAGGGGTCCTCTCTCCCTGTCCTTTTTAAGGGCAGGAAGTAATCCTGTGCCTGGGGACTATCCCATCACCCCTTATTAGAGCTGCACCCAGGACACTGTTGGAGCTGACCAGAGCTTTGTTCAATGAGATGGCAGGTCCCCAGCCTGACACTCTGCTGACAGCTGCTGTTTCCTTTCTCTCTCTCCCTCATGCCAGAAGGACATTTATGTAAGCACCACTGGCTCAGGACTGAGTAGAACAAGTTAAGAAATGACAAGGCTAGACTCAGCAGGATGGTGGCGTGCATTCTCCCGTACTGAGGAAGCACAGCCCAGAACTGCCAAGATGAGCTTGAGTCACTCTCAGGAGATTCCCGTCCTGGGGGTTTCTTCTCCTGTCATGCTCTTCAGTGCCCACAACTTTATTCCTGGGATGGAGGCAGCTGCCAGCCCTAATACCTAGCTCACAGGGGAGTTGTGAGTATCAAATGAGATTGTGAATGAGGAGGCATTTTGTTAACTGCAAAACGCCATGCAATTTTAAAGGACTGTCATTTCCACTACTCTTCTCCTTATACCTGGACACCTGCCTCCCATACCAAGTTGTACCTCCTTTCAGCCTGAAGTTCAAGTCTTTTTACTGAAGAGGAAAGCTTCATTCAGGATCTATTTCTGAATGACAGCCACTCCTGCAAAGAATCTACCAATATTTATCATTCACATGCAAAAATGTGTCATACATATTTAGCAAGCGCCCCATGAATTTCTTGTGCCTAGCAACCAAAACAGAAAAAGGAACATATGGAATCTGTGGTTGTTTGATACCAATTTGATCTGAATGAACAAACAAATTAGCCCATTTTTCCAAATATGAACCTGGTACCACTAGTATTGCCTGTGAGTGGAGATAAATACGCTCTTGCTACTTGTATTTTATTAGCTATTTCTATTCTTTCAAAATGCAATATTTATTCTTGGGAAAGAGAAAGAACCACTGGATCTAATACATGTGTCTTTGGACACTCCAGAGCACTTCCCTATTCCCTGCTTTTTCCAAGTCAAAACATTTGAACTTCAAGATTCTTTCCTCCCTACTAAGCCATTGTATCAGGCATCACAGCAGTCACAATTTTCTCCAGAGGAAAGCATATGGCCCTTAACTCCACTTCAGGCAGTGAACCCTGTGGGAGGGTGCGAATAGAAAGAAGCCAGAACAAAAAACATCTTTTCTGTTGGGCTGTTGTCTGAAAGGTGCCTCTGCTCTGAGGAGGCAGATTCCAGCTCTACATAAGGAAGAACTTTCAAGCAATCAGGGTGGCCAGAAGATAGAGTGGACTCTCTCAAAGAGAATCAGCTCCTCACCAGCAAGTGTGGGCAGCCACTTGGAATTGATTCTGTACAGGGAGTTTCAAAGTACAAGATGCTGGACTAGTTGCACAAAATGGCCCTGCCAACCCTAGGAGCCTATGGGTCTACAAGAGAGCTGAACAGTTTCATAACAAAACACAGGAGGTCTCCTCTGTGATATTGTTTGAATGAAATGGAAAGATCCTGCTTAAAAATATCTTCTTCATTGACACCTGAAATTCTGTCATCAGTAATTTCTTCCTTTGAGTCAAGCATTTCTCTTTTCCTGAGGTCTTTTCCTTTCTTTGGGAAGGTGTAACAATTTTACAACTTCATCCTTGGAAGAAAAGAACTTACAAAGATCTTTTTCCCCCTCTTCTGAGAGAAAAAAAGATGGAAACCCATAAAAATCACTGAGTGGGAAGCAAAAGAAGAAAGAGGAAAAGGAAAAGGAAAAGGAAGGGAGGGAGGGAGCGAGTATCCTCTTGCAGAAAGAACTTTGATAAACTCAGTGTGCCAATGACCACATCTGATCACCTAGGTTATTATTGGTACTGATAATCATTATTAAAATAAATAATGGTTTGAGCATTTAGTAGGTATCAGGCACTGCGAAGAGCTCTTAACAAACAGAATCGAACAAAACTTCCAAGAACCCAATGAGGTTTTATTATTCCCATTTTACAGATCTGTAAACTAAGGTTTAGCAAGGTTAGGTACCTACCTAGATCACATAGCTAGAAAATGGAAGAGTCAAGAAGCTAATTCAGTGTCTGATCCACAGTTGGGATTCAGTAAATACTTACAGAATGAATACATCAAATTTTAATCAGAGAGAGATGATCATGGGACACTCCTGTATCATAAATCACTACCATTTTTATAGGGCAGTTTGACTCTAAAACCTGGGCTTATGACCACTCTCCAGCTGCCTGTCATCCTCCTATTTTTCTCATTTAATGACTTCAACCTTAGAGATCCCCCAAACACAAACACATGCTACCTGTGAAATCTACCCTGAAAAAAGTATGCGAACAAATGAAATTAGAGTTTCCCTTCCACTTTTCTTAAGACATTACTTTTTCTACCCACTATTGACCTCCCTTTTCCTCATTCCTTAAAAAGAAATTGTTACATCATTGTATTTTCTCACCTAGGAAAGTCTCCGTAAGTAGCAGCCACCCTCATTTCAACACCCTGGGACCCCAGGACCGCCAGAGAGAGGTGTGGTAAGGAGAGCAAATATATCAGAGTGAGGAATAAATGCCTGCCGAGCTCATTAGCACCCAGGCACAGAGAAGGAGCCTGCTATTTTTATCAAATGTACCTTCGCTTAAATAAATTGCAGAGAAACTTGACAGAAAAAGGGTTCCTTTGGAAATTTTTGTTCCTTCTAATAAAGACAGACTATCTTGTATGCCCTTTCTAGCCTGGTAGCTATCCTCAGACCTGTAACATGTGGGGTTGGAAAGCCACCTGTGTACATTTTTACATTTGCTCCCTCATGAAATCTCTATCTCAGCCGCTTGCTTTTCGGTTCTAGCCCAGGCACAAACCTGACGGGAAACATATAAAAGCTTTGTAGCTCAGGTGGAGTGCCACCTCTATGACCGGGAATTAGGGCTTTGCCTCTTTCCTGTGATTCACCAGCAGAGTTTTGATCACTCAGTGTAGTTCCAATGATATGATTCCTTTAGCCAAGACTAGTTCATGACCCAACGCATGAGCTGAATTCAATTTTTTTAGATGAGAATTTAATTATACCCACTTGCTTTCTCATGCACAACTTTGCCAGCGTTTTAGGGATGCTCCAGGATTATTTCCTAGCCTGGTTGTGCACCATGCCTATCCTCAACCCTTGGGCCAAAATATTTGTCTTAAGCTCAGGAGTCATAGCCACCTGGAACCTCTGTGCTGACAGCTTACACTTGCAGAATTAGCTCCCATTACTTAAACACACACACACACACACGCATGTGTGTGTGATACTTACTGATTGTTTTCAATAAAAGACAAAAATGAGCCTAGGCCAGACATGATGGCTCATGCCTATAATCCCAGCAATGTGCAAAGCAGAGGTGAGAGGATCACTTGAGCCCAGGAGTTCTATGTTCTCCCTGGGCAGCACAGGGAGACTCTGCCTCTATTTGTAAAACAAAACAAAACAAAACCTAAAAATACTTTTCCCTCCACTCTTCCTCCCAAAAGCAAATTTCAGGAGATGTTCTGTGACTTTCTGTCTCATAAGCTAGTTTTTTCCAGAATCTCCAAAATTAGTTGCTTCTTGAATATTCTCATTAATTACTAACATTCTCATATTGACTTTTTGAAGATTTGGCAAAATATATCAACAAATTTTAAGACATGCCTACTCTGTAATCCAGCTATTCTAAAGACACAATCTGGTAAGTCCGCAAAGATTTTCACTCCTCTATTGGTATCATAGCAACAATTGATAACAACCAAAGTATCCAAAATTAGGGATCTGCTCTAGTAAGTTGTGGTACCACCATATCATAGGACTTTTGTCTACTAGTTAAAACCATGTTGTTAAGGTATTTGTTGGTGTAGAAAATATTAACCATCTCTCTTTTTTTTTTTTTTTGAGACAGGGTTTCACTCGCCCAGGATGGGGGGACTGGCGCGATCTCGGCTCACTGCAACCTCCACCTCCCACGCTCAAGTGATTCTAGTGCCTCAGCCTCCCAAGAGACTGGGATTACAGATGTGTGCCATCACACTCCACTAATTTTTATATTTTTAGTAGAGACAGGGTTTCACCATGTTAGCCCGACTGGTCTTGGGCTCCTGGCCTCAAGTGATCTGCCCACTTCGGCCTCCCAAAGTGCTTGGATTACAGGCGTGAGCCACCACACCCAGCCTTAACCATCTATTACTAAGCGGAAAAAAGGTACAAAACAGTATGTACAGAGAGGCAACCTCTGGAAAAGCAACCTCTATGGTCGTAAGTGTATCTATCTATCTAGTAGAAATTCTTACATGAGTATACACCAAAGGACAGACACAAATTAACAATAGTTCTCTTTGGGTGATAGAATTTTGTTCATTGTAATTTTTCTCTGCTCTGAATATTCATTATTTTTTAATTAGTGGGAAACAAATGATCTTTTTAAAAGAAAAAGTGCTGCTTTTTATTTCCTCTCTTGTCTCTGAAATCCTGGAAATTAGCTAAGAAGAGGATCACAGGTCAGACCCGGCTGCTGCTCCAAGATATTCACTTCAGCTTCCACATGGTTTTCACTCTGTTCTAACTGCACTGAGCAAATCACAGTTCTCAGGAGACTAAGACCAAACCCCTTCTCTAAAGATTGGCCTGCAGTCTCTTTTTAGAATTTTGTCTCCTTGCAATCTCTTTAGAAGTATAGAAAACCACTATTTGAGAATATATGCATTTCCTTCCTAACATTTCTAGATTTCTCTCTTGACAATCTAAAGTTTAGCATTTGATGAGTCAAGAAACCATGTAGAATGGAAAGTATACCATACTATAAGTCAGAGAATAAATACCATAAGTCAGAGTCAAAGTATACCATACTATAACTCTGTCTTATCTGTGTTAAAACTAATTGTGGTTTTGGACATGTTGCCCAAACTGAGACCCAGAGTTTTTGCCCCTCTAAAGAAAAATGAGTACCACTCATTCTGTCTACTCTGCCTACTCTATAGACAGAGGTTGCAAAAACCAAATAAGCTGATACATGAGGAGGAGGTACTAGATCTATTCAAATATCTGCTATCACTATCATGATTGCTATTATTGTCATTCTTGTTACTATTACTGCTCTCTCAACTAAAGAAACAAACAGATGATATTGCAATTTGACTTTACTTTCTGGAAAAGGAGAAAGAATATTCTGGAAGTCCTGGCCACCAAGTTATCCTTGGCCTATGGCATCAATCGAGATCCTTTTTTTTTTTTTTTTTGAGATGGAGTATCGCTCTGATGCCCAGGCTGGAGAGTGCAGTGGCGTGATCTTGGCTCACTGCAAGCTCCACCTCCTGGGTTCATGCCATTCTCCTGCCTCAGCCTCCCGAGTAGCTGGGACTACAGGCGCCCACCACCACGCCCGCTAATTTTTTGTATTTGTAGTAGAGACGGGGTTTCACCATCTTAGGCAGGATGGTCTCGATCTCCTGACCTCGTGATCCGCCCACCTCAGCCCCACAAAGTGCTGGGATTACAGGCGTGAGCCACCACACCTGGCCTGAGATCATATTTTTATACATTGTTATAAAAGACAAGACTTGCCTTTATGATGTCAGATGCATATAGTCTGCTTGCTTCTTAGGAAGAAGACCCTTGAACTCTATTGCTCATGCTCTTTTTCATCTACTCTTAGCTGCCCCTCACCTCTGCCTCTTTTCCTTGTAAAGAAGGGCCATGCTCAAGCTATTTCCTTTGGTTTTCTCTTACATATCGTCTGTGTCGTTAGTGCTAGCTCAGAGCTAAACATGTAAAAGTACTATATTCAGTAGATATGTGCTAAAAGAATAAATACATTCGCTGAACACCTTTTAGGCAAAGCATAGTGATGGAAAAAAAGCAGGGGAAGAGAGAAATTTCTAAACAGCACTGGGAAACATTGACCAATGAGCATGCAGCACAAGACACCCGCAGGCTCCTGGAAGAGAGAGAAGACCCCACAGAGAAGCTGCAGTCAGGATGGGTGGGATTCGCGGGTCCTCTTCAAGGTCTTGGGGATCTTGAGCTCTATCTAGGACCACCATGCTGGCCAGGGTTCTGGAAGAAGCAGCAAAGAATTTGGTTTCTCGGGGTGGTGACAAAGGGAGAGCCACCCAAGGTGCTTCTAGAGATAAACACACACCCAGAGGTAATCCTCTGACCTAGACTAAGCCCAGGAACATAAGACCTCAGAGCTAATGAGCCACATACCTACCCAAGGTGAAAGCTCCTTCTCTCGCAATGTGTAACTCATGATTCTCATGACCCCTGGTTGGAGAGATCCGGACTAGGAGCCAGGGGGCCTCTGATTCTGCCAGCCACTGCTAATAACCTCTCTCCACCCCAGGTCAACCTTCCTGACAATTTGAGAAGCTCTTTATCTTAATCCTACCCTACCTCAACTTCCATCTAACCTGGAATTCCTTATTCCAGCTTACTTTCCAGATCTAAGTTCTAGCTACAAATTGAAGGTGTAAATGGGATGACCTTTCCTATCCACGTCAAGATTCCATGAGTGTATATTTTTAGTTACTTATTCAGTCAATAAACTTGTGTGAAGCTGTGCTATATGCCAGCAACTCTAGGTACAAAGATGACAATTATGTGGCACTGCCACAGAAAACCTCACTGTCTCATGCCCTGCAAAGACACACAAGAAGAGAACCTTTGGCGGGGCAAAGGGGGTGGGGGAAACCTCCTATGAAGGCTGTCCTGAGAGAGAGGTAGAAGATCAGTATTCCAGGTCTTCTGAGACCTCATCTAGCAGCTTCCTGAAGGCAATATCATGAAGTGTTAAACTTGGCTTCAACATCACACTGCATGGGCTGGAATCTGTCAAGTGTCTGGTGGCTGTGGCCAATGAGGTTGTGAGAAATGGACCAGTTCACAGCACATACCTGTCAAGTTGATATCACATCTAGATATTTTGTTCTCCTCTTCTGAAAAAAAAATTCATATAATAGCAATTAGCACTCTCTTTCCAGGGCTATGTGTGGGGGTTGAGTGAGGTAATTCATGTAAAGCATGAGATCTGGAACATGGTAAATATTTAGCACATACTCGGCGTTTTTGAGATTATGAATAGAATCTTTAGACTAGATTTCATATAAAAAGACTTCAGATATTTCTTTTTAAAATTATGTTTCAGAAAATAAACATATGGAGGAAAGATAACATAAAATTGTACAAAAAGGAAGGAGTTCATTGAAGAAAACAATCATTTGCAAAAAGCTTGGCCCCCACCTGGAGACAGGTACAACAGATAAAGCTCCCCAGATCAACTGTCTCAGAGGTATCAAAACTCACCAATTCTATATTTAGGCATCCTTATGTTCCTGCTGCCAGAGTTGCCCATAGATACAAACATTTCAGGGCACACAGCAGCAGTTTTCAGAAAGATTTCCCTTTTAGGAGAGGGAGACGCTACAAAGCTTAATCGGTTCTAAGTGATTCTCAAATATTGTATCAATTTACAGCAGAAAGGTCACTGTGAATAAACATGAGGATTCTGTTCAGTGTCTGGGATTTAGCAGACTAACTCCCACTAATGTTCATGGGGCCATGCTGCCAAATCCCCAACCATCACCCTGCATATTTGCTCCAATCCCTAACTTTTGAGATTGAAATGTCTTTTCCAAATCAAAGCTGATCCTGAAACAGGCCCAATGAGCCTCTGTATGGTTAGACAGGGACAGTGTGGCTGAAGCCTGGGGACATGGCAGTGCTCAAAGAAATGGTATTAAGAGGGTTTGTTGGAGCCAGGCATGGTGGTGCATGCCGGTAGTCCCAGCTACCTTAGAAGCTGAAGTGGGAGATCGCTTGAGCGATCTTGAGGTTTTGAGGTTGCAGTGAGCCACAGTCATGCTACTGCACTCCAGCCTGGACAACACAGCAAGATACTGTCGAAAAAAAAAAAAGTCTTTGTTGAAAGACATGTCTTCACATTGTCTACCCAATTCAGCTCAGCTTCCTTTGCCTGATGTGCAACACAGTCCATTCCCCAAACTCACCTCCCATGACTTCTCCCTGTGAGCTCCAGACAAAACAAGATTCCCCAGTTCTCAGCCAGAGGCGAATGTTTATGTTTTTTCCTACCCACTTCTCTCTTCTTTGGGGGAACCCACCTCAATACTACCTTGTTGGTGAAGTTTTTTGATACCAACCTGGGATCATCATTGTTTCCAAACACTGCAGATTCTGAGCTCCATGAGATAAGCTCACATCTCTCCAGCCTCCCTCATGGGCCCAGGAGTATTGGCTCGGCTCCTTCTAGAACAGCTCACATTTTTTGGACAGCTTCTCCAACCTACTCCACCCACATCTATCTGCTCTGAATCTAACCTAGGACTCCATGTCTCAGTCAGGTTCAAGATGAAGTGGCTCCTGCTGCAGACCCTGATCAACACCCAGACTTTTCATATTCAGAAAATCAAAACCAGGTCACAGCTTCCAGGAGTCTATCCAGCTTCTGCTGATCTGCTCAGAGGACTGACTGGCCCACAACATCTGCTCCCAGGTCAGACCAGGGTGTCCACAAGGCAAGGTCCAGGATACCCAGCCGCTGTCCACCACAATGTGATGGGATGACACAGGTACTGGCCACACAAATGGCAGATAGATAGCACTGGCCATCCATGGAGAGGCGCCTGGGCTGAGTGATGAGTCTCAGAATTATTTCACCCCCTTGGCAAAAAAAAAAAAAAAAAAAAAAAAAAAAAAAATATATATATATATATATATATATATATATATATATATAGAGAGAGAGAGAGAGAGAGAGAGAGAGAGTAAAGGAAAACTTTGTTGGTGGTAAAGTCTTTCCATGCTTTATTGATAAAAAGCTTTTCTATCCTTCCACCTCCCCAACTCACATGTACACACAGCAGATGTGTTGTTTCCTTCCTTGGAGCTCAGAATACTTTGAGCACTGACTAAGGCATAGATCCCATTCTGCCTTCTAGGGTTGTCTTATTTTTCTCAGGTTGGCTGCAGGCCTGGTGAGAGTAGGGAGGGCATCATACCTGTCTGTATATTTCCTGTAATACCTCATACACAGCCTTGCACACCATCGGTGTTCAGGAAACCACTGGATTGAAGAACTTTCTATTCCTTGGTATTTTTGGAGATTTAGGCCTTTTAAGAAAAGGAGTTGAAAGTTGGGGAAATGGAGATATATTTACAGATGATAGATCCTTTATGTATTAAGTTAGATAAACATGTTTTAGAAAACATCCCTCCTCTTTGGAGTCAGGAAGAACTGGTCCATTTCTCACAACCTCATTGGCCACAGCCAACAGACACTCAGAACACTGTCCGGGGTGAACAGTGGATCTGAGTCACATCAGTAACTCATGTGTTGACAATCAGCTCCACTGTCCTCTCAGAGGCCTCTGCATTTATTCACTGTCCTTACCTACAGCCATTGTTACCCAAAGCTGACAAGAGCCACTGTGTACATTTTAGCCTTAACTACTCATTTAGGTTCAGTTCAGCCAGGTCTGTCTTAGTTAACACACACTCCATCTGTAGGGTAACCACTAAATGAACTTAAACTTTGGGCAGTCACAAAGCTGACTCCCCTCATCTGACTCGCCGTGCCTGGTGGGCTGTCAGAGCATTGGCTGCAATGGGATTGATAATTTACCCTTTGCCTGCCCTTATTTTTTCCACCCAACCTGCAGGAGGTCTGGAAGTATCTAAGGCGAAGGATAGCCTGTGCTCACTCTCCACTTTCTCACAGCCCACTCACAAATCTAGTGGATGTGTTTGAGTCCTTTACCTAGACCCTATTTTGCTCTTTTATCTGGTTAAAGACGTGGTAAAGTTGAATACTAATACCACATCTTCTTCCTGGAGATTCCACCTCCCTTACCTTTATGACACCCATCAGTTTG
Organism: Homo sapiens; assembly: GCF_000001405.40. Taxonomy (NCBI): domain Eukaryota; kingdom Metazoa; phylum Chordata; class Mammalia; order Primates; family Hominidae; genus Homo; species Homo sapiens. The sequence goes on from NC_000015.10 coordinate 34,747,414, forward strand.
CTAACTGGCTCTTTTCAACCTCTGTCTTAGGTGCCTCCTCCTCTATCCACTCCAGGTTCTACCTGTGGTCAGCCCGTCTTGCCACCATGAAAGTCTCATCCATGGCCACTGCTCTCACTGCTCAAGCCCTGAAAATTGTGGGCAGTCTTCCATCCACAGCTTCTCATTACTAATATTCTCATCACTAATGATTTAAACAAGGGCAGCTCCGCCATGACAGCCTCCCACTTCCCTTTTCCTTCTTTCATAATTTATCCTCCAGATACCGGGTTCTCATAATCTAATGCTAATGCTCTGACTCAGTTGATCTCAACCTTATGAGTGTGAAAATTTAAAATACTGACGCCTAGCCTACAGCATCAGAGATTCTAAGTTAGGCGGTCCCGAGTGGAGCAAGGGCATCAGTGTTTTTACTGTACTATTTTTCCACTATTATTGACATAAATGTTGCTCTTTTGTCTGAGAAGTTGCTTTTTCATAGACCTTCTCAAAAGCTGAGACTTAGGTGTTATTATCCCTGTGTTTCCAGGGTTCCAGGCCCTGCAGCAGGAGCTCAATATTTGTTCATTGTCTTAAGTAAGGTATCCATACAACTGGGTTTGCCCAGGACAGACCCAATTTGGGTCTGTGTTCCATCCAGTTAGCTACCCTGACCCTTTCATTCTCAAAGATGTCCCATTTTGTACAAGAAATCATGTAATCCCCTTAACCATAATGGTACCTAAAGATGTGAAAATTGGTGTTATGGGCTGAATGGTGCCCCCCCACCACCAACACACACACCGAAAATTCATATATTGATAGCCCTAACGCCCAGTACCTGACTTTATTTGGAGACAGGGCCTCTAAAGAGGTGATTAAGTTAAAATGAAGCTCTAATTCAATCTGACTGGTGTCCTCATAGGAAGAGGAAATTTGGACACACAAAGTGACACCACGGCTACAGATGCATAAAGGAAAAACCATGTGAAGACATCTTGAGAAGACGATCACCTGCAAGCCAATGAGAGAGGCCTCAGAAGAAACGAAACTTGTCAGCACCTTGATTTTGGACTTCCAACCTCCAGAGCAGTGAGAAAATAAATTTCTGTTGTTTAAGCCAGCCAATCTGTGGTATTCTGTTATGGCACCAGCTTTAGCGAACTAATACACGTAATAAAATGTAAAGAAAACAAAACCAATGTAAATAACATTTTCTAAGTTCCATCTAAATAAAGTTTTCCAGCCTTCCAAGATGAATGCTTACACCACTTTTTTAGAAACCCGCTGTCTTGAGTTTAGATCTTTTGATTTCTTCAACTGTACTGTAAAAGGTTTTCCTTAATGTCTTCACAGGATGTGTTTAGCTTTCATACATTCTGAGTCTATAAGACCATTCCCAGATGAAACACTGAGACGGTGACAATAAATGTTGTATGTGGTTACAATGGGTAAAGCATAGTTTCTGTCCTTAAGGAACCATGCCGTGATCTAGCATGGTGTGTGTGTGTCTCATCTCCACACAGCAAGTTACCAGCAAAGTGACTTTTATGAGGACTCAGAGCAGGAGCACTAAGCCAGACTGGAGGAGGGTTTAGAATAGGTTCCTTGGTGAGGGGACAGCCAAACTGATTTTTAATGGGTGCAGAGGAATACATCTAGTGAAAGGAGGTAGACGGACAGGTATTCCTTGCAGAGAAAAAGACTTAAAAAAAAAAAAAAAGAGAGAGAGGTGAAAAGGTAACAATGTTCTTTCTAGTGCTTTTAAAACCACTCCCACCTGGATTTTAAGTTCAATCATTTTTCTCTGTCCACAGAGGTCACAGATAGCATAACTACTATCCTTCATATTTTTTACCCTTTAAATATTTAAGCACTTACAGTTACAAATTCTGCCCTTTCAGCTTTTCTTTCTTCAGGTTAAGCAACTTCAGTTTCTCCAGGCTATTCTCCAAACTTTTAAACCAATTTGAGGCACTGCCACCCACTACTTAACCAGTGTACACACATACATGCACACATGCACACACATGCGCTCACATATAGCTGTGCACAGGCCAAGAGGGCCTGCAATTCACCAAATGTCTCTTAAATTTAAGAGGCTATATCAGTGATGTTCTCTCACAAAATACAAATTAAGGTGACATCTATCACATAGCTATGTGAACCGTAAAATCATCAGTGTATTTCCTTTACTACATAGAAAGCAAAAGACCGACACCAATGGTCATTCTGAGGGAAGACTCTATACTCTGAAAGAAAGTGTTTTCTTCTCCATTGCTGACAACTGAGTTAATAATTTTGCCATGTGTAGGTGTTGGGAAACATCACAGAACTGAAATAGATCAACCCCACTCATATGGGATGCATTTCTACCAGGAAACACTACGGTTCTTTTAATCCTACATCAAGTCATAAATACAACAGACCTTGTTTTCCACACAGATTCCTATTTCTTTCACACCCAAGCATATGCTAAGAGCTCTCAAGCAACACTCTTCCTCCATCTCTGGGAGACGTCTTAAAACATTTTTAGCTTACCAAACACAAAACGGAGGAGGATCTGTTTCTTTACTCAAGGATAATCATCTTCAACTGCTTATTTATACTGCAGATAGAAACCTATAGATTGAAATGAGCATATTTTCATTCTAAAGTTGGCATCTGTGCTGCCATAGTTGAGATGCAACAATCGTGTTTGAAAATCAATCGTCCAGGAAACCCCACGTTGCTTCGCAATGTTCAAGCCAAGTGCTCATTGGAATTAGAAGGTGAGTAGCACTAAAGAAATGAGAAAGAACACTAGTCTGCTGAAATAATGGGACCATATGTAGGCAGAAAATACCAAAAATGAGAGTAAAATGTTGTGGCTAAAAAGTAATGTCTTATGACATGTAAGTAAAGGATCAATCTCCTTTGAAGAACCCACTAAGAAATGATTGATTAAAAGTCTAGAATTGTGCTGTGTAATAGAGTAGCAACTAACCGTACTTGGCTATTTAAATTAATTAAATAAAATTAGAAATTCTGTTCTTGATTTGCACTAGCCATGTTTTAAGAGCTCAGTAGTCACATGTGGCTAGTTGTTGCCACATTGGGCAGCATGAATAGAAGAAATCCTCATCATTACAGAAAGTTCTACTGGCAGCGCTGGTCTAGAGAGATCTGCTTGACTACCGGGTTAGCATTGTGTTAAGCATCAGACCCCGAAGAGATCATGGAAAGAACAGCATGCTCGCCAAGTGTAATGATTAATCCATGGCAGGAAAAAAAAATGTGGTGGAAAGAAAAAAAAATTCCACTCCTGGAATGGGCTAATATGATGTAGTATTGACATTTGTGTTATAAGAAATAGACAAGTAAGGAAAGTTTTGAGCTGAAATGGAAAGGAGCTAATAAATCATACGATTTGAATATCTCACCACTCCCTTATGAACATTCATAAAGCATTGATTTGGAAGAAAATATCCATGAAAAGTCTCTCTTCATCTGTTAGTGGCTGATTGTATTTTATTGGTCATTCCTCAAATACTATTCAACCATGACTTACTTCCTACCCCCAATGTTTTTCTGTTATAACATTTTTGATCATGCATTTAAATAAATATACCCCCCATCAAAAAGTGCAGACTCTTCCCATTTTACAAAAAAAGGCAAGAACTTTATTTTAAACAAATCCTTAGTTGTGTGTTACACCATGTCCATATCTAAATCAAAAATGATAATGATAATTCAAAGGGAACAAAGGGCTTCATAAAAGCACATTACCCAGATGTTTCTCTTGGCCAATATTTTAACTAAATACACAGTGGATATGAAAGGTACAGTATGGCACTTAAATAAATAAGAGCAAAAAGAAGAAAACATATTGACAGTCCAATGCAATAGGTTTTTGAACCTTTGGTATATGTCTCAAATAAGTCACCGTAAACACACGTTAGCCAATAGTGTTTAGTTGCAGGTCTTTTAAGCCAGTAATTTTGTATGTGTGTCTGTATATGTGTGTGTGTTTCAAAGAGTAACTGAAAAAATAATAAATCAGGATTGACATGGGATGATTAAGGTCTCTGGTGTAAGCACACAGGTAAATTCAAATCATGGCAAAATGACCGTGCAGCTGTGTTGCACAACAAAACTATGTAAGAAAATGAGTGAGATACACCAGTTACAAATGCTGTGGCTCAGCTAGACACTCTTGATATTAGCCAAAAAAAATCTTTTTAATGTTAACCAAAGTCCACAAGCTGGAAGGCAGAAATATCCTGAAGCTCGTAACCGTGTGCCTAACTGTGCAACAACAATCTCACAAAAGTGTTGTAGTTGCATATTGCAATTCCCTCCCTCCCACCCATCCCCCATCCCTAGTAAACAGCACCAGTGCAGTTTGAGTTAGAAAACTGGAAATATTGAGACATTCCTAAGGTTTTCATCACGACTAAGGGCCAGTCAGATGGGGCTCTAATGAAAACCTCTGCCATGGCCGTTCTCCAATAAGCACCCCATGTAATTCCCTCTAAGTTTGCAAATAAAACATATTAGGTCTAATGTAAGGCCAGATTCTGGAAAAAAAAAAAAAAAAAAAAAAAAAGCTGGCATGCTATTTTGGATTGAGGGAAAGGGGCATGCTGGTGGGGGAGATACATGAAGAGTGCCTCAAGGATGTTTGTCCCATGGCTCAGGATAAAGGGATGGGTTGAGATAGGTCACAAATTTTATATCAATGAAGTACTCAACTCACACCATTCACCAGAATAAAGAGCTCAGCAGGGCTAAGTCCTACTTGGTAGCTGTGCAAGTTCAGTGTTATCAGGATCAGGCTAGGCCATAAACAGAAAGGGACCAAAGAAGTCTAATTGATCCATTTCATCACTCTACCCAATCGTCTCTGTAGAACCAATTAGGTGATATGTGAAAATGGGTCCACTTTTCCTCCTTTCCCATTGGTGCAAAATCTTCTTTTATCCAGTCTTATCCTACATCTTAATGGTGAGGGTCACATAAATGAGGGTGGATACAGCCACGTCTGAGCAGTCATCTGCCTTGGGGCTCCTTGCCATCCCCCAGACCTTCATGAAACCTGCCCTCTCACACATAGGCAGAGTCACTGGACTGAGTCCTGCCAAAATTGGGAACACTGACCCTTGGCAGGTCCTTGTTACGAATCTCATAGATTGACTTTCTCTTGGCCTGAGCCCCTCGCACAGCCAGCTTGATCTTGCGCCATCCCAGGTGGTTGAGTTCAGCCAGGTTGAGCACAACACAGATGCCACTTACAGCAAACATGAACACTAGAAAGACAGTCTTCTCAGTTGGCCGGGACACATAACATTCCACCTCCTTGATGCAGGGGTAGCGGTTACACTCATACAACCCTGGGACACTAAAGCCATAGAGAAAATATTGGCCAACCAGGAACCCAATTTCCAGGGCATTTCGGAACACCACTTGGATAATGTAGAAGCGGGAGATGCCTTCCTGCCTTCTGAGCTTGGATTTTGATGCAGTGCGTAGACCTGATGGGTGTGGAGTCAGCTCCTTAACCTCTAAACAATCTGGCTCTGTCTCCTTACTGGTGTTCTCTGTGTTCTGCAGCACCCCATTCACAATAGCATTTTGCAACTTCTTATCTTCTCGTTTGCCCCCACCACTGCCCCCACCCCCAGTTCCTCCAGGACCTCCTATGGACTCAGGGGGGTCTCTGTCCAGGGCTAGGAAGACTGTAGAGTAGCGGCGTTCTCGCTGCTTGGCGGACTGGTGCACAGAGTAGGTGATGAAGCAAAGACTGGGGGTACACACCATTATGATCTGGAAGACCCAGTAACGTATGTGGGAGATGGGGAAGGCGCGGTCATAGCAGGCCTGGTTACAGCCGGGCTGCAGGGTGTTGCACACAAACATGGTCTGCTCATCATCGTACACCGTCTCCCCCACAATGGCCACAATGAGGATCCGGAAGATCACCACCACAGTCAACAGGATCCTGAACGGAGGAAGAGGGAGGGAGAGAGGTTCTCACGGGCTGCGTCACTGACAGGAAACCCCTGCTCCTCCCTTCCCTTTGCTGGTGTTTACCAGTCTTTTGACTGGGGAGCTGTCCATCCCGGGCTGGTACTGAACTAGGAATCTGGGAAAGCTTTTTGTCTCTTCCTTTTCTGCTGAGTGCTGGTAGGCTGGGAATATTTCATATTATAGAGATCCCAGGTACACACATCTCCATACACTGGACATAGTCTACTTGCAACAGATAGATTTCATCTCTCTATATAGAATGTATAGAAACACAAAACACACCTTCACTCTGGATATGGCAAATGCACACAGAATACCTTTACAGATGGTGCATGCTTCGAGGTCTACACACAGGGTGTGTAAATAACTACTCCATGTGTATATTTAGTTTATTCTCAACATGAATATTAAATTTAATGCTTTATATAAGCAGATGGCTATGAATATATATTCATATATATTGAACTCATATATATATAAAGCTAGGTAGATAGAGACATAGATATAGATACAGACCCAAAAATGGCAATTGGGTGTGTAGGCTCGGTAAGTTTACACCGCCAAATAAGTTTGGTTTAGTAATTATTTGTTGAGAAAAGAGGCATCTGCTCTGAAGAGCAAATCCATCTCCCCATTTGCCCTTTTCTGTCCAAATGCAATCCTGCCTTCTTTGTAGATTCTATTTAGGGAACCAAATGGAGATTGGCTCTGACTCTGGAGAGTGGAGGGACCAAGACTGAGCCAGCGGCTCCTTTTCTGATGTGGGAAGAGTGAAGCCCCAGTGGTGCTTGATGGGGAAGGGATGGGCAGCTGGTTAGGAGTAGCTAGAGGAGGGGGGCATCGCGGGGCGTCGGGTAATCCCTCATCGCCGGGAACACCGGAGCCTTGACCTAGGACGATGGGGAGGAGGCAGAGGACGGACTGGGGATTGGAGCGGGAGACTCAGTCCAGGTGTGAGAAGGGACTCCCGGGGGCCGCCCGACGGGGCCCCCTGACCGCCGGCTTGGCGCCCTTACCTCCCGATCATAGTGGAGTGCTGCTGCACCGCGGCTTCTAGCAGCCTCTCCAAGATGGTCCATTCCCCCATCGCTGTGCATCCGGAGGCAGCAGACAAAGACTGGGCAGCACCGGGCACGTTCCCGCTCCTGGCCCCTCCCCGGGCCGCACTTCCAGAATGGGAGTGAATTGCCTCCCAATTAAAGAAGCAATTTTTTAAAAAATCCTCGAATCCCCCTTTCCTTTTATTGTACTTAAAAGAGAAGAAATGGGGAAAGAAATCCAAGCGCGTCCCGACCGATGGGGCAGTTGGCGCGGTCTAGAGAGAGGGCACGAACCTCGGGCGCCGTCCGGGGTTCGGGTCTGGATCCCGCGGACGCCGGGACGAGGGGCGGGGCGGGGTGGCAGCCTGCAGGTCCTCCAGCGCTCGCCCGCCCAGGAGAAGTCTCAGCGCCGCTCTCCGCCGCAGGTTGGGGGCCAGGGGAGGGTCCGAACACCGGCTCTGTTCCTGCTACTTCAGCGGGCACCTGGCGCTCCGGCGCGGCAGCCTGCGAGGCCAGGGCCGAGCGCGCGGAGCCGAATGCTGGGCTCGGGGATCCGCGGCCGCCGCCTCTAATCCGCCCTTAAGTAGTCTCCGCCTGCGTCACGCCAGGTCGGCGGAGGGGAGCAGAGCGCGCCGTGCGGCTGTCGCTGCGCGTCGGAGCCCGAGGGGCCGGGGACGCGCGCGGGGGGAGAGGGGCAAGAGTCCTGGAGGCCCGGCGGGGAGCGGGGCGATTTCGAAAGGAAGGACTGCAGCGCCCCTCGGGGCTTCTCGGGGAGCCCAGGTAACCTCACCTGACCGCCAGACCCAAGCAGGCGGAGGGGGAGCCGGGAGCGGACGCGTGGGTGAGTGGGGAGGGGAGTGAGTAGGTATCTTCTCTTCTCTCGGTGCATCCCTCACCTTTTCGCTTTTTGCCTCCTGGAGACAACTGAAATTCCTTCCCTAGATGGAGATGCTGGCTGAGGGAGGGCGAGTGGGGGCGACCACTTTTAAATCTCCCTTAGGGGACAGAGTGGCTGAGAGTGCTTCTGCAGAGTGGCTGCGGTTCGGTGCCTCTGTGGATCCGACAGTGAAGTGAGAAAGGCTTGATGGGAATCCATTTAGGCTGAAGGGTAAATGCAGGTGTGGAGCTGTCTCTCGGTATAGGGGTCAGGGCACACGAGCGCATCTAACAGGTGCCTCGCAAAGAGCAAGTGGGGTGGCCATGGTTAAAGGTCTCGCTTCCCCTTGCACTAACCCAGATGCTCGGCTCTTTTTAAATTATTGCTATTATTTTACTAATGGGAAGGGGGGGCGGGGTACTCGTCAGGTAAACTGTGATTTAATCTGAATTTAAGACCCAGTATTCTGCTAGCAGAAACAGAGCCACTCACAGCCTCGCCCTGCCCCCACTTGCCTTACTGGGTTTGGCTTTCTCCCCTCAACCAGCAGATCCCGGTTTTTAAAATTCACATTGTGTTGTCAGTTCTGTCTAGAGCAACTACTTAATTGGTTGCTGAAAAATTGAAACAACCTCACTAAGCTGCTAATTAGCCCAGGGGTCAGTATTAGGAGACACTGTAGCTGGCAGTGTTTGATGTAAATGTACCAAAAGTCCAATGGGAAAGTAATTGTCATCCTTTCGAAAACACGACCTTGAAAGGGTTGCTAACTTGTCCTAGGCATATAAAGGGACCTAGCCTTAATTATCCACAGGGATCATAGCACATATGTATATTACATAAGCCACACCATGGTGAGCCTTCACTTCTGGAACAACCGAGGTGGTTGGGTAGTTGGTGGCCCAGGGACTGGGAAGAAAGGTGCAGGGCATGGCCCTCAGTCCACTCACAGTGTACTTCTTCATAAAATGATGTTTAAACACACGGTCTAAGCTTCGCCGCCAGAAAGATCACTGAAATCCTCTGCTAGGGTTGACATCTTTACCCCAAGAAAGCAGCCTTTCACTGCAAAGGAGTAAAAGAGTCCACTAACAATGGAGAGAGGGATAAAGTGATTTATTAGTTTCCTTCTGAACACGGAGGAGGTTCAAGGGTGAGGACGAATGGATACCCTATTATCCAGTTAGCTTCCAGATGGAATGGTGATCCCCTAACCCAAACTTGGTGTGTTTTCCCAGGTTTCCCTTCTACTCCCCTTGGCCCTAGGTCCCTGTATTCCCTCCTTGTCTGGCAGACTCTCTTATAGTAAATGATCTTAGCCAAGAAGTGAATGAGTAAGTCCAAAGGGAAATCTGTTTAACATCTTTAAATGTCCCAAAATAGGCTGCACAACTCAAAATTGTCATTTTATGTGTTGGCTTTCCCAAACCGTTAAAGATTATGATCCTAAGAACATAGACTGCAGGAAATGCAATTATCAGACACTACGCTATGACTGAATTGTTGATCATTTGTGTATTATTTTGAAATATACTTTAATATGCCATATAGATTCCACATATAAACATGTGCAAACAACATAGGTGTATAAGTGCACAAAGACGCATATATATAGAACCTATATTTTAAAACTCATCAGTTGGACTGTGTAGGCTACTTTTAAATAAAAATCTTAGTCTCACCACCACACTTCAGAAATAACCATTTTTATTTTTAATAACCACTCATAAATTTCACACTTACTACATTGTACTTCCTCCTTCAAGTCCAGTCAACTCCATTTTCAATTAATAATTTGTTCCGATAAACAAATGTGCATTAAATGTGAAATGGTTCTCTGTGGATCCGGGCATCTCTCAGTTTCCTCAGGGCATTGTATCTTCTTGATAGATTCTGATTATCTCAACTCTCCTCTGATTGAAAACCCCCGTTTAAGGCAGCTGGGAAGTTCTTTCCATTACATCTTATTTAAAAGCCATTCTGTTTATTAAAATAATAGTTTTGGATGAGAAACAATGAAATTCGTAGAATGCTCATAGAATAACCTTTGCTGCACAACAGACTGTCTGGGGATCTTCATTAAAAAGACAGATGCTGCGATCCCATCCCAATTCTGCTAAATTGAAATCTATGGAAACAAGATTGAGGTAGCTGTGTTATTAACGGGTTCTCATCCACAGCTCCAATAACAATAAAAACCTGAGAACTTTTAGTTCCATGACTATTAGGGCAGGAGTGAATCCTAGGGATGAGGAAATCTATCATCCATTTGTTTCATAGTGTTAAAACTGACCCAAAGCTTAGCTAGCTTGCCTAAAATCATATGGGTAGCAAAGGAAAAGCTATGAAGAATGTGGTATTCAGAATCCTAGAGAAGATCAAAATTATTTAAAAGTATGAAAAAAATGTGATATTTGAAGAAGAAAAGGGGAATTAAAGTGGGAACATGCTCACCTCCAGACATTTAGAGGAAAAAAATACCTAGATTGTTGATCTGCAAATCTATGTCTTACCAAATAGTATTTTCCATTAACAGAGCAGGGAAATATTATCCACATCTAGTGGGAAAAACTGCAAAGGCATGGAGCAAAGGGTGTTGTTGAATGTTATAATACAGGAGAGAATGTAGAGCTACTAACAATGATTCCATTTACTACATAGGGGTGTCTGAATTTGTTCTTATCCTTATATGTGCTCAAAATTTCATTCTCTTCTCAACCACAGACTCCCAGGTGAACCTTTCAGCCTTGCAGCTTCAAATGTTTTGTAAATGAAACCTCATAGGAGCTTTGTATATGTTGTAAGAATGAACATTAATCTACTGACCTCTATTCTACTGGACTGTAAATTCCTAGAGATCAGAGAGCATGCTCATATGTCATGGTTCTTTTCATAGCGTCTTTAAACTCAAGCATTTGTTGAAAGTGAAGGTCAGCTATTCTGGCTCTCTATTCCCCTCAGCCTAGCAGAACTGCACTTTTCCTGAGGAGAAGTGGGTCCTGGGTGTCCTCCACAATCACAAGTAATATTCAAGTCAGAAAGGAGAAAGGGGCTCCCTTTGCGAAGTGAAAGTTCCTACACACTTAGGATAGCCTGGACCCCTCAGTAGAAAGCCTTCTTACTAACCACCAGCCCCCTGCCCTCACTTCCATTATTCTCTCAATACTGCAGTCCAGACACCCGCTGAACTGACCGGGGGAATGCAGCTGAGCAGGTAAGGCTTGGGCTGCAGCATCAGAGAGGCAACCCCAGCTAGCTGAGCTCAGTCCTGGATTGGGAAGGACCAGCATCTGTAGCCTCCTGAAATTTGTGTGGCATGGGAGGGACTGCATTCGATTTGGAATTGATCTCTGTGTTGAACTCTCCTACATTTCATTCACAAATAGCTAGGATTAACTGAGCTTTATCTCTCCCAGTGGCCTACGTGCATCTGTTTCCTAATGAAACCATCAACTTGTCTTCTTAAGGGGCAACCCCAACCTGTCTTGGGAGACTCAAAAGAACCTAAGTGGCAGATGGAATCTATTTTTATTTGCTGCAAAGTGGTTTTTCTCTTTTTTTCTTTCATGTGTCCTTCCCTATGTATAAGCCTCAGTTCAAATGTTTAGGAAAACACTTGATTTTGCTGTTCAGACAAAATTTATGAAGTAATGTTTCCAAAGAGAGTAAAGCTGTCCGATGTACCAATCTTAAGTAGCCCTAAATATAGTGGCTTGCTTTGTGGTCTAAGATTCTCCAGAATCTGCTATCTTCAAAATTATTTTGCCATCTCATGGACCCAAATGCCAAATCATGTCTTAGGCCCAAGAGATTATGTATCCAAATGGTAAGGAAATCTAAAGTCTTCTGCCTGCTAGTTCTTTGAATAAAAGAGTATATAGCCTTTAAAAAAATTACATATACAAATTCCCCCATTCCCCGACTACCTCGTATATAGAGAATATACCTATGTGTAATAATATCTCAGGGATTAATGTAATATGGTATTGTGGCCAAAGCAGATGTGTGAAATCACAGCAAATAAATTAACACTGCATTAAGAATCAAATCATTCCTGCTGACACATAATCTTTCACTTTTATATCAAGTCGTGATTCCCATTCACATCAGGAGCTTCCCAGGGGGGCTCATTAAACCTGCACAAAGAGATTTCTTTGAAGTCAGTGCTATTCCCATGAATAGCATTCAGCTACAGTGCAGAAGAGCCTGCCCGCCTGGTGTCTAGGCACCCTTCCCTTCACTCTCATTGTTGCTGTCCAGCCAGAGGCCCAGCAAGGCAGGCTATAGCAGGGCTTCCTGCTGAGTGCCTTTCTAGTCTGTATGAAAGAGATGAGGAAATTGCAGGGGAAATGCACATCGGTAGGACCTGCCCTTGACAGAATTGTTAAGCTGGGAGAATATATTTCTTTTCCCACATGTGCCCTTCTGCTCTTCTTCCACATCAGAGTGTACTGCTACAAGAGCTAAAAGTTGGTTCCATCCCGGTGCCAAGATTATTAAGAGGAATTGGTATTCATCCCAAAAGAACCTTCTCTAAGATCTGAAGCTTACATTCAAGGTTCCTTCTTGCGCTCATAATTGTACGTGGACTCCCCTGGTTGCCTGATATCTTGACTTCCTGAAATTCAGCTAATTTCTGTTTTTGCTGGGACTCTGGGGGCTCAGGCATTACTCAGCACAGAGGCTTTTGTATTTTTCTAGTTCTTGTCAACTACTTGCCTTCTGATCAACTCTTAGGCACCAACATTCAAATCTAGCGTGAAGAGCCTCTTGTTTCTGCAGCTGAGGTGAGGCTGGAAAGGAGCTACCACTCACTTATTGCTCATCTCATGCTCAGCCAAGGGTTTGTCACGAGCATGGACTCCAACTTGCCCATGTGGTCTGGCTCAGTCATCTCTGACCTTCAGATTCTCACACTGTCTCTTTTTGGTATATACTCATCATTCCACCTTGACTATAGACTGCCTTGGTCAACTCTTTCCTGGAACTTACCTTGAATTCATATCCTATTGACCTTAGAGCCTCCCACCATTGTGCTTCATGCAGTCCCTGCATGTCACTCCACCACCATAAAGGAAAGTAATCCGATAAACGAGCGCACACCAGAGTGTTAATAACCGATAACCACTTAATGTATTATCCTTCTCAGAAGAATTATCCTCATTTAAGTTGCAAAGCCTTCATCCAAAGAAATGAAATTTCCTAGGTAGTTTTCCAAACACTATGCATAAGGAGAGAATAGCTGTTTGGGGGCAAGGGTGTAGTGTTATGAGCCCTCCCAAATGACACCACACAAGCACTTGCTTCTTTTATTGATCGACAAAGTGCTCCTACTTGTGGAAATACAGAAATTACACAAATGTAATGATTCTTAAACTTTACTACACCATAGAATCACATGGGGAGCTTTGAAAAATCCCAGTGCCTAAGCTGTACCCCGACCAATTAACTCAGCATTTCTGGAGGTGAGATCTATGCTTTAATATATATTTTTAAAACTCTCCAGGTGATTTCAATAGGCAGTCACGTTTGAGCACTAATACAATAATATATGCTACCAACTACTCAGGCATAACAGCCTTGCAGGGCTTTTTCCTCATGCTGGGGATGGTGCTTCTGGACACAAAGTCAAAATTTCATTCTGAAAATGTGTTCATGTGGTTCTGTATGTACTTAATATAATCCATACAGGCTAAGTAGTTAGTTGCTAAACTGCAAACACCCATCTCGTTTCATCTCAGTCTACTCCTGGCCATCTGGTCCTCTGTATTCCCATTATAGGGCCATGTGTGTATTAATGAAATGATTGCATCCGATTACATCTTTTATTCAGAACACAAGAAGAACGGTCCATGGATTTTGTGCTTCAGCATCACTGTTTCTCTCATGATGTCAATAATTACATTTTTCTATTTTATGCAGAAGTGGGATGGTCTTCCATTAAGGTAAGAGTATAGATCAAATGTGTTATTGCTTACAATACAATTTCAGTACTGCTGTCTGGGGTCTATAGAACAGATATTTCAATCAAAAGCATAGAATTTCCTGAGCCAGATACTTGTTAGTGGCCTCCATTTTAAAATGTCTGTTGTATAGTTCATGATAATGACCAAGTTGTGACAACTGATACAGAGGAGGAATCCACTAAGAGTTGAGCTGGTCACTTTTTTCTCTAATTTTGCTAAACTTTGTCTCTACAACAGGTCAGATGATCAGAAAGCTACATGTCTAGACTGGTATTAATCTGTCATTGCTTGGTGGTAGAGCGAATGGTGTGGGGGAAGGACTAACTTCTTAACCCAAATACTTTCCACAGCCTTTTGTGTTATTGTTGCAACCAAGGCAATTCTCTTCCTAAGGAAAATTATAGTGCCAGCTGTTCAAATAAAAACAAATTTTCCTTCTTGTGACACTTGAATGAACAAATATGAATAAAAAATGGATGAATGAGTTAATAGCATGGTATTCTCTCTTTATCTACTGGTCACATTATCTCTTACACCTCTACCTTTCTGGAGTACACATCTAAAAACCGATAGATGTGCATGGATATCTACTGTGTGTGCACATGCACCGCTGCAACCAAATTCTTCCAGCCCATTAATATTTAATCTTTACAGATACAGAATCTTAGCCCTCTCATTCATTCATTTGTTGAATGAAGATTTATTCTTTGCTTACTATGTGCCAGGGAGATATAGCAGTAAACGAAACAACATGGTCCCTGACCTCATGGAGTTTAAAATCTAGCAAGAGAGGCATAGACTATTTAATCAAACATTAATTAACCAAGTAATCTAAAGTACTAAAGTGTAATTTTAAAACTGTGGTAAGTAACTACTGTAGATAGCTCTGAGATGTGCAGCCCTGAGTACAGAATGGGGCAGGGAGGGGCTGACCTACTTTCTGGGGAAGGGTTAGGGACTGAAAGGGAATCTTCAGCTGAGCTCTAAAGGAAGAGGAAGCCAGATGAAAGAGGTGGAAGAAGAGCTTTCTGAGCGGGAGGAACAGCAGTAAACAGGCCCTGTGGTAGGAAAGAGTCGCACATTCAAAGAACTGCAAGGTCTCTCTGACTGGTCCACACCAAAGGAGAAAGAAGTTTGAGACAAGGCTGGAGAGACAGGCAGGGCCATATAGGCTAGGATAGAGTTGTTAGCATTTTCCCTAAGAGTAATGTGCAGTATTTGAAGGCATGTAAGAGGAAAGTGACATGATATTTGTTTCTTAAAGTTCAATCTATTTGCATTACAGTTAGAATAGATTGGAGGAGGTTGGCAAGAGTGCATGCAAGAAAACTAGTGACAATACTAACATTGCTGATTGGTTATACTCAAGTTCAAGCACACCTCAGAGATAGTTTGTGTCCAGAGCACTGCAATAAAGCAAATAGCACAATAAAGTGAGTCACATAAATTTTTGGTTTTCCGATGCATATAAACGTTATGTTTAGGCTGGACACGGTGGCTCACTCCTGTAATCCTAGTGCTTTAGGGGGCGAGACCGGAGAATTGCTTGAGCCCAGGAATTTGAGACCAGCTTGGGCAACACTGGGAGACCCTGTCGCTACAAAAAATTTAAAAATACCTGGGCATGGTGGCGCTTGCCTATATTCCCAGCTACTCAGGAGGCTGAGGTGGGAGCATCACTTGAGACCCAGAGTTTGAGGCTGCAGTGTGCCATGATCATATCACTGGACTCCATCCTGGACAACAGAGTGACACCCTGTCTCAAAAACAAAACAAAATAAAACAAGACAAACAAAAAATAACGTTATGTTTACACTATATTGTAGTCTCTTAAGTGTGCAATAACATTGTGTCTAAAAAATAATGGATATTTCTTAATTCAAAAATTCTTTATTGCTAAAAATGCTAATGATCATCCAAGCTTTCGGCCAGTCATAATTTTTCTGCTGGTAGAGGATCTTGCCTCGATGTTGATGGCTACTTACTGATCAAGGTGGTGGTTGCCAAAGGTTGGGAAGGCTGTGGTAATTTTTTTAAATAAGACAAAAGGCCAGGCTTGGGGTGGCTCACATCTGTAATCCCAGCACTTTGGGAGACCGAGGTGGGAGGATCACCTGAGGTCAGGAGTTTGACACCAGCCTGGCCAATATGGAAAAACCATGTCTCTACTAAAAATATAAAAATTAGCCAGGTATGGTGGCTCACACCTGTAATCCCATCTGCTGGGGAGGCTGAGGCAGGAGAATCACTTGAACCTGGGAGGCAGAGGTTGCAGTGAGCCGAGATCACACCACCGCACTCCAGCCTGGGTGACAGAGTGAGACTCCATCTCAAAAACAAAAAACAAACAAACAAACAAACAAAAAGCGATGTTTGCTGCATCTATTAACTTTTCATTTCACAAAAGATTTATCTATGACGTGCAATACTGATAGCATTTTACCCACAATAGAACATCTTTCAAAATTGAAGTCAACCCTCTCAAACCCTGCCACTACTTTATCAACTAAGCTTACGTCGTAGTCTAAATTCTTTGTTGTCATTTCAACAATGTTCACAGCATCTTTACCAGGAGTAGATTCCATCTCAAGAAACTGCTTTCTTTGTTCATTCTTAAGAAGCAACTCCACATCTTTTCAAATTGTATCATGTAATTGCTTCAATTCAGTTGCATCTTTAGGCTCCACTTCTAATTCTAGTTCTCTTCTATTTCTACCACATCTGCAGTTAATTTCTCCACTGAAGTATTGAACTCCTTGAAGTCATTTATGAGGGTTGAGGTCAACTTTTCCTAAACTCCTGTTCATGTTAAAATTTTGACCACCTCCCATGAATCACAAATGTTCTCAATGGCATCTAGAATGATGAATCCATTGCAGAAAGGTTTTCAATTTACTTTGTCCAGATCCATCAGAGGAATCACTGTCTAAGACAGCTATTGTCCTATGAAATGTATTTCTTACATAGTATGACTTCAAAGTCAAAATTATTCTTTGATTCACGGGGTACAGAATGGATGTTGTGTTAGCAGACATGAAAACATTAGTCTCCTTGTACATCTCTATCAGAGGTCTTGGGTGACTACACACATGTCAATGAGCAGTAATATTTTGAGAGGTATTAGTTTTATTTGTTGTTGTTGTTTTTGTTAGATCTACTGATCTCAACAGTGGGCTTGAAATTTTCAGCAAACCATGCTATAAACTGATGTTTGGTCATCCAGGCTTTGTTGTTCCATTTACAGAGCATAAGCAGAGTAAATTTATCGTAATTCTTAGTGGGCCTAGAATTGTTGGAATGATAAATAAGCATTGGTTTCAATTTAAAGTCACCAGCTACATTAGGCCTTAACAAGATAGTCTGTCCTTTGAAGCCTTGAAGCTAGGCACTGACTTCTCTCTAGCTATAAAAGTCCTACATGGCATCTTCTTCCAATAGAAGGCTGTTTTGTCTGCATTTAAAATCTGTGGTTTAGTGTAGCTACCTTCATCAAAGATCTTAACTAGATCTTCTGGATAATGTGCTGCAGCTTCTACATCAACACTTTCTGCTTCACCTTGCACTTTTATGTTATGGAAATCGTTTCTTTTCTTAAATGTAATGAACCAACCCTCTGCTGGCTTCTAACTTTTCTTCTGCAGCTTTCTCACCTCTCTTAGCCTTCATAGAATTGAAAAGAGTTAGGGCCTTGCTCTAGATTAGGTTTTGGCTTAAAAGAATGTTGTGGTTTGATATTCTATAAAGACCACTAAAAGTTGCTTCATATTAGCTATAAGGCCATTTTACTTTCTTATCGTTCTTATGTTCCCTGGAATAGCACTTATAATTTCCCTCAAGAACTTTTTTTTTTTTGTGGAGGGGACAGAATCTCGGTCTGTCGCCCAGGCTGGAGTGCAGTGGTGCGATCTCGGCTCACTGCAACCTCCGCCTCCTGGGTTCAAGCGATTCTCCTGCCTCCACCTCCCGAGTAGTTGGGACTACAGGCGTGTGCCACCACACCTGGCTAATTTTTTGTATTTTTATTAGAAACGGGGTTTCACCATTTTAGCCAGGATGGTCTCGATCTCCTGACCTCATGATCCGCCCGCCTCGGCCTCCCAAAGTGCTAGGATTACAGACGTGAGCCACCGCGCCCGGCCCCAAGAACTTTTTCCTTGCATTCACAACCTGGTTGTTTGGAGCAAGAGGCCTAACTTTTGGCCTGTCTCAGCTTTCAACGTGCCTTCCTCACTAAGCTTAATTATTTCTAGCTTTTGATTTAAAGTGAGAGATGTATGACTCGTCCTTTCACTTGAACACTTAAAGGCCACTGTAGGATTATTAACTGACCGAATTTCAATATTCTTGTATCTCAGGGAATAGAAGGCCCAAAGAGAAGGAGAGAGATGAGGGAAGGGTCAGTTAGTGGAGCAGTCAGAACACACATGTTTATAGATTACGTTCACATGTGGGCATGTGTGGGCATAGTTCATGGTGCCCCAAAACAATTGTAATAGTAACATCAAAGATGATGGATCGTGGATCACCATAACATATGCTAATAATGAAAACATTTGAAATAATTATGCAAATTACCAAAATGTAATATAGAGACACGAAGTGTGCACATGCTGTTGGAAATATGACACCACTAGACTTGCTTGATGCAGGGTTGCCGCAAACCTTCAAGCACAGTGTATTAAGCACAGTGTTTGCAATGTGCAATAAAATAAGGTATGCATGTAACACCCATATGCACTTAGCTTCCTTCCCTTGAGGACTAGAAACACCTCGAGGATTTAGCCTTGTCTGCTGCCAGGTAAATGAGAGATGACTCCTCAGAGCCATCGTCAAGCATTGTCATTATGTAGGAAATAAATAGGCCCTGATTATAATGGTCAACATAAAGACCTTTATGATTAGTTGAATCTTAAATGGCAATTACTAATTGCAATGCCTTTTTCAAACATGTTTTTCTCTGGGTGCAGTAAATACATTGTGGAAGGCAGTCCCCTGGTATCTAGCAATTTTAACGAGGCAGTAAGAGTGGGCTCCCCAGTTAGGGAGGCCAGGACTTCTGTGCACCCTTTTTTTTTTCCTTAGAAACCCAGGTTTTGCCTGAGCTCTACAGTTCAGTCATGGCCAGGGCCAAGTCTAGGTAGAAGGTGGGGTTTGTTGGAGGATAAAGATCATTTTGAGACATTAATGTCTGAGAATTTCCAGAGATTTTGGTCATTCCTTTTGAGTAAAATTACTTATAGATGACACAATCATCAAATAAGACTAAGGAGATCAATACTGCTATTTATAAACAAATCGTGAACAGAACAAAATAAAAGCCGTCTTCTTAAGAATATATAGATTTTCTCCAGATTTGGTGCGATAACTCAAACAATTTCTGAGACTTGAAACTGTCTTCAGGGCCCCTTGTTAGTACGTAAGAAAATCCTAATTACTTGAAAAATCACACCTAATTTTTTTACTGTAAGTTGTGCCAGCTTCGTTATCCAATTACTTTTTATTATTGGATTCTGAAAATATATATTTTAATGAGTCTGATTTGAAAGAAGGAGACAAAATGTTTTGCCCCTGTATCATGTAGAATTTCTCGCCAACTCTGAGCTGGGATTCAGGTTCTCCAACTTACAAGTTGAGAGGTTTTCTTGTGTTGACCACTAAATAGCCAGTGACTTTCGGTTATTTACAAAATCAAATTCCCCTTCAAATAATGAGTTTGCCTTTACTGAGGATATTTATAAACATGTTTGCCAGCTCCAGAAAGAACAGCGGATGAGTTCCTAAAATGTTCTATGCAGAGGCAGCATGCTGTAATATGTACATGACCTTCCAAATGGTACTCAAGAGGGGCTGCTTTGAAGTGTGTGGTTATGCACACCATCAAGCTTTATACATGTTGATGAGATGGGGCGGGAGTCCATGCAGGCTTTTTTGATGAATGGACAGATCATACAGGATAGGTTTACCTTTCATTCAAAGTGTGTTTCCTAAGAATAGTATTACTAACAATATCACCACCTTATGTTTGCTTCATACCTTAGTATCTTAGCATTTCCAGAGCACTTTTTTCCCCTGGAAAAACTTATTTAATTATTGATGTGTTATTTCTTTTTTTTTTTTTTGAGACGGAGTCTCGCTCTGTCGCCCAGGCCGGACTGCGGACTGCAGTGGCGCAATCTCAGCTCACTGCAAGCTCTGCTTCCCGGGTTCACGCCATTCTCCTGCCTCAGCCTCCCCAGTAGCTGGGACTACAGGCGCCCGCCACCGCGCCCGGCTAATTTTTTGTATTTTTAGTAGAGACGGGGTTTCACCTTGTTAGCCAGGATGGTCTCGATCTCCTGACCTCATGATCCACCCGCCTCGGCCTCCCAAAGTGCTGGGATTACAGGCGTGAGCCACCGCGCCTGGCCTTGATGTGTTATTTCTATAAGAATATCTTATTTTATTTAGAAGATCTTGGAACTATGTTCTAAAGTATGATACATAATTGATATTTATCATTTAGTACAGTCTTTAAAACTTCAAGAAACCTGTATGAGAAAAATAAATTACCTAAAGCAAAAAGTTTAGATACCTGTGTGCTAAATGTAACAGATATTTAATAGGTTTAATCTATGCGAAGAAGACAGGTTTTGTTTGTTTGTTTGTCCCTCTCTTCCATATAATTTTATACATCTTGACAACTACTGGAGAAATAAATACTCAAGCTACTACTAGTTAAATGCATAAACTGCAAGAACTACTGCAATCTCTCTGAGGGTCATTCAATGCCTATTAATCCAGAGCACTTTTTAAAGCACTAATATCATGTCTAATCTCCCTAACAATCCTTGAGTATGAAACATAGGTCATCAACAAACTGGACACTGGTGCCCAGTTATCTATCTGCAGCCCAGAACTCTGCCGAGCTCCACACGATTGCCCCACAGATGCCTAGAAGCCAAAATATTGATAACAGGACTCAATATTTTCTTCCACAATTCTCTCCTATTCTGTCATCCCCCAGATCCGTTTTCTGCCATTCTCAGCCCTGCTCTGTGTCCTGGGAGGCTGACCTTTACAGACTGCAACTTTGGGTTTGCGTTTGAATTTGGCTAAGTGGAAGTCCTGGCAGAAGATTGACAGGTGAAAGAGGTGCAAGGTCAGGCATTTACTCCTCCCTGTTTCTTGAAGTTCTGGCTCCATCTCTTTGTGATTAGTTTCAGTTTCTTCCATGGGCCCCAGGTCTCACAGCATTCAGGTAATTCTATTTCTTTCCCTTGTCCCTGTGAACCTTTGGGTAGTAAAACTTCCTACTGTTGCTAGACCTTGGGTATCTCAGTATTCTTTGTTGGTTCCCTTAAACCTGCCCACACATCTATAGAAAGTTCCTTGATTGAAAAGTTTCTTCAAAAATCACAGCTGAGTGAGTCATATGTTCCCTGCTGGAACTCTAACTGATATACACCCATCCTTATTTAGTTTATTTTTATGCCAGCCTGATTGCACAAAATATAACCTAATTGCTCAAGCTAGAAATCTGGAGGTCCACTCCTACTTCCTCACCCATATATGAAGTCTTTATGACCTGTTTATCCCCTAAATATCTCTAAAAGCATTCTCATTGCTCTCTTCTCTTATAACTTATTTGGCCCAAGCCTTTCAAAATAGCCTCCCTATTTATCTTCTAAACATCCTTCATACTGCTAATGGAATGTTCTTTCTATAATGAAATCTGGCCAACTTATTTGCATTTCATCAGTGGTTCCTACAGCCTTCTGGAAAGGTCAGACTCATTAGCAAGCCAATAAAGAAAGTTGCTGAAGATCTGGCCTGTACCTATCTTTCCAGCCTGATTACCTGTCCTCTTGCCACATACTCCTTACATTCCAGCCGTAGGGGTCTTTTTGCAGTTCCCCCAAAAACATGCTATTCCCTCTGCAAGGAATGCCCCTTCCTCACCTTTCCCACGGGCTGGCTCCAGTTCATTGACCTCAAGCTTCCTCTCCTGCTGTAGCCTCAGAAGGGAGCTATGGCATGAATTAGGGCAACTTTGGACAAAATGGTGCTGCAGATAGGCTGTCCCTGCTCTCACAAGCTCCAGACCAGTTCTTGTCAGGGGAATTTGGGCAGAAATCTTAGCAGGAACTAAGCACCTCTGTGGCACTCTCAAATCCAACTGCCTGTCTTCATCTCTGTCACTGCCCTCATTCAGGTCACTTCTCCTTTCTTCCCTGAATAATTCATTTGCCTCCCCAGAGGCCTCCCTGCTCCCATTGACACTCCTGTGCACCCTTTGTGCTGCAGAGTGATTGACCTGCATTGAAAGTCCAGTCCTTCCTCTCCTATTTATGGTTCACCATTAATATAAAACTTTCCATGTCTTTAGCAGTTTGGCCTTACATAAACTGGCTCTTGTTTCTCTCTTCAGTTTCATCTTTTACAGCTCCTCCTTGAGCACCTAAGTTTCAGTCATACTGAACTAGCCACAGTCTCCCAAATTCACACTTGTAGTATGCCTCAGGGCACCACATGTGCTGTGCCCTCTGCCTAGGAAGCCTATTCTTTAGCCTTCTCCTAACCCCTACTTCTTCCTCCAGACTCAGGCCAGCTAGCTATCTAGGGAGACTCCCCTTGCTCCCACCCCACCACATCCCTGCGTATTTGTGTCAGGTGCTCCTTCCAGCATGTAATTTTCCATGCCATGTAATAAAATAAAAATAGTCACCAATAGACTATAAGCTTATCCAGAGCAGGAATTGCTTTTGTTTTGTTCCGTTCTGCTTTGGTTTTACTTTTATCCCCTTCAGTACCTAGCATGGGCCCTGCATGTAATAGGCACTCAAATATTTGCTAAGTGAAGCTTTATGAATAAAGCAGCGGTAGATTGCCAGTCCAGGAGTGAGAGATTTCATGTCCCGGTTTTTCCATGACCAGCAGAATCCATTCATTAACCCTCCCCTCAGGCACAGCCTTCTGCAGAAATCCTTTCTGACCCTTCCTCTTCTTCTTTAGGCTTGGTGCCCCTTATGGGGGCACATGTTATTGTTTTGAATTTTTTATTTGTATAGACTTAGGTGCAAGTGCAGTTGTGTTACATGGATATATTGCATAGTGAAGTGTGGGTTTTCAGTGTAACCAGCACCCAAACAGTAAACACTGTACCCAATGGGTAGTATTTCATCATTCACCTTCACCCCGCTACTACTCTCCCATTTTTTGGAGTCTACAATGTCTGCTCTTCTACTCTGTATGTCCATGGGAGGGCACTTGTTTTTGAAGAGGTAATTTAATGGGATCATGAAAGATTTGGGCCTAAATTCTGCTCTGCCACTTGTTTCTAGCTGTACAACTCAAGTTAAATTACTTAACTTTTCTGGGCATCGGCATCCTCCACTAAAAGGCCAGTAGTATCACTGGGTTTCTGGGAGCATCACATGACATATTTCCCGGCACATTGTAAGTGCTCAATAAACGTTGGTCTCCGTTTCTCCTTTGTGCTCCCTCAGCACCCTGGTCATATCCCATCAGCTCCCTGGTCTGCCTCCCTCCTTGAACTTGAAGTCTAGAAGTGTATGTTCTAGCTCTCGTTCCACAGGACCCATGGGAAATGCTCAATGACTGTTTGTGGACTGAATAAAATTTCCCATTTTACTTGTGATCAACCTGAGGCTTAGAGAGATTAAATGACCTGCTCAAATCATGCAGCAAGGAAACGGTTAAACCAAGAACCATGACACAAATCTAATGCTTCAGCCAATACTTGTTTCATACGGTATTAAACCATGAGATGAATGTATAGTGTAAACCTATATCCATGTGATAGGATCTGTGCACGTGTACACAGGTATGGCCCCACAAGATATATCAAGTACTAGACACAGTCTCACTTGCCCACATGGAAGAATTGGATTCAGTGTTTATCTCTATCAGCACATGCCCCACCACATACCTCAGCTTTCTGGTTCTACCATCTTCCTAAAATAACTACAGTACAATATAATTTGTTGAACAGATAGAGTTTATATTATGGTAGCTACATAAACAGTGTTCACAACTTAGCAGTGTTATATTCCATAATTCTTTTCTTTCCTGTGCAAAATTCTGTTCTCCCTGGTATGAAAATTTCTGTTTGTGTGTATGCTTGGTTTTCTAAGGACTTATCACTACTTCAAACCCCAAATTTTCCTCTGTTGCCTCAATCATCTCTCAAAATATTTGAATACATCATGTTCTACAAGTTACATGTTCATGGAGAAATATCTTTTGCAACATTCCGACTTCTTCAAACTGGCCTGATTGAGTTTCTGTGTAATTTATTTTTTCTTGATATTCTCTCTTGTTTCGGTGAAGCCCTTCCTCTGGTAGCTTTTTGAGAAAGAGTCCATGGGAGGAACATTTTAAAGACCTCTCACATCTGCAAGTGAATTCAATCTACTGTTACATAATCATTTCCGTCAGAATTTTAAAGTCATTCCTCCACTGTCTTCTAACTTCCAATGTTACATCTGAAAACAAAGTCTTTCTGATTTTTGAAGTAGCGTATGCAACTTTTTCTTTTAAAGCTTTTGAGATCTTTTCTTTGACCTCAGTATTCTAAAAATCTCACGATAGTATGCTTTGCTTGGTGTGAATCTTTGCTTCATCTACTGTGCTAGATACGAAGGGGGCCCTTTAAACAATCACCACCACCCCCACCACCACAACAAAACTGATGCCCGTCAGTTCCAGGAAAAGTTGTTGAATTGTTTGTTGCTGATTTACTTCAAACCAACACCTCCATTTACTCTGTTCTTTCCTTCTAGAAGGTATCACTTGAATCTTGGTCCTCCTGGTCTCATCCTCTAATTTTTATCTTCCTTTAATCCTCCATCTCTCTGCTTTCTGAGAGATTTCCTCAGCTTTTTCTTGCGTTTCATTTGTTGCATTTTTAAAATATCTATGGTCACATTTTTAATTTCTGAGAGTTTGTTTGCATTGTCTTTGCTCGTTCTCAGGATAATAATTATAATATTTGATGTTCTCATCTCCTTTTATAGTCTGTCTTTCCTCTAAACTTTTTAAAATGTTTATTTTGATCTCTGTATTTCACATTAGAGGCTCTTCTCTTCAGATATCTGCTGACTTTTGGTTGTCAACTCATGTTTAGGAATGAATAAAGCACTAAGAACCTGATAGGAAATCTGAGAGCACAAGACGGACCTACCAACTATGGGCAATATAGAGCTATGGTTCTCGACAGCAGGCAAGACACTGGTGATTGTCACAACTCTGGGAGATAGTACTGGCATCTGGTGGGTAGAGGCCAGGCATGCTGCTAAATATTTTACAAAACACAGGACAGCCCTCATAACAAAGAGTGATGCTGCCCAAAAGGTCACTAGATTTTGTAGAATATCACAATGGGTCATTGAGTTAAGTCACCCCTGATACTAATATTTTTTATCTTTCTCCTGGGCTGATTAGATTTTGCAGGCAAGAACCTACCAGTCTCCTGCCTAGAGGCTACAGCCTTGGATCCCACCATTCTAGAAGCCCGGAGGGAGAAATGGGCTGGTGGTTTCAATAGTCCGTATATAAAAGTCACTTAAACACTCTGTTACAATACTGTCTCCTCACCATCAACTCTGGCCAGTGTTTTCCCAGTCCAGAAGCCCTCTCCAGAGGCTAAACATCTAGTTCTCTATTGTGGTGGAGGAACGGCAATTAATTGTCTACATGGAGTGGTGAAGGGGATATAGAACTTGAATTTCTTCCTCAACAGACTTTCAAACAACCCTCCTGTTTTTAGTTACATCCTTACCTCCTCTTCAGCCCCAGTTCCTGAACCTTTGGGACTGGCAGATTTCTGTTGTGTAAAACAGACTGTAGCTCAGCTTTTTCTACAGCTGCCTGCTAAGTCATTATCACTCATCTATCTGCCTTCCAGCTTTCTATTTTGTTTGCTCTTATAGATTTATGGCTTCTTAAAAAAATATATTTGCTACCATAATAGTGAGGTTTCTGAAGGGAATGAGAGCAAATGCATGTGCTCTCTTCTCCATCTGTTATATGGAGGTCCCACAATTTTATTTTTCATGTTGAGCATTTACTGGTGTTTTCCAAAAAGGCAATCCTAAATACAATAAGCCCATCATCAAATGAAAACAATGCATCTATACTGAACACCTGCCACATACAGGGTGAAATGTCTGCATTCTGTTGAATCTCTCGTGGCCAGTTTGGAGGTGCATGTTACCAGATGGATTTTGATGTCAGGAGTGATTTGGTTGCTTTTTTTCTCTTAAAGAAATCTACTGATTACAAATATCAGAGGTTAATTTGGAGCTCCTATCAGCTGCAGGATTCAGTGTAATAGGAGCAGAGAAAAAACTGTTTTAACCAAAACCCAAGAGAAAATAAGAATCCAAACACAATCTGCTAAAAATAAAATAGCAGTGTGGACTAATTGACTCATAGAGTTCTGTGTGAAGAGAATTCAGATTTCTCCAGCTGACCAGCTCCCTGAGCAGCTGGAAAAATGACTTTAGCTCAATGTCACTGGCTGTGATCTCTCCTTAGAAATTTGATTTTCACTATGGTCCTTTGAAATCTGGTGATTTTGGAGGAGACCTGGATTACACTCTGGATTTCCATCCCATGAGCAGATGCTGCTTGCAATGCCAACTGAAGCATCAATTCATGTTAAAAAAAAAAATCTGCTTTGAAAGCAGAGAGGGGATGTAGCCATGCTTCCCAGGTACAGTGGGTGCCAGCTAAGATTCTTTCGCACTCCAGCTTCAAGTCTTACATGAAGGCAGATACTACATTCCACCACTGGGAAGGAGAGAAAGCAGGATTAAAGGCACATTTGCATTGAAGTAGTGCAAATAAATGCAACCCAGAGCAGCTGAAACCTGAGCCCAGAACGATGTGACTCCTCCATTTGAACTTCTAAGGGGACTACTTTTATGGTGCCATGGCAACAGCATCACCTTCCATGGTTCTCTTGAAGAAAATTTTGCAGAAACATAATCAGAATATATGAGTATTTGGCACTGATTTGATGAGCCAGTGATCAAAGTATTCATTTCTTATCACATTTTGTTGTGCAGCTTTTAACTTCTAAGAAATTATCCAAATAATATTCAGCATAGAAAAATTAGAATATGCACATAAATAAGGAAAACTACCAGTAGTCTCTCAACTCAGATATAAGCACTGCCTTGCAGTTATTTTCCTATGCCTATATACCCAACTATATGCAAGAGGGAGGGTAAAATAAAGATTCTTTTTTGAGACAAAGAAGGAAAGGGTTTTCTACTCATAGACCTTCACTGAAATAATTACACAGAGCTGTCAGTCAAGAAAATAATTAAAGCCAGAGTGGGATGTGAGGGAAAAAATTATGAGGAAAGAAAGGTAAACTTCTTTCAAAAAGAATCTATTGTACGTATCTAACGTGAGTGAAGTGAGAATAAATACAAGACTATCATAACAGAAAGAGCAGAGAAGTTAACTTTAGATTGTGTTGAGTTAAACATATATTAAGTGCTTAAGAGCAAGCACTAGAAGAATAGAAATAGAATGTACAACTTCCGTGCTAGTTGAGAATGAAAATGGGGGATGAGAAGAATAAAGAAAACAATTCAGTGGAAGTGAGAACATCAGTCTTCTTGAGCTGCCATAATAAAATACCATGACTGGTGGCTTCTGCAACAGACATTTATTTCTCACCACCCATAAGGTGACTCTCCCCCTAAACCCAATGTCATTGACAAAAGCAACACCTACCAAAGAGGAGGGATAAGGACGTGGCTGAGATTCACTCAGTACTTAAATCCCATTAAAGCAAAGATCAGACTAGAAAAGCAGGGCACAGACAGAGAGCCTGATCCTTGGAAAAGAAGAGGTCTACAGTTCATTCGACTTCAGTGTTTAAGAATGAAGGGTCAGCGGTTCAGTCCTTCAACAAATAGCAATCCAGTACCTGCTAGGGAGGAAGATGAGAATTTCAGGACCAAATTATTCATTCAAAAGACGTAAAGAAAATACAGAATAGACAGCACTTAGATCTACTGTAAAAGAACCTCAGGGATGTCATTTTTAAATGCTTTAAAAAGGGATCCACAAATCCAGAGGTATTATATATGTGAAATTTTCACTGACTAGAAACAAAAGTTTGTGTTGGATGAACTACTCCCTAAAAAGCCCATCTCCTCAGCTCATGGGAATGTTGCTGTTTGTGCTGAGTGAAAGGGCATTTCCACTTCTCCAACTGCAAAAGCTGTATTTCTTTCAATATTAAGGTTAATGAGGGCTGGGCCCTGTAATCTACATGAGTAGGTTAATTCTCATGTGTCCTAGATAGTTGAGAGAAAAAGAGATTTAGAACTTCAGCTGAAGGGGAATGCACAGACCGCCATGCCGGAAATGAAGGCGTGCAAAGGAAGCGAGGAAAATCACTCCGTACAGGGGTCACTCCACCTCAGCTTCTCCACCTGTGAAGGGGGCATGCCCAACTGAGCCCTCCCTCCCCAAGGCATGAAAGAGACATGCCAGTTCACAGGCTTCAAACACTTTTGGAGAAAAGCAGTTATAGATATCATTCAAGATTTGATGATATTATAGTAAGAGAAATATTGTATCAAAATTAACAGAGCTGCCATGACATTGGCTGGAAGAACACAAGCATCTTGAGTGTGTTTTCAGAAGTGGGATGTGCTTTGAATTGATCTCCTGCCCCGTTATCAAGAGTGTGACTTGCAAGATGCCGTTAGAAACATCTTTATCCTACTAAGTTGAAAGATCAACGTTTTGAAACGTTACAATTAAATGAGACTATTTCAACATGTTTGTTTAAAACGACGACACATTGTGCCCAAAGGTAAAAGAGTGGGACCCCTGTCATGACATCCTTTCTCATTCAAGGCTGTTTTTGACACTGTTGTGACGACAAAGGTGAGGGCAAAGAAGGCAGACATAAGAGGTTCCTGTGTGTTAACCCTCACAATAAAGTCTTCACTGTTCCCTTCAAATATATAGGTGCCTTCATTGTTAAAATCAAAGCTGATAAACAGAATGATTTTGGATTCATTCACTCTGGCACTGCCTGGCTCCGCGCTAGACACTTTGTGCTAGAAAACCATGGTGTGAAGAAAAAGGCCAGTAGTAGAGACAAAAACAAACTAGATAAGCAATCAAATAGCTTGAATTATGGTTAATATGAAATGCCAGAGCAGACGGGACTCATCTACAGTGATAGAGGATTGTCTGGGGTTAAGGTACAGAAGATTGAATTTGGAGGATCAGGAGGAAATATGGGGGTGATTTAAAATGTACTATATTTTGATTAGGATGAAAGTTATATATATTTGTCAAAACTAATTGAATTGCATACTTATAATGAACACATTTTATTGTGTATAAATTACACCTCGATAAAGTGTAAACACTCACAGAAAATTATGTGACACATGCTATGAAGGAGACAAACCCAGATAACATAGTGGGGTGGAGTTGAGGTCAACTTAGATGAGGTGTCTCAAGAAGTCTTTTCTGGCAAATAAGATTCTCTGTTGGAAGGAGTATTAAATAAAATTTATGGGACACTGTTGTTTTGGACTGAACTTCTGCACTAGGCCCCAAGATACCAGCCCAAACCAAAATGGAGTGAGTCACTTGTGCTGGGTGCTACGTAAGCACTGAACTTACAAACAGGCCTGTTTTTCAAGAAAACAGGAGATTCACAGCAAGCAGTCCAAAGGGGTCCAGTCAACCTCAGCTGGCATGATAAGAAAGTCTCCTCTGCTTTAACCCCATAAAGAAAGTAGCTTTGAAATGACTGATCTGTGTTTTATTCCTTGTTTCTGCTTTCTTCAGCCTTTTCTGCCTATAAAGCTCACCTCCTCTGCTCAGCTCATCAAAGCACCTTTAAATTTCATAGATAGGGTGCTGCCTGATTCATGAATTACTAATAAAAGCCAATTCTATCACTAAACTCAATTTGTTAAAATTTTGTCTTTTGACAGGAGGAAAGAGCTCAATGCGGAATCACATAGGCAAAGGCTCTGATTATTTTCCTTGCAATCGAAGACAAAAGCCGCCATGTTTATTAAAATGAAAGTCGTATTTTTACTCTTCCCTGGAAAGAAGTATGTGCAACCAGACCATCCCACCAAAGTCCTTCTAGGTAGGGGGATAGGAGAGTATTAGCTAAAGAATACAAAGTTTTTTGGGGGGGTTGATAAAAATGTTCTAAAATTGACTGTGCTAATGGTTGGTTACATTTATCTGTGAATATACCAAAAACAATTGAATTGTATGCTCTAAATGAGTGAATTGTATAGGTGTAAATTATATCTTAATTTTTTAAAGTTTTAAAGGTAATATAATTCTCTGATGAGCCAGGTTAGGATGTGAACTTTAGCCATGGACTAAAGCAAAGTACACGGGAAAAAAAATCCTTCATTTTGACTTAGCATCATATATGTTGAAACAACAAAATGTAACTAGAGAAAATTTAAATATATTTTCTATTTCATTCATATGCCAAAGGAAAATTAAACTCCCCTTCCTCCAAAAAATGGAATAACCGTACCCAGTAAGAGACTTCTATTTTTGATAGCATGGCACTTTGGATACATTGAAGAGCCCTCTCAAGTGAAATAAAAATTCTGGGTAACTGTTTATTATTATTATTATTATTATTATTATTATTATTATTATTATTATTATTATTTGAGACAGAGTCTCATTCTGTTGCCCAGGTTGGAGTGCAATGGCGCGATCTTGGCTCACTGCAACTTCCACCTCCTGGGTTCAAGCGTTCACCTGCCTCAGCTTCCCAAGTAGTTGGGATTACAGGCACGCTCACCATGCCTGGCTAATTTTTGGGTTTTGTTTTTGGTTTCGGTTTTGAGACGGAGTCTTGCTCTCTCGCCAGGCTGGAGTGCAGTGGTGCGATCTTGGATCACTGCAACCTCCGCCTCCCAGGTTCAAGTGATTCTCCTGCCTCAGCCTCCCTCGAGCGTAGCTGGGATTATAGGCACGTGCCACCACGTCTGGCTAATTTTTATATTTTTAGTGGAAATGGAGTTTCGCCATATTGGCCAGGCTGGTCTCGAACTCCTGACCTCAAGTGATCTGCCTGCCCCCCAAAGTGCTGGGATTACAGGCGTGAGCCACCGCACCCGGTCACGTTTATTATTTTAAATGTATTATACAGCTGGCATAAAATAACCTAAAGGGCCCTAACAAAAAGTGAAATCTTGGGGAGGTGAATATCTAAAGCTGAGGATAATAGTGAGAATACGTTAGGTCACACAGTGGTAACAAACACAATCTCAGTGATTAATGTAACAGCAATTTATTTTTCATTCATGCTTCATCTCTGCAGGGGCCTCTGGTTACTCTAATTCTGTGTGGACCCTGGTTGATGGAAACTTCAATCCAACCTTTGACGATTGAAGTGAATTTTTTTATTTTTTATTTTATTTATTTATTAGTTTTTTTTTTTTAGGCAAGGTCTCACTCTGTAGTCCAGGATGGAGTGCAGTGGTGTAATCTTGGCTAACTGCAACCTCCACCACACAGGCTCAAGGGATCCTCCCACCTCAGCCTCCTTGTAGCTGAGACCACAGGAGTGCCCCACCATGCCTGGCCAATTTTTTTATTTTTTATTTTTGTAGAGGTGAGGCAAGGTCTCACTATGTTGCCCAGGCTGGTCTTGAACTTCTGGACTCAAGTGATCTTCTCAGCTTGGCCTCCCAAAGTACTGGGATTACAGGCATGAGCCACCATGAGCCACCATGCCTGGCCCTGCAATTGATTTTTAAAGTCTTTGTATCATGCTTCACTCTCTTCCAGTTTGGATATATATATTTTTTTATTTTTTATATCTTCCTATTAAGATGTATACTTAGAGCAAATACTCATCAAGTTCCTTCTGATGAATACTCCATCCCTACCAAGCTACAGTTTTCTTTTTAAAAACTAGGATCCTTATACTATATTTCAATGATGGAGCTCCCTTTTATATATTAAAATCAAACCAGTTATTATAACACAATGGAATTGACACTCTAGGGTAATGGATATAAAAAGGAATCTGGCTACTCTTTATTGTAAGAGTTACACAGTTTTAAAATAAGTTCCTTCAATTTCAAAGGAGACTCAAATGGTGTGAAAAGTGCTTTCTAAACTGAGAATTCAGAAAGCCAGTTTAGATTTCCTGGATAGGCTCTGTGGTGTAAGGCCATGGTAATTATTAATGGAACTCTTTAAACCCTGTATCATATAGTCACATTTTCTTGCTTCATAAAACGATTTAGATCAATCTCTCCTTTGGAAGACAAAGAAGAATCTGGCTCTACATTCTTGGCCTTTAGAGTTTGTGCTACCTAAATTGTCTATTTGCTCTTGGACTACATTGTTCCGTAAGGATCTCCACTAACTAAACCATTCTGGACATAAATGCTGGAATTCGCCTTCTTTAAACATCATTCCAGTGGGCCACTTCTCTTCTCAGGAAATGTCATCAATTCCTGAGTAAAAGCACGTATTCTCTCATATCAAATCCAAATTTCCACACTTGTCTTTCAAATTCTTGCACATCACACACACACACACATACACACGTGTAGGTACAATGTGTAATATATAATATATATACAGTATATCAATATATTTAAATATAGTCATATTAATATGATTATAAAGTATTGTTTTATTTATATAAATTTATAAGTATATACATTTTACATGTAAATATAAACATATAAATTATTTATATAATTTTATGTATATAAAAATTTTACTATATTTTTAAACATTATTTTTATCTGTTCTCTACTTTCTAAATGAAATTTCATTTCTGAATTCTAACAACCTATATTACTTTTTAAAAATATAATGTCAACTTTTATTTTAGATTCAGGGGATACATATGCAGGTTTGCTACTTTGGTATATTGTGTGGTGCTGAGATTTGGGGTACAATTAATCCTGTCACTCAGGTTGTGAACATAGTACCTGATTGTTTTTCAAATGATCCCTCCTCTCTCCCTCCCTCTCCCTTCTAGTAGTTCCCAGTGTCTTTTGTTGCCATCCTATGTCTATGAGTACACAATGTGGTTGAGAACATGCAGTATTTGATTTTCTGTTCCTGCGTTAATTCACTTAGGATATTGGTCTCCAGCTGCATCTATGTTGCTGCAAAGGACATTATCTCATGCTTTTTTATGGATGAGTAGTATTCCATGATTTATATGTGCCACATTTTCTTTATCAAATCTGTCATTGATGGACATCTGGTTTGATTCCATGTCTTTGCTATTGTGAATAGTTCTGTGATGAACATATGCATGCATGTGTCCTTTTGGTAGAGTGATTTATTTTCTTTTGGATATATACCCAGTAATAAGATTGGTAGATCAAATGGTAGTTCTGTTTTAAGTTCTTTCTGCAGTGACTGAACTAATATACATTCCCACCAGCAGTGTACAGGTGCTCCCTTTTCTCTGAAGCCCCACCAGCATGTGTAACTTTTGACTTTTTACTAATAGCCATTCTGACTGCTGTGAAATGGTATCTCATTATGGTTTTGATTTGTATTTCTCTGATGATTGGTGATGTTGAGCATCTTTTCATATGTTTGTTGGCTGCTTGTGTGCCTTCTTTTGAGAAGCGTCTGTTCATGTCTTTTGCCCATTTTTAATAGGGTTATTTGTTTTTTACTTCTTCAATTGTCTAAGTTCCTTCTATATTCTAGATATTAGCATATAGATGTTGGATGCATAGTTTGAGAATATTTTCTCCTATCTGGTAGGTTGTCTGTTTACTCTGTTGATCGTTTCTTTTGCTGTGCAGAAACTCTTTAATGTAATTAGGTCCTACTCATCATTTTTGTTTTTGTTGCTATTGCTTTTGAGGACTTAGTCATAAATTATTTCCCAAGGCTAATGTCCAGAATGATGTTTCCTAGGTTTTCCTCTAGGATATTTATATTTTGAGGTCCTGCATTTAAACCCTTAAATCTTTAATCTATCTTGAGTTAGTTTTTATATATGGTGAAAGGTATGGGTCCGATTTTATTCTTCTGCACATGACTAGCCAGCTATCCCAGCACCATTTATTGAATGGGGAGTCCTTTTCCTATTGCTTAGTTTAGTCAACTTTGTCAAAGATCAGGTGGCTGTAAGTGTACAGCTTTATTTATGGGTTCTCCATTGTGTTCCATTGCCCTATGTGTCTGTTTTTTTTTTTTTTTTATACCAGTACCATGCTGTTTTGGTTACTGTGGCCTTATACTATAATTTGAAGTCCAGTAATGTGATGCCTCCAGCTTTGTTCTTTTTGCTTAGGATTGCTTTGGCTGTTCAGGATCTTTTTTGGTTCCACATGAATTTTAGAATAGTGTTTTCTCTTTCTGTGAAAAAATGACATCGGTGATTTGATAGGAATAGCATTGAATCTGTAGATTGCTTTGGGTAGTATGATAACAACATTGATTCTTCCAATCCATGAGCATGGAATGTTTTCCATTTGTTTGTGTAATCTGTGATTTCTTTCAGTAGTGTTTTGTAGTTCTCCTTTTAGAAAACTTTCTTCTCCTTGGTTAAATGAATTTCTAGGTATTTTAAATTTTTGTGACCATTGTACATGGGATTGTATTCTTGATTTGGCTCTTGGCCTGGCTGTTATTGGTGTGTAGAAATGATACTGATTTTTGTACATTGAGTTTATATCCTGAAACTTTACTGAAGTTGTTTATCAGTTCCAGGAGCCTTTTGGTGGAGTCTTCAGGGTTTTTGAGGTATAGAATCATATCAGCTATGAAGAGAGATCTTTTAGCTTCTTCTTTTCCTATTTGGATGTCTTTTATTTCTTTCTGTTGCCTGATTGCTCTGGCTAGGACTTCCAGTACTATGTTGAATAATAGGAGTTGTGAAAGTAGGCATCCTTGTCTTGTTCTAGTTCTCAAGGGGAATGCTTTCAGTTTTTGCCCATTCAGTATGACATTGGCTGTGGGTTTGTCCTTGATGGCTCTTAGTATTTTGAGATGTGTTCCTTCAGTGCCTAGTTTCTGGAGGGTTTTTAGTCAGGAAGGGATGTTATATTTTACTGAAAGCTTTTTTTGCATCTATTGAGATGATCATATGATTTTTTATTTTAATTCTGTGTATGTAGTGAATCACATTTATTGATTTGTCTATGTTGAACCAACTTGGCATCCCAAGAATGAAGCCTACTTGATCATGGTGAATTAACTTTTTGATGTGCTATTGGATTTGGTAGTATTTTGCTGAGGATTTTTGCATGTATGTTTAGTGGGGATACTGACATGTAGTTTGATTATTTCATGTGTCTTTGCCAGATTTTGGTATCAGGGTGGTGCTGACTTCATAGAATGAGTTAGGGAGGAGTCCCTCTTCCTCCATTTTTGGGAATAGTTTCAGTCTGATCTGGTAGAATTTGGCCACAACTTGCTAAACTCCCTGATAATAAGAGCTATCAGACCCCCTCCTAACTCTGATTTACAACCCAGATCACTACAACTCTGACTGGGCAGAGGACCAGCCTTATAAACATTCTCTTCAACTGAAGACCATAAGCCAGTTTCGGCCAATATATAAAGGTTATGTGCAAACTCTCTTTGTGTCCTATAGTTCACTTTTGGTGTAAATCGCCAAATTTCACTTCATTTTAATGCTAAACCCCTGCCCCAAAGTGAACATGGGATGTACATTACATATATGTTTACCTATTGTGCATATCTTGGATCCTTCATAAATATGGACAGCTTCCCCGCACACCTGCTAAATATGTATGACATGGTTGTGTAATATGGACTGTGTGAGTCATAAAACCCAACCTGCCCTTTCCTTCCTCGAAGACAGAGTACCTTTGGTCCAGACTGGAGACTATTTCTTCCTGGTTTGCAAACTGACATCTACAATAAAGCTCTCCTTTCTACTATGTAGCCATTCCTGGTGGTCTTTTAGATGACAGCCCTTACCCACTGTACCCTAATCCTTCCCACTTGTTTGAAGATGTCTAAAATTCTACCTAGTCATTTCATTCATTTGAAGAGTAATGCAGATCCTCCAGTAGGTGTGATCACATAGGCTGTTCTCAATTCAAATTTTAGTTTAAATATGTTTCTAATACTTCCCAGAGTTAAAGGAAAACAGATATAATATATAGTGGGTGGTGTTCCACCAAAACGCTTGCATAATACAAGAAAAACATCACACGCACACACAACCCTTACCCAAGAGGTGTGTTCAGGCACTCATGTTTTTTTTCCCTGAGCTGTAGCAGCTCCATATTCTTATTTCTCTTGGCAACTTTTTGCCTTCTTTGCTTTCTCAACCCATCTTGGCCACCATCTGCTATGTGTCAGTTCCAGAGACCACAAACAACTAACAGCACCACCTGTGCTTCTTAGTTCCAGCTAAAGAGAGGAAAAAATGTCTGATTGGTTGCTGGTCCTTAGATATACAAGTCCTCATGCCAGACATATTCCCCTCTGGTTCCATTAGACCTGGGGCCATGCATGAAACAAACTTGTCTGCCTAGGGCCATTCCTTCAGGAGGAGTTACATGAGTAAATCTGTGTAGGAGAGATGGGTACAGTTCATTTATAAGGGGGAACTGAAGAGATAGAGAATGCAGAATGCCTGCTGTTCCTGATGGTTTTGCAGTTCTAAATTCCCATTTGCTATGAAGTCTAAGTCTACTTTATATCTTCAGATTTTAGGAGTTCCTCTATATCTCTTTAATAAACTCCCTTCCTAACTTAACTCCCTAGTTTGAGGAGAGTTCTGTTCCTTGAGACTAAGAGCATTGACCAGGATCTAGAGCCAAAGAACATGAAGCCCAAATCCCTAAAAACACAAAAGAAATTCCATGAGGCAGAGGCATGGCACAAAGCCAGGAAGTTGAGTGGGAGTAGGAGTAGGGACAGTGTTTCTCCCTAAGTGCCTGCTCCTGTACAGATCCAGCTGGCAGGAAAAGGAGTTAGTTGGAAGTCTTGGCTTGTGGAGTCAAATTCTCTCATGTCAACTTATTTAGACAATAGATGGAATATTTGTCCATCTATGCTGATTCCATATATACAAAGGGAAGAGAGGAAAGGCCAGGCTCTCAAATGTGGGTGAGAAGGGCATGGGGAGAATAGTGGGAGTTGAAGAGCACAGAAAAACAGCAGGCAGATCCTTTTCACATGGCCATCAGTCCAACCCTCTGTTGATTGTTCTCACCTGTATTATGTGTGGGAGCACACACTCACATGCACACACATAGCTGCTGCTCCTCCTGCCCACACCACGACTCTCTGTAATTTGTCTTCCAGGTCTCCAAGAAAGAGACTTTGTGTTCCTCTTTGCCTTCCTTTACATCCTGTTATAAATGCCCTTTAATTTTTTTCTTCCCACTGAGCTTTCTATTCCTTCATTTTTCCTATTCATTTTTCCTATTCTCAAGAGAAACTCAATGTAGAGAAACCATAACAATGTGATTTGAAGAGACTTCCGTAGCCCACCTCTGCCCCTCTCCAACACCTCCCAACCCAGCCTCCAAAGTTCATGCTAAAAAGAAAGAAATGGGGACGGAAGGAAAGTAAACTTAATTGAATAATTCAGCTCATACTGGGCATGGTGCTGAGTATCTTAAGCACATTTTGTTCCATTCTCATGACAACTCTGAGAACACGATTTTAGTTAGCCCTTCTTTCCTGAAGAAGCTAGGTGATTTACTTAAAGACCACTCAACTCATCAGTGGCAGAGCTAGGATTTAAACTCAAATCTTTTTGACCCGAAGCCCATGCAACATCAATCCTTTGGGCTAGTCTAATAAGAAACTATATGTAGAAAACTTTGGTTAAATTATGCTTGTGTTCTCTGGCAGGGAGATCTGTTCGAGCGTTCCCTTGGGAACATAGTTTAGGTAAGAGATTGCTTAATTGGCACAGTCTGCTCTTTGAAGGATGCAGGTAAAAGATGGATGATAAGGTTTGAATCTGTGTCCCCACCAAATCTTATGTTGAATTGTAATCCCTAATGTTGGAGGGCCTGGTGGGAGGTGATTTGATCATGGAGGTGAATTTCTCATGAATGGTTTGGCACCATCCCCTTGGTACTGTCCTCACGTTAGTGACTGAGTTCTCATGAGATCTAGTCATTTAAAAGTGTGTGGCATCTCCCTGCCCCTAGCTCCTGCTCCCACCATGTGAGATGCCTCACTCCCCCTTTGCCTTCTGTCATGATTGGAAGCTTCCTGAGGCCTCCTCAGAAGCAGAAGCTACTATGCTTCTTTTACAGCCTGCAGAACCATGAGCCAATCAAGTATCTTTTCTTTATAAAATACCCAGTCTCAGGTATTTCTTTTTAACAATGTGAGAATGGACTAATACAACAGGTAAGTTTCAATCTGTGACTGGAGTGACAGGGAGAATGTCCGAGATGGCCAGCATTTTGTGGAAGACACTGGAAAAGACGACTAAAGTGTACATCCTAGAGTTCAAGAGGCTTTAGGAAAATTTCACTATTTCGCCTAAGGCAGAGCTGCTCTTAAACTTCCTACATGATGCCTGTTTTTTCATATCCTGACCTCCATGATGCCTCCAGGCCACTTGCAGTAATAGTTCCAAAGTTCCCCAAGTCATCTTCCTGTGTTAAACGCTTACCCTGTTGACCCAATTCCTTGCTTACAATTGACTCTAGAGTTTGCTTCTTATCTACTATTTAAGCCCTGTTTTAATTCTGCTTTACTTCAGCCTTCCCTTGGGGTAGTTTTCTTTCTGTCTCCCCTCTTTAGTCATGACTTCCATGGAAGTTACAGTAAAACAATGCAGGAAAATAAGCAGACAATGATGCTGAAGGACATGCAGGCCACCCCTACTTAACTCTCAGCTGACCCAGCTCCCCTTCACTTCCAGCCTCAACCAGGGAGGGGAGGGGGCCCAGAACCACAAGAACTCAGAGAACTATAGTTGAACTGAAGCTCTTTATCCTCCGAGTCAACCTTTCTTGCATCTGCTGCACCCAGGGCTAATGAATGAACTTCAAAGAACGTCTTCAAACATCAAGTTCATCAGTGACCAGAGGTGTACTTTTGCAACCTCTCCAGGAGCTTTGTTTTGGATGTCTTCCTACCATGAGTTTAGTTACCATAGCAACAGCCAGAGAAGCTCTGCCTGGAAGAGAGATTTCTTGTATAATGAGCCTGGAAGACCTTAAGGTGAATAGACAACTTTTGCTGTTTTAGGCCTAAAAGACCTATATTTTTTCCCTCCCTATTAGTTCCTGGTATATATTTATAGCATTTATATCATATTAACCATAAAATGAATCTGACTTATTATTTCCTTTTAAAAATCCAGATAGTCTGATCATATAGAGATCACTGGGTCCCTGGGTCCTGAGGCCATACTGGAATATATTATCCAAAGGCTCTCTGTCTTGCTGCCTAGATTTGTTTGCATGAAGTCATTGCTCTTCTCAAGTCCTTCTCAGGACCTGTCAAATCAAAACTCCTGAGCTGGAAGGTGGGAGCCATCCAACAATCAATTCTTCCCCTACAAGCCACCAGAATTTTTTCCTCCTCTAGCTCACTGGGTATGGTGTTTGCACTATTTTGTCCTCTTCCTTTGGAGAATCACCTCTCCCCTGCTAAATAGTATTGCTCAGCCCCTGCAGTAAGAATGGTATGACTTGGTTCCTAAGCCTGACCAGGCTCAGACACTTTCCTGGGACTTCTGCCAGTACTATATGGGAAGGTATTCTTTTGTCTCAGAGGCTGCTAAGTTGGTAAATCCTATATTACCTATAGGATGGTGGAGAAATCCTATATTAGTCTGCCAAGGCTGCCATAACAGAATACCATAGACTTGGGTGGCTGTATTAGTCTGTTTTCATGCTGCTAATAAAGACATACCTGAGACTGGGCAATTTATAAAGGAAAGAGGTTTAATTGACTCACAGTTCAGCACGGCTGGGGAGGCCTCAGGAAACTTACAATCGTGGTGGAAGTGGAAGCAAACATGTCCTTCTCCACATGGTGGCCGGAAGGAGAAGTGCCAAGAAAAGCGGGGAAAAGCCCCTTATGAAGCTATCAGATCTCATGAGCACTCACTCATTATCAATCATGAGAACAGCATGAGGGTAACCGCCCCCATGATTCAATTACCTCTCACTGGGTCCCTCCACGACATGTGGGGATTATGGGAACTACAATTCAAGATGAGATTTGGGTGAGGACACAGCCAAACCATATCAGTGGCTTAAACAACAGACATTTACTTCTCACAGTTCTGGAGGCTGGATGTCTAAGATCAAGGTGTCAGCAGGCTTCTTTCCTCAGCTTACAGATGGGTCGCCTTCTGGCTCTGCCCTCACATGGCTTTTCCTCTGTGCTTGTACTCCTGGTGTCTCTTCTCCCTCTTAGAAGAACACCAGTCTTATTGGATTAGGGCCTCACACTTATGACTTCATTTAACCTTCATTACTTCCTTAAAGGTCTTGTCTGCAAATACAGTCATATTGGGAGATAGGGCTTCATATGAGTTTTGAGGAAACACAATTCAGACTGTAATAAATTCTATGGGAGAACTGGAAGGAAAGGTGGAGACCCAGTCACATTGTTCACATTGTATCTCTGGATACAATAAGTCAGCCCTACCCCTCTAAATATTTTATTTTCTTCAGTAATATTTCTTTTCTCTCCACTGTACTCTCCTAAATATTTAAACACATCTACATAATGGCCATTGTTTGGTCAAAATAAATGAAGAAGTGGTGTTTGGAGGTATTAGAAACTACAAACAATACTTTATTATAAATTAAGAAGAAATATAATTTATATAGTTCTTTGTTTATTGCACTTTAACCAAAGACGTAGGCACTATCCATGTCTCAGTTATTGTATACATATGAAGATTACCTTAAGCAAACATTTTTGTCTTAGTACCTTCCTTAAGCACAATTTTTAAGATTCAATTGTTCTAATACTTTATACCCTATAATCAAGCAAAGATGAGAAGACCTCAGAATTCAACAAGAATCTGGGTGCTTACCTCTTCTGATATAAATATCAGAAGCTGATTCTTAAAGCTTCTACTTTTACATAGAAATAAAAATGTCCTCTCCATTTCTAATCACAGATGGAAAGAACCAGAGGTGATACCCCAGCCAATCATCTACAGTTAAAGCATTAATACTGTGTTCAGAGGATACAATTCATAATATTTATGCACTCAATTGTACAGAGGAAAAGAAAGAGACACAAAAACTAGTGAAATCATACCTCCCCATGCATGGCTTTTAAACCAGTTCAACTGTGCTATAGGATACAATGGGGTGGTGGGGGCGGGGGGCATATGTACAATAATGTTTGCACCTTATCTAAATAAAATGCCACCAAGTTGATGTATTATTTAGCCTTTATTGCATAGAAGGCCTTCCATTTGAATATGCTACATACAGAACTCTAAACTCTGAGCTTTTTATTCACAGAAAATGTGCTCTCATACATCTTTGTGTCCCCTGCCCTTAATACTATGCCCGACCCAGAGTCAGGGATCAAAAGATATTTTTGGTATGAATAGGCAAAAAGACACACATAGGACCTTGAATGACAGTGGCAATGTATTACAATTTATTAAAGATGTCTGATGAGTCCAGAGTACTCCAAATATTGAACCCAAATTCTCAAAAGGCATGTGATAGAATGGGGTTACCCTTGATAAACTATAAAGTTAGAAAGATTATTTTAGAGACACCATCAGAGTAGGTGTCAGAAAATCTGAGTTCCTGTCTAGCACATTCCACAAATAAAGTTTATAACATTGCACCAGTTGCTTAATCTCTGTGTCTTGAATCCTCATCAATAAAATTCAATTAAGTCTATTCAAACACTTCTGTGAATGCTAACAGTTCACTGGCAATTAATTTGAAAACAAAAATCTGTAAGGCTTCTGCAATCTAGTTGAAATCTACCTTTCCCAGTGGATTTTCTAAAATTCATCAGCACCTACCAGCCTGCCCCATGTCTTGTATCCTGGCTTCTGCCACACTTCCTTCTGCTGAGATGTCCTCTCTGCTCTTCTCACCTCCCTAATTCCTGACCATTCTCTAAGACCCAGACCCACATACATCTCCTTAAAGCCTCCAGGCCACACGCACTGGGGGATTATGTGTAGGTGTGTGAACTCCTCGAGGATGGAACACATTCAATTCTTTTCAACGCTGCCCCTAGCAGCCTTCCCACCATACTTTGCAGAGAGCTCTGCACAGAGCAAAGCAAACACTGTGGCTCTCGCCTCCCCTTGCTCCCTCAGGACCTCGCAGCCTTCAGTTCACTCAACCCAAGATCTCAAGATTTCAAAGAAACGAAGAGATTGAAGGCTTCTGTCTCGCAAGTTAGTCACTGATCAGGCAGAAGTGTTTGGCTCCTGCTTCCTCACATTTGTTTTGCACACACACAATGGTCTTGATATGTTTAGAGGGTATTTGCAATGGGATGTGGCTGGCCCAACTGTCAGCTAACCTTCATGTTTCTTTCATAGCCCCCAGGAAGAAAATTGAAGAGTTCAAAGAATTGAAAAGTTAAGCCAATTCATTTAAAATAATCTTTGACTTTCTCATTATCAATATATGTGTATTTTCTGCAAGGTTACAAAAACAACTGGAACATATGTTAAAATAATCTTCAGTGTCATCTGCAGCAACTAATTCTAGAGAACTATCTTATTCAATTTCATTTCTTACTTATATGGAACTAAACCTTAATCTGCTTTTCAGGTATGAAATATATTCATGATTCTGTCTCAAAATATGAAATCAAAAGTTAGCATTATAACTCCCAGCTAACTGTCATATTAATTCATCTGGATGAACCTTGTGGTACTGAACTTTGACAATGCTCAGGGTGTCAAAGCAAACACCTGCCCCACCCCACGCCTACCCCAAAAACAAACGAGAGGCTTTTATAGGTTGCAAGTCCTGGTCTGGTTTATTTATAAAGCAATAAATATTAGAAGCACAAACAAATTGCACGTGTGTAAACAAACTGTACAATGATTGATGAAAGATGAGGGAAGGTGGTTTGGAAGACTCCAAGAAGCATAATACCGTCATCCTGACTGGAAGGTAGATGGAGAGAGAAGGCATCTTAGAAGCATTTGCGGTGGACAATGGATGGGCCTGCCTCATCGTACTCTTGCTTGCTAATCCACATTTGCTGGAAGGTGGACAGAGAGGCCAGGATGGAGCCCCCAATCCAG
Organism: Homo sapiens; assembly: GCF_000001405.40. Taxonomy (NCBI): domain Eukaryota; kingdom Metazoa; phylum Chordata; class Mammalia; order Primates; family Hominidae; genus Homo; species Homo sapiens. The sequence goes on from NC_000015.10 coordinate 34,790,524, forward strand.
ACAGAGTATTTACGCTCAGGGGGAGCAATAATCTGCAGAAAGAAAACAAAAACTTCCAGTGAACTCTGAAGTTCCAAGCAAGGGAGCAAATAACACATTGGGAGGATTCACAGAAAAAAACCATTAGATATTAATTCGCTATAATGTGGGATATGTCATACCACGAAATAATGTGGCCAATCAAGTTATATGAACTCACCTCTATTTCATCATTTATATTATTAAAGATATATTCTATTATTAAAATGGAATTTCTCCACTTACCTAGAGTGTAATTTGGCAACAAGCTAAATGTGTAGTGGAGCCTAGCCCAAAAGTTGGGAGCTTTAAAAATGTATTCAAAGATTTTGTTGCGTGTGTGTGTGTCTTTTTTTTGTCAAAGATTTATTTTTATTCACTGCTTAAAAGCATTTTGGAAGTTACCTATCTTGGGAAAAGTGCTAAGAAAATCAGAAAAAGTGGTAGAAAAGCTAACAGGTAAAGTTTGTAGGAGACAAGAAACTGAGTATGAGGGAAAAGGAATTTGGAACGTAGTTCTGCTTAGAATACCAAGACTTGCCTCGGATCTCCCACTCACAAAAGTTCTTTACCTTAATCTTCATGGTGCTAGGAGCCAGAGCAGTGATTTCCTTCTGCATACGATCAGCAATACCAGGGTACATAGTGGTGCCTCCAGATAAGACATTGTTGGCATACAGGTCCTTGCGGATATCAATGTCACACTTCATGATGCTATTGTAAGTTGTTTCATGGATGCCAGCAGATTCCATACCTGGGAACGAGTCACACACACACACACACACACACACACACACACACACACACACACATCACAGTGCATTCAGGTCAAGGTAGAGGGAAGAGAACAGAACTTCTTTGTGTGGGGGAGCTGTCACCATTTGTCTCTGAAACATATGTTCCCCTATAAGACACACTGCAGGGTGGAATGGGTGCCTCACAGTTAATCCACAATACAATGCCAAGAAAGGAGCAACTGTGCTTAGCACCTGTTTCAAGTAAACACCTCCTGAAACTCTCAGATGTATGAAGATGTATTGGAAAAGGAAAAGATACACGTTTAAACTAAAATGAATGTAATTTTTGTTTATGGACTTAAATCAGATCCTGACAAAGTTCCTTATGGAAAGCATTGCTTAGGAAGGATATTTGTTGACATATAAGTGCCCAGTTATTAATATGAGTAGGAATGTTATTGCATTTAATGATGAGGAACTTGGAAAGTCCAGCTACTTGGTAGTGAAACTTACGGGAATAAGTCAGCTCTTGTGAACTAGCCCTTTTCCTGCAGATACGTGCTATTCAGTTACTACTCTGTGTCATCCTTTATTTTGAGATGAACTCAGTGTGTCATCCTTTATTATATCACTAGAGCAGAACATAGACTTCCCCTTTAATGAGCCATCAGGACTTGAGGTTGAGCTGTGTGGGAATCCAAACTATGACTTCTTTTAACTCAAGGGCTTCTTGAGCCTTCTAGATTT